>NW_011332699.1:0-356766 GCF_000001405.40 Homo sapiens | reverse complement strand
GAATTCTGGAAAAAGAGAGGGAATTGTTATCAATAATATAGTTCAAGAACATTTCCTACCACTGAAGGATATAAGACAGCAGACTGAAAGAGACCACTCAGTGCCTAACGAAACAGATTTTAAATATCAAAAATAGACAAAAACAGACGTTATCCTCATGAAATTTTAGAACACTGAGGACAAAGAATTTCCTAAAATCTTAAGAGCTTCCAAGAAAACACAGGTCACATAGAAAAAACCGAGTTCTTCATATACTAGAAACTAAAAGACAGTGGATCAATTGACTAAAAATGATAAATGAAAATGTATTTCCAACCTGGAAAAGATGAGTCAGGTAGGAAGGTAAAATAAAGACATTTTCAGAAGTATATAATGCTCAAAACTTACCTTCCACACATTCTCTGTCAGGGAGCTATGGAAGATACGTTCCACCCAAATTGAGGGAAGAAATAAAGAGAAATTCATGAAATTGCAGAAAACACATGTAACACAGGAGAGAACAGAAGATGATCTCCAGGATGATGAAGAGGAAATCCCCAAGTTAATCATATGTAATGGTTTGTGGCCAAGGATAGCACTGGATCTAGCACAAAGGCCACCTTTCACCTGAAACAATGCACACAAGGACAGTAAAAACCAAGAGAGCACTTTTATTGATGAGGTTCACAGTGACACCAGTAAGCATACATGTTGAGACAAATGGCATAAAGTAGCACATACAGTGCCCTAACACAAGTGGTATCACTGTAGGCTAAAGTCTCTTCTAACCAACATCTTCACAAGGGCCTTCTGATTCCCACAGGCTGAAATAAAGAAAAAGACTGTTATCGGCCAGGCACGGTGGCTCATGCCTCTCCAGCACTTTGGGAGGCTGAGGCGGGTGGATCACGAGGTCAGGAGATAGAGACCATCCTGGCTAACACGGTGAAAACCTGTCTCTACTAAAAATACAAAAAATTAGCCGGGCGTGGTGGCGGGTGCCTGTAGTCCCAGCTACTCCAGAGGCTGAGGCAAGAGAATGGCGTGAACTTGGGAGGCAGAGCTTGCAGTGAGCCGAGATTGCGCCACTACACTCCAGCCTGGGCGACAAAGCAAGACTCCATCAAAAGAAACGAAGAAAAGAGAAGAGAAGAGACGAGACGAGGACAGAAAGAAAGACAGAAAGAAAAGAAAAGAAAAGAAAAAGAGAAAAAGACCGTTATCACCCAAATATGAGAAATTCTCCCATATATACATACTTGTATCTAGATGACTAATCTCTGGAAAGTTATAAGAAAACACTGGTTCTTTCCAAGGAAGGGATGGCCAAAAGGTAGGCTAACTTAACATTGTTCACTCTTTTTAAGACCTTTGTATTTCTTGTATCATGCACAGGTATTGCCTATTCAAAAACAAACCTACAACAGGGAAAGACTGAAAGCTTTTCTTCAATATCTGCTACAAGGCAAGGATGCCTACTCTTAACACTTATATTCACCATAGTCCTAGCCAGAGCAATCACATAAGAAAAGGAAATAAAAGGCAGCAGAAAAAAGGGGGTAAAATTATCCCTGTGTGCAGATGACATGATCCTGTATGTAGAAACCCCTAAAAATTCCACAGTTACTAGAATAAATGAATTCAGTCAAGTAGCAGGATACAAAATCAATATACAAAAATCAGATGCATTTCTTTATACAAATAATGATCTGAAAAAAAATCAAGAAAACATTTCCACTTAAAATAACATCAAAAAGAATAAAACACTGAGGAACAAATTTAATGAAGGAAGTGAAAACTTTATATACTAAACACTATAAAATACTGACAAAGTAAACTGAAGACACACAGCCGGGCATGGTGGCTCACACCTGTAATCCCAGCATTTTGGGAGGCCAAGGCGGGTAGATCACCTGAAGTCAGGAGTTCAAGACCAGCCTGGCCAACATGGCGAAACCCTGTCTCTACTAAAAATACAAAAATTGGCCAGGCGGGCATGATGGCAGGCACCTGTAATCCCAGCTACTTGGGGGGCTGAGGCAGCAGAATTGCTTGAACCCAGGAGGCGGCGGAGGTTGCAGTGAGCTGAGATCACACCACTGCACTTCTGCCTGGGCAACACAGCGTGACTCTGTCTCAAAAAACAGAAAAAAACTAAAGACACAAATAAATATAACGATATCCCCAAGTTTGTGGATTGGAAGAAAATTGTTAAAATGTCCATACTATCCAAAGTGATCTAGAGATTCAATGCAATCCCTATCAAATTTCCAAAGGCATTTTTCACAAAAATAGAAAACACAATTCTAAAATTTGTATTAAATCATAAAAGACCCTGAATAGCCAAAAGAATCTTGAGAAAGAAAAACAAAGTAGAAGGTATCACACTACCTGATTTCAACTTATATTACAAAGTGATAGTTATCAAAACGTATGGTACTGGCATAAAAGCAGACACATGGATCAATGGAACTGAATACAGAGCCCAAAAATAAACCCAAACATATATTATGAGCTAATTTTTGACAAGTCCAATAAGATACAATAGGGAAAAGATGGTGTCTTCAATAAGTAGTGGTAAGAAAACTAGATATCTATATGCAAAAGAATGAAACTGGACCTGATGCCTGTCTTACACATCATACATAAAAAGCAACTCAAAATAGATTAAATACCTAACACCTGAAACCATAAAACTCCTAGAAGGAAATATAGGAGAAAAACTCCTTAATATCCTCCTTGACAATGATTTTTTGGATATCACACCAAAAGCTCAGGTAGCAAAAGCAAAATTAAGCAAGTGGGACTACATCAAGCAAATAAGCTTCTGCATAGCAATAAAAAAAAACCAAACGGGGTAAAAAGGTAGCACAGGGATTAGGGGAAAATATTGGCAAACCACACATCTGATAAGGCGTTAAAATCCAAAACATATAAGGAACTCACACAACTCAGTAGCAAAAAAAAAACCCCAAATAACTGGATTTTAAAATAGGCAAGGACCTGAATAGCCATTTTTCCAAAGTCACACAAATGGTCAAATGGTATATGAAAAGATGCTCAACATCATAATCATGAGGAAAATGAAAATTAAAACCACAATAGATATCATCTCGTGTCTCTTAGAATGACTATTAACAAAAAGGCAAAGACATAAGTGTTGGTGAGGATGTGTAGAAAATGAAACCTTTGTACATGGTTGATAGGAATGTAAATTAGTATAGCCATTATTGAAAACAGTATAGAGTTTCCTTAAAAAAAATACAACTACCATAAGATCCAACAATGCCCCTGTTGGGCATATATTCAAAGGTAATAAAATCAGCATCTGAGAGAGACATCTGCACTCCCACGTTCATGGCGGCATTACTCCCAATAGCCAAGATATGGAAACAAACTAAGTGTCCTAATGGACAATTTACTTACCCATTCAAGGACAGATGAATGGATAAAGAAATTGTGACGTGTGTATACACATATATTAAGTCCTCCCTTAATGTCATCAATAGGTTCTTGGGAACTGAGACGTTAAGCTAAATGAACATACAGCAGGTCCTCAAGTAACACTGTTTCCTTCAATCTAATTTTGGCATAATGCAAAATGAAAAAAAAATCAGTTTTGTCATACTTTTTTTTCGCCTCTTAACCACAGTTTCTAAGAACTTACTGATGACAATGAGGACTTTATACAATGGGATAGTTAGCTTTAAGAAAGGAGATACTGCCATTTGTGACAACATGGATGAACTGGGAGGAAAGTATGCTAAATAAAGTAAGCCAGACACAGAAAAATACTGTATGATCTCACTTAAGAAGCAGAATGGGAGGCAGCGGGGTGAGAAACTGAATGTATAGAGAGTAGAATGGTGGTTATCAAGGGTCTGGAGGTAGGGGATGGGTAGGATGGGCAGAAGTGGGTCAGAGGGTACAAATCTGCAGTTAGGTAAGATGAATAATTCTAGAGATCAAATTAATACACAGCATGAGAACCATAGTTAATAATATTGTGTACTGAAAATTTGCTGAAAGAGATTTTAGGTGTACACACACAGAGAGTAACTATGGAAGGTGAAGGATACAGACATTTGTTTGACCATAGTAATCATTTCACTATGTATACAAAGCATGTTGTATACCTCAGATATGTATAATAAAAATAAATGAAAAAAAAAAAAAACTGTATCCTACCTGCCAAAAACAGTTTCAAATGCATTATGTCTTTGGATTTAGCAAGGAATTCACCTTTGCAGGCCCACTTACATACAACATTATAAATATACCAGGTGATTCATTGTACTATTCACAGTAAAAGATTGAAAGAAAGTCGGGCGCGGTGGCTCACGCCTGTAATCCCAGCACTTTGGGAGGCCGAGGCGGGCAGATCACGAGGTCAGGAGATAGAGACCATCCTGACTAACATGGTGAAACCCCGTCTCACTAAAAATACAAAAAAATTAGCCGGGCGTGGTGGCGGGCGCCTGTAGTCCCAGCTACTCGGGAGGCTGAGGCAGGAGAATGGCGTGAACCCAGGAGGCGGAGCTTGCAGTGAGCGAAGATCGTGCCACTGCACTCCAGACTGGGCGACAGAGCGAGACTCTGTCTCAAAAAAAAAAAAAAAAAATTGAAAGAAACCCAAAGGTCTATCAACAGGGGAAAGAACAGGTAAATTAAATTGCTTATATTTCCATACAAAGGAATATTTGCAGCCATAAAAAAATGAAGGACAGTAAAAAGTAGTAAGACAAAAGGAACAAAATATATATATACACACACACACAAAATATATATATATATACACACACATTTCCTTGTACATGCATAAAATACATCTGGAAGGTTACACGAAAAACCTCTGAGGTTTCTGGAGATGTAAACTGGGGGCATGAAGGCAGGGGAAAGGGAGAGACTTCACTGTTTACCTTTTTATTATTTTCCAATTTTAAATCATTTGAATGTATAACTTGTCTAAAAATCAAATTTTAAAAGTTGAGGGAATTAACATTACAGAAAGTAACAAACCTCAAGGAAGCAGCCACCTTCACCAGATGGACAGTCTACCTCACTCTTCCCACGCTCCAGTAGTTACTGAATGCCAGTCCCCTCCCTCCATTCAGTCTGCCCCACCTGCTGGCCTTCTAGAGCCTCAGTGCAGTCCTATTCCTACACCTCCAAACACATCCATACACTGTGATGGTCGATCTGCGACCACCAGTTGAGAGGAAATGTGTTGTGTTTCCACACTTCAGACAAACAGAGTGTTATTTTATTGAGGTTTGGGATTTTTTTCTTGCATTAACAGGGTTTCTAGATCCCAGTAGGTGAATGAGAAAGAAGTATGCTTTTATTGCGTAAGGAATTTGTTTCTGATACACCAAAGTGATAATGTATGACTTTTCTTAAAGAAGTGGTTATTAGAAGAGTTAAAAATCAATAGAAACAAAAAGTCATAGGTATTGTTCCAATACTCCAGGAACATCACAATTTGGATTCTGTAGATGTGTGTAATATAATGTGTAATATTACATTCTGACAACCTCAAGTTGAAAACTGCACAGCTGAAGATCACTTATAGTCAATAACACTTTTCAAACTTTAATTTTAAATTCATCAAGTCTCTCCCTAATGTAACATACTTTTTAATAAAGGAAACTGTCAGAGATGCTATAATACAGAGGAAAACGTTTATATACTCTTTCATTATAATTTTTCCACAACTTCCAAAATGAAGAAAAAGACATGGAAACATTAAGTTCAGAGAATAATTGTGGCAGACAATTCCCTCCTCCTGAAAGTTCAGTTACCCCAACACAGGCATAATTTCTTACTGTCTCAAAAGGAACTGAATTCACATATAAAGACAAACGTGGGATTTTGTTGAGTTCTGTTGGACACAGAACACAATTGCTCAAGCACTGGTTGGGCACTTGTATTCTAATAGCTCACGGTTACTGAGCACTCCATGTCTGGGAAGAGCCAGTGCTGGGTGCCTGGCATGCATCCTTGCACCTCATCAGCACAACTATCCTATGGGCTCATCCTGGTTCACCTATTTTATAAATGAGAACACTAACATCAGAGAAGTTAAAAAATTTGCCTAAAAACATCCAGAGTAGGTTTCATCGTTGCCCACTACTTTATAATGCTTTCCCAAGGGTACTGAGACGTTATCAAAACATGTTAGTGAAACAGTCTAAAACATCACAAATTTTAGGTTTAATACAAAATACCCAGAAAATGGCAGCATTATTAGAAATCTCAGCATAATGTAATAATAAGAACTTATGATGATTGTATTCTTTTCCTATTTTTTCTCCCGTACAGGCATATGAAAAACCATAAAACTTATTTTAGGGGTGTGTGTGTCCATGTAGTTTCAGGATAATATAGTAATCTAAAACATTTTTAATATGGCAAAGTGTGGCAATACTAAATTTTTAAAAAGGATTTTTATTTAGCAAACAGAAAGCAAAAATGTTGTCCAAGAAACATGCATTTATTTTATCCCTAGGAATGTACCTTTCCTTCTGCAAAGGATGTGAGATCCTGGCATGCAAATGAACATGAGGATACAGTATATTCAATTCCTTAAATTCTAAAATTGTCTTAGCATTTAACATCCAACACACTAAACAATCTTTTTTCATATTCAATAAAAATAAGGACAAATTCAGTAAATTCAGATGGGCTATTTTATCACGTAAATTTTAAAAAAGCAAGGGTAATTTTTCAACTGATTTTCTTTTACCCTGATACGAGTCAATGAGAAAATATGAAATTGAAACATATCACCATTTCTCAGTGTTTACAAGTGGTAAGTCACAAGGAAAACCTTCCAAGGTCTTCTGTGTTGTTTTTAAAAGGTATTATAATCACATAATTTGGGAAACAATGTGTACTATTATCAAGAAACCTTTCATATTTTGTGAAATGAAGCACTTCCCAAATTTAAGAGACTATGGAAACCTTTTTCAGACATTTTTTAACATCCTCAGAAGTGGAAATTCTTGTTAATGCTGATCTGATCAATTCCTCCAAGTATATGGACTACTTCTTTGCAAACTCCAAGCCCCCAAATCAAATTACCTGTTCAACTGTATCTGAAAATCAGTTACATAAAAGCATCAGAAAGTGTTTCTCCCAGCAACATAGACCCAAAACACACTACAAAACAAAAATTATCAAGAACATACAAAAGACATATTTTTTCATGTATTTATTTATTTTTTGAGATGGAGTCTCACTCTGTCACCAGGCTGGAGTGCAGTGGCTCGATCTTGGCTCACTGCAACCTCTGCCTCCTGGGTTCAAGCAATCCTCTGCCTCTGCCTCCCAAATAGCTGGGATTACAGGTGCCTGCCACCACGCCCAGCTAATTTTTGTATTTTTAGTAAAGACGAGGTTTCACCATGTTGGCCAGGATGGTCTTCATCTCCTGACCTCAGGTGATCCACCCACCTTGGCCTCCCAAAGTGCTGGGATTACAGGCATGAGCCACCAAGCCCGGCCACAAAAGACATACCTTTTCAAAGCCACTATTACCTCTCACCTGGACCATTATTTCTCACTGATCTACCTGTCATAACTCTTGCACCTAATCATCTACTTATATCATAGGAGAGTGTTCCTCTTAAAATATAAATAAGATCATGGTGTTCTTCTTTTCAGGAACATTCAATGGCCTCTCATTCCATTGCTATTAAGCACAAACTACTGACACACCACCTTATGGTTGTGTGAGATATACTGAGCCGTCCTTCTTGTCCTCACATCTCTAATCTTCTCACCTTCTGACTGTCCCCTCTGCTCACTCTGTTGGTCTCCACAACACTCTTCAAACATGCTCAGCACACTCTCACCCAGAGCCTTTACACTGGCTTCCTCACTGTCTGGGATGCTCTTCTCTCAGGTAATCAAGTGGCTCACTCACTCACCTCTTTAAAATCTGTGCATATGGACCCTAAACACCCATCTGTACTTCCAATTCCTTTTTTTTTTTGGAGACAGAGTCTTTCTCTGTCACCCACGCTGGAGTGCAGTGGTGCAATCTCGGCTCACTCTAACCTCCACCTCCCAGGTTCAAGCAATTCTCCTGCCTTGGCCTCCCAAGTAGCTGGGATTACAGGTGCATGCCACTGAGCCCGGCTAATTTTTGTATTTTTAGCAGAGAACGGGTTTCACCATGTTGGCCAGTCTGGTCTCGAACTCCTGACCTCAAGTGATCTACCTACCTTGGCCTCCCAAAGTGCTGAGATTACAGGCATGAGCCACTGTGCCTGGCCAGGCAATTCCTCTTTATCAAACTTTATATTTACCATGGGCCTTGCCAAACACATTATAATTAACTGATTTTTTTTAAAAGTTGGGTTACCTAACATTAAAATATAAACTCTATGCAGAGAATTCTACCTGCTTTGTACACTGATATGATTTCCAACATCTGACATACAGTAGGTATTCAATTAATTCTATTGTCTCAAAGCCGGCTGCAGTGGCGCATGCCTATAGTACCTGCTACTTGAGAGGCTGAGGCAGGAGGATCACTTGAGCCCAGGAATTGGAAACCAGCCTGGGCAATGTAACAAGACACTGCCCCTTAAAAAAAAAAACTATGAAATAAAATGTAATGGAACAGAAATAATTATCGCTTCATTTCTGAATCAGTTGAAAATAAATAACCGCCCCAAAAATGAGCAAACCTACAGTAATCCTCTTTAACTCATATTGGATTTTAGGTTACTATTAAAATATTTTGCTATCTCAAGAATTCAGCAGGCTGAGCAGAGCAGATGGCTTGAGCCCAGGAGTTCAAGACCAGTCTTGGCAAAATGGCAAAACCCCATCTCTACAAAAAAATACAAAAATTAGCCAGGCGTGGTGGCCCACATCCATGGTCCCAGCTACTCAGGAGGCTGAGGTAGGAGGGTCGCATGAACCCAGTAGGCAGAGGTTGTAGTAAGCCAAGATCATGCCACTGCACTCTAACCTGGGCAACAGAGCAAGACCCTGTCTCCCAACCAAAAAAAAAAAAAAAAAAAAAAGAATTCAGCTGGAAAAACCTTATATTTACTTTGATTAAGAAAATGTTTTTAAACCAATACTTTATGATGCACACTGGTGAATATGAAGTTATACCTGAAGTAATATTAAATGACAGCTTTTCCATTTCTAGAATGTATGCATCAACTACCTTAACTTAAACATGGTATTATCCAAGCTCACAGTATCTGAGAAGGTTTGTGTCATTATCTAGCAAACTAAAGTCAAGCCCTCTGTAGTTCCCCACCTGTGATCTTCAAAGATATGGTGCTCCTTGAGATTTCTGTAAGGTAGGTCTGTTCTAAAATGTGTGAAAGGAAGAGAACCCGAAAAGGCAAGGTCTAAGAAGATCACTCATTTGGAGATGGCAAGGGTCACATCGGGGTTATCTAAGTCAGTGTGATTTACCCTTTGGTAAATCATACACATATTTCAAAAGTTACTTTATATGCTGTAATTCTTGCACTAATTTCATGGAAAATAAATTAGTATTACCTCGACTATCATCCATATCACCATCCCTTGAATGTTCTGATTGGATGTCTGGAGGGGTCTGAAGGACGGCCACGCTATTCTGATTTATAATCTTCAATTTCAGTTTTGGTTTTGACAGTTTTCTTCTTGGAACTGTAACTGTGAGGCTCTGTAACTGAGTCATCCCTGATTCAATCAAACACACATCATCCTGGGTATAAGTCTTGGGTGGGTCTAAAATTACAAAATCCCAAGAATACAAATTTAAACTTTCATTTTAAATTTGACTGATTACTGTTCCAAAATACCCATGTCAAGGGAATGTGACTGTAGTTCTAGAAAACAATTATGTATCTATGAAATGCATGAATAATTAACTTCATGATACCCAATAAAAACTAGGAACAATAGGTCAAACTTCCTTGGATTATGGGCAGAAATGTTACATGTTTTTAAAAAATGGTCTTCCTGAGCTGGGTGCGGGGGCTCATGCCTGTAATCCCAGCACTCTGGGAGGCCGAGGTGGCAGGCAGATCACGAGGTCAGGAGATCGAGACCATCCTGGCTAACACAGTGAAACTCTGTCTCTTCTAAAAATACAAAAAATTAGCCGGGCGTGGTGGCGGGCACCTGTAATCCCAGCTATGCGGGAGGCTGAGGCAGGAGAATTGCTTGAACCCGGGAGGCGGAGGTTGCAGTGAGCCAAGATCGTGCCACTGCACTCCAGCCTGGGCGACAGGGCGAGACTCCGTCTCAAAAAAGTCTTCCTGGCATTTCTTTTTTCATGTCCCAATAAAAAGAGTTAGAAGCACTGCAAATAAATGCAATGCTCAGCTAATCCACTATGAGCTTTTTCCTGGAAAAGATCAAAAGGCAGGGATCTATTTACACAAGAGGAGAGAGAATACTCCAGAAGCTCATCTGGAAAAATCAGAGTATCAACATAATTACTAACAGGGAGAAGTAATAAATAAGTACAAATCCTGCAGATTTAATTTTAAACATACAAAACTGTTGTTCCTTAGAACAATTCCTGTACTATCCAAATGTTTTTGTATCAGGTGCTATTAAATACAAGTATTCAAAAGAATGACTGTTTAATAAGAATATCATATTAATCACCATACTAGGCTTATTAATTATTTTAAAAAATTAAGCGATTGAATTAATTCTAAAAGAAATCTGCTTGCTAACTAGGCCGTATTTTCTGCTAACTGATAATTAAGCACAGTAATATATCAATGAAACCAAAGCAAGTATGGCATTAATGGTTATTCTAAGAGCTGTTATTTTTATTGCCAACTTGCTGAAATTTATAGGAATACTGCCCCAGTAAAGCTGGATGACATTTTATATATCATTGTGGAAATGATTACCAACATTATGGAATTTGGATAGAACACCCATATGATTGAAGCAGATTTTAGAAGTGGTAAGCCAATTATGTAAAAATTAAGCAAAGTAAATTAATTAAATTAAGTAAAGCATTTCAAATTTTACCTAGCTTTTTTACTTTTGTGACAATTTGTGCTACAAGTGAAGATCCACAGCAGTCTGAGGAAGGCACTGAAATGAAAAAAAAAAAAAATCCAGGTAATTCTTTTCAGAAAAGGTAAAGTGTATTTACATACTTATATATGATTAAAATTTCTGTTTCTATACTCATTTTATTAAAATAAATGTTTGAACACTAAAGTTAAAAGCACTTTTTAAAGCAACAACAAAACAAGAAGTGATGAAGGAAATACTCAAGTCATGGAGGAAAACCTGGCTAAGAAAGAATCAACACATTGGATTTTGACATATTGTCAATAACTACAAGATCATGTTCCTTGGAAGCAAAATTATAGTTTACATCTAAAGTATATGCTTTTTATTGTTTCATGTAAATTGTTTTATAACAAGTTGTGATAAGTCATGTATAACCAACAATAATATTTTTCATAAAATACTTGTCAAAGTAAGTTTCACAAAGACAAAATAGAGTAGAGCTAAGCTAATTCATTGGTTATGGACAGTAAGGTGCAAGAGAGTGGTACAAGAGTGCAGACTCACAGTTTAAATTATTCTGTTACCATTAGATGCAGGCATATAGGGTCTGCACATGTTACAATCAAAACCAATGTCTGCTACATTTTCCACTTCTTCCTCAGTATTTAAGTTCTGACGAACTGCATGCATCCATCTAAAAAGACCATATTTGTACATTTTTTTTAAAAAATGGAATATACTGAGAACTGCTACCTTTTAAAACCTGTAACACTGAGTCTTCAAACTTAAAAGCCCTAAGCCTCACATGCTCCTCCTACCTTGCCCTTTTCTCCTAACTATCCCTAGTAACAGAAAAACTTTCATAGAGCTAAGGAGGAAATAAAAAGGAATGAGAACAACTATTAGAGAGGAAGCAAAGCACATTACATAAGGAAGCTAATTATTTTATCATCATATATTAAATATTTCAAAGACAGCAAGGAAGCTAGTTAGGGCAAACACAAAGGTATTCAGAAAACGGCAAATGGCAGTGCTAGCATATATGGGCTCCAGGCAATGCATCTCACTTGAAGTAGACATATCTCATGGAAAGCGATGTTGAATGGTAATTGGGAAATAAAGTAAAAAGTTGTCTTGCAATGGAACAAATAATTAGTAGCCAGAGTCCCAAGAATACTGTACTACTGATAAAATAATACTATCAATATATGTTCACTGCTTAACTTCTAAAGAGTACAACAATATACCAATGAAAGCAAGGAAACATTCTTGATTTTGAAATTCCACATAATTACGTAGGGAGGGCAGAAGGTGCTATCTAATACCTAGATATCTAGTATCTAGAGCTTTAAGAGAAAGTGGTTTAAGGAGAACAGAAAGTGTTAGATATTTTTATAATCAATTAAAAGATTCAGAAACCCTTCATAAGAAACGGCATAGATGAAGGCAATAATTCTCCATCTAATTTCAAGGGATTCCTAAACCCTCAAAAAGGCCTAAATTAAAAATCTTTAGTCTTGGGTGGACACAGTGGCTCACGCCTATAATCATAAAACTTTGGGAGGCTGAGGCGGGCAGATCACAAGGTCAAAAGATGGAGACCATCCTGGCCACCATGGTGAAACCCTGTCTCTACTAAAAATACAAAAATTAGCTGGGCATGGTGGCATGCACCTGTAGTCCCAGCTACTCCGGAGGCTGAGGCAGGAGAATCGCTTGAACCCAGGAGGTGGAGGTGGAGTTTGCAGTGAGCCAAGATAGCGCTGCTGCACTCCAGCCTGGCGACAGAACAAGACTCTGTCTCTAAATTTAAAAACAAAACAAAACAAAACAAAACAAAACTTTAGTCTGGAGTTGAGAATTCAAAACAGGAAATCAATTCTGTAAGATTCTAGGTGACTAAAAATCTACAAGGCAAAAAGTTCTGTACCTAAAACTTGTGATTAAGGAAAAGCTATTTTCCTTTTTTTTTTTTTTTTGCTACATTTCAAAGAGAAAAGCTTTAAAAAGATGAAAAAATAGCACAATATCTATCACATTGTCTACATTGCAGAATAAGATCTTCTTCTCTATAGTTTCAATAGCAGACTGGACAGGAAGATAAGCTTGCACAAGGAGCGCACTGTGTGTAATTGTTCTGCCATTCACATCTTAGACCTGCAGATGTTGCTCCACAGTGTCTGCACCAAACACACCTGAAATCCAAATCCCCCCGAAAAGTCTCCATTTTATTTTCTTAGTTATTCAGTAACTGTAATTCAGGAAGCTACATACGAACATAATGGGGCAAATGATTTAATGTGTATGTGAAAATTTTTCTGCTTAGTGGTATGTATCATAGAATATGTGTATTATTCAATTAAATAGGTATGGCTAATTTTTAAAAACTAAAGTGGTATGAGAAAGCTCTGAACTTGAAAGACTAACAAGGCAAACAAACCCTAGAGAACCATTTGCACTTCACTTCCAGCCTCCTTTGGGAACTGTCTGCAATGGAGGGTCTAGGCAGTAGGTGTGATAACTTATGTCACAATCATCACACAGCAGGAGTCTTCCTGGGTCAGTTGCCTTCCCACAGGCCTCACAAACAGTGCACTCAAGACACCTCCAACCTTTGCTAAGAACCACTTTAGTGATCTGTAAAAGAAACAACCAATCCATGTGATTTATGCATTAACCTAACATAATCAAATATACTATATAAATTAATATGGTGCTTATGTACCTAGAAGCAGAAAGGGGCAATCAACTAACATTTATTGAGCACCTACGGAGGCCCAATACTGGGTTGGGCATGTTCATACACGCTTTTAGGAGCCTACTGAGCAGAGTAATAGACAATGGCACATATTTTAATGCCTTTTTAAAGTCCACATAATTACCTTATGCTGTACATTTAATGTCCACTATATTTATAGATATAGTGACCAGATTTTAAAGAAATCAAGTAAGCTTCACTATTATTGATACATAATTGAAAATACATCAACAAAATCTCCATCTACATTTCCATGCTTAGAATCAATAGAAAAAATACCAAAAAAAATTAATGTAAAGCATGAGTTCTTAGGGACATTTTATGATCTTAGAGGATTTCTATTTAGACTATGAAGCTAGGAATTCTGAAGTTCACATTCACCCCTCTGTTTATTCTCCCCTCTCTCAAGGGTATAAGTTAGCAGAATATTTGGGAATCTCCAAATCCCTAACAAACAACTGAAGGAAGCCACACCATGTAATATTAAGATTGCGGAACTTCTTAAAGATCTCAAAAGACTAGGATCCTCAGACAGAACCAATCAAGTGCCCACATTATAATGAAACAGCAAGTAATGAGGGTACAGAATAAAAATTCAGATCATGAGGTACATGAAAGCCTAAAAGCTACCAGAGAAGAAAATAAAAGAGTTAAATTCAAAGGAACACCCATCAGAATGGCACAAAACTTCCCAACTCCAGATGCTAGAAGAGTATAAGTTTCCAATTCTACAGGAAAATACTTTTCAAAGTACAATTCTCAACCTAGCTACACAAGCAACTATGTGTGAAGACAGAATACGTTGTAGACACAGGAAGATTCAAAATTCAGCTCCTTCATTCTCCTTCTAATAAAGTTACTTAGAGATATGCGGAACAGAATGAAGATGTATTACAAAGAAAAGGAAGACTTGGGATCTATAAATCAACAGATCCAACAAAGGACATCAGGCCAGGGAAGTTTAAGGATGAGAACAACACACCCAGAAGCCACTGGCACATATCAGAGCAGGAGAAGGGAATGTCTAGAAGGAGGGTAGGACTTCTCCCAGAAAAAAACAGTACTTTAAAAAATAATCTTATATGATAGTTCTATAGTAGGCAAAAACAAAGAACGAATGGAGAGTCACTATTACTTTCTTGTTATTAAAAACTCCATGAAAGACAAAAGAAACTCATAGTATACTGTTTAGATCTGCAGTGAACATTTACTGAGTCATAACCAACACCTTATTAATTGAACTAAACATAGTAATACAACTATATTGGGAGAAGGAAGGAGGTGTATTTTAAGACCTAAATCAGAATTTATTTATTCATAGCAGAAAGTCAACAAAATCTAGCATTGATAAAGCAGTAAACCAGTTGATTATTTAGAGCTATAGCATTAACCACAAGAAAAAAGACCTGAAAAGATTAAAAGTGATTGCCTCAGATGTGGAGGTAGAGTAAGACAAGAGTTGGTTGTTCATTACAAGGCCTTTTTTTTTTTTTTTTGAGATGGAATCTTGCTCTGTTGCCTGGGCTGGAGTGCAGTGGTGTGATCTCAGCTCACTGCAACCTCCGGCTCCCATGTTCAAATAATTCTCCTGGCTCAGCCTCCTGAGTAGCTAGGACTAGAGGAATGAGCCACCACACTCGGCTAATTTTTGTATTTTTAGTAGAGATGGGGTTTTACTGTGTTGGCCAGGCTGGCTTGAACTCCTGCCCTCAAGTGATCCACCCGCCTCGGCCTCCCAAAGTGCTGGGATGACAGGTGTGAGGCACCACACCCGGCCCATTACAAGGCTTTTAATGTCATTTGATTTTTAAACATGTATATTCATTATTTTGATTAGCTTATTGATTTTTAAGAATTTGTCTTAGATTACCAAGTTAGTATATTATTTGCCCAAATGAAGGAAATGGCCTGGGGTAAGATCAGGGTGGCTTAGAGCAGTAGCCAGCAAATATTTTCAATAAAGGACCAGAGAGTAAACAGAAAGTTTTGAGGGCCATATGATCTGTTGCAACTTTATAAAAACTCTGCCAGTGTATTGCAAAAACCGCTACAAATATATGTAAACAAAGAACATGGCCATATTTCAATAAAAGTTTATTTGCAAACACAGGAAATGGGCCAGATTTAGTCTATGGGCCAGTCTGCCTGACCCTGGCTTAAACAATGACCTGAAGACAAAGTGGCAGACAGATCTGAGGTGTTTAGTGGTAGAATTTTTAAAATATTTATCTTCATTCCTACTAAGTTTTCTTCACAGATACCTGTGGTCCCTTTTACAACCAAACTCTCAAGTTTCTCCACTTATATTCACTCTTCAAAACACTACAGTCTGGTCTCTACACCCACATCCACTCATAACTGCTTAAGCCAGGCTTGTCAAGACCTTCTTATTCTCAAATCTAATGGAAACATTAGTGTTAGTGTTTCTTGACTTCTGGTACTTCAACACTTCAACAATTTCTCCCTCTTTGAAATTTCCTTTTAACTTAGGTACTGGGGTTGTACTATCATTTTTTTCTTCCGTTGAACCAGTTTAGCCTTAGTTTTAAAAGTTTTTTCAAATAAGATGTCATCCAGGATTCCATCCATGGTACCATGTCCAAAGTTGTTACAGATATGTTTTATAATCTAATACTGATACATGCTTCAATGATAATGGAGTAGATGGGACCAGCCTGTTCTCCCATAAGATAGTAGAAAATTGGACAAAGTGTATGAAACAACTGTTTTCAGATATTGGACAACACATAGTAAAGGAGACAGTGGTCTCTGAGAGGAAGGAAACACTCAGGGAGTCCTATGATATTCTGCCTAGAAACATTTTCCAGAACGCTGCCCAGGGAGGGAGAACCTCAGCAGAGTAAAATCAATGGCCTCGCTGAGGTTAGGGAAGGCGAGGCAGTGGAATTTGCAGGACACAGTACTCAAAATGAAGAAGCAATAAGGACTAAGAGCTCCAGAAACCTACAAAGGATCCCCTGAAGTCTTTGGTGGAACACCAAGCCGTACTTCTAGAAGCCCAAAGACCCACAACCAGGGGAAAGTACATCTACTGGGAATTTGTAAGCTGCACAATTACCAGAGCTTGCAAAAGGCTCAAAGACAAGTGAAGCACAACCAGTCAGAGTACAAAGACACTGGTGAACAGGGGGTAGAATTCAGTAGTGATCCCAGAAAGGCCAAGTCTTAAGTATAGGGTTAAACTAATGCTAGGACTGCAGCTACCAAAATGTGGACTAGGGAACCCCAGTGGGTCTGTAAAGTTAAAACAAGTTTAAATAATACTAAGATTTAATTTGCCTTTTTTCACTTTAATTTATTCACAATGATACAGTGGTGTTTATAGAAGCTACATGTTGTATCATAATATTACATTGACATTGTACAGGTTGTGCTTCTGTAGTCTTGTGTTACAAAATGTTCCTAGTTTTAATTTCTAAAATGCTGAATAGTCCATAGTTAAAATCCTCATGAACAAAAACTATGGCGTCCCCAGTAATTTTAAAGAGTGTTAAGGTTCTAAAACCATAAAGTTTGAAAATATCCACCTTAGAGTGAAGGCTTTCTAGACTTGCCCCAGCAAGCTTAAAAAGAAGCTTCAAAGGTATCAAACTTATCCACAAACAATTGCCTCCTGCAATAAAAATGCAAGCTGAGCCAATTCACATATCCCTAGTATATTTCTAGATATTGCTGTATTTCTCAATGAGACTGCAGTATTCTATACTGTCCAAAACAGTGTCGTATAAAAGGAACCACACATAATTTTTAAAAACAGGAATAACTAGATGTCTGATAGTGCACTAATTGTCCAATCTTAACTTATGTAAGTCGTACTCATCTGTAAAATGGGAATTCGGTAATTGTTGGATGGGTTAAAAGAAATACATTACTACCTTGAAAGGGATCTTATTCAATTTCCTTAGGTCCAAAACATTAAGTATTCTAAAAAACAAAATCTAATGATAGCAGCTACTTTTATACAGAATATAAAGTACAAAGAAGAAAAGAAACATGTTTTATGCATATATAACTCCATTTTTAATTGGCTTTATATACTCTGTGTTTTTCAGTCACATACCATGAGCAACTAATTTTAAAAAACTACATAAATTAACCGTACTAGTCTTCTATTTTGGATAGTATTAATTACAATCTTTCATTTTGATTCCTAAATTCACAAAAACCTGTATTACCCTATAAAATAAATACTAGTGTAGTTATCAACAAAGAAGTCTGAAGGAGATAATGTTGATTTGCTTACTATACTGACATTTTACTGACAATGATATAACACAGTGATGTCTGAAGGGCAGGGGAGAATGGTATAAAAATCACTCATGGTTCACAACCTATTATTGAAACTGAGGTTAGTATTTATATTACATGGTATGGCAATACTAGAAAAGATTTCCTTGTGGAGTATACAGTTTAAGACCTCTGCTGTACAGCTATACCTCCATGCTTGCTTCCAGTGGCCATGACACTTTATTCAAATATGTAAGTTTTATTAAGACTGAGTTCTTAAAAAGAAAAAACCAAGAACCTTAGATACAACTAGTGAAGTATTGAGACCTGTCCATATTTAAAACCAAGCACACGATACCACTTAAAAGGTTCCACAGAAAGCCTCTATCCTGAAATGCTTGAAAGTGAGCAGTGCTGACTCTCGATTATTACCAATTGCATTAAATATGACACTTGTTTTGTTTCTTTTGGCTATAAGGAGAAAATGTCATTTTGTATATGAGTGAGCACAGAGGAGAGAGAATGCGGTAAAGAACAGAATAGGCTAATAATTTTTTACTAAATACTCCAGTTCTCAGCTTTTTAAATCAACAGACAAAATGAATCAGCTAAACCTAAAATCTTTGTGAATAGTATAAATTGTCTTTTAAATTAAATGCATATATTTTTATGTTTTACTTTTTCAAGACAAAAGCAGGATATTAGTACAATATAAGATTTATAGAGGAGCAAATTTCTTCAGATAGGAAACCCTTAAAAGCAGTATTTAAAGTGCTTAAATACTGTCACATATGTTTAATAATCATAATACTTAATTGTGAGAACTGGGAGCTCATGTTACTACTAAAACCAAATAAAAATTCAGTACATATTTGTTAACTCAATTTAAGGATGTTTACCTTAATACTGACACAGTATGGATGGTAACACTGACCACACTGAGACAGGCAACCTGGCATGTTGACCAGCCTGGGCAACATGGTGAAATCCTGTCTCTACCAAAAATACAAAAAACAGCCGAGCGTGGTGGCACATGCCTGTAGTCTCAGCTACTCAGGAGGCTGAGGCAGGAGAATCACTTGAACCCAGGAGGCAGAGGTTACAGTGAGCCAAGATTACGCCACTGCACTCCAGCCTGGGTGACAGAGAGAGACCCTGTCTCCAAAAAAAAAAAAAAAAGAAAAAGAAAAAAAAAGAGGAAGGAAGGAAGGTTGGTTGGTTAACTAAATAGGACTACATCTCAGTATTTTTCAATACAAATACATTTAAAAGCAGTGTTTTTTTTGGTTTTTTGTTTGTTTGTTTTTGAGATGGAGTCTTGCTATGTCACCCAGGCTGGAGTGCAGTGGCACAATCTCAGCTCACTGCAAGCTCTGTCTCCCAGGTTCACGGCATTCTCCTTCCTCAGCCTCCTGAGTAGCTGGGACTACAGGCGCCTGCCACCATGCCCGGCTAATTTTTTGTATTTTTAGTAGAGATGGGGTTTCACCATGTTAGCCAGGATGGTCTCGATCTCCAGACCTCATGATCCGCCCACCTCGGCCTCCCAAAGTGCTGGGATTACAGGCATGAGCCACCATGCCCAGCCTAAAAGCAGTTTTAATGAATAGTACTAATGCTTTATAAGAGCAATTTATAGTCATATGAACCCTAATGACTACAAGTGTTAATAATGCCAATATTCATCATTAGGGAGTAAGTAAAGCCATGACAAATCCAAACATTACGAAAGTACGAAACATTTTAAAAGTAGGGAGGTAGAAACTTGTATAGACTGCCATGAAAGAAATTATCAAAAAGACACTGTTGAGTGAAAAAATAAATTGCAGAACAGTATTTGAGGTATAGCACTATAATATAAAAACATGCAAAGTCATTATATGTAGTCTATGGGCACATATAACAGGTTGACTCATAAGAAATTGCTACTTTTCATCAGTTCAGAAATAATATTGGCAATTTCATATGGATCAACCTAATATATAAATATACCAAACTGGTAACAGGGAAATAAGGAGGACTGAGGAGTTAGTAATGGTAAATTCTGATCTACCTATAACACTTTAATTTTTTTAATAGAGAAAATGTATTGATGTGTTATATGCATAGCATTAACAAAATTAGCTTTCTAAGATTTTAGAGAATCATCCAAGTTGATTCACAGAAGTAGAATCATCATCATCAGTAAGAAATTAAGTGACTACTGAAAGTAATCATTAATTCAGTCATAGGACTAATGATGCATTGACAAGACTATTGAGATATATAATTATGGAAATGGCTAAAATAGAGATAAAGTATCTATTTCCACCTCCCAACCACTAACAGAAAATTCAACACATTATACACACTGAGCAGCTCAAAGAAATTGTAAAGATCCATTATTATTTTTAAAAGGAAATTTAAACAGTGAATGCTTTCACTGAAAACGATAAACAATATATTCCCAGTATAAACCAGAAACAAAGTCTGCAGTAGAAAACTACAATGTCCCTAGATTCAAGTGTGGGTGGGGAGTCATATTTAAATAATAAGTGCAGAAAAACCAAAATATTTTAAAATAATTGTCCATGCAAGAAAGAAAACAGTATCATCTAGCTTGAAGACCCACTGTTTTTATTTTATAATTTATTTCATGACCTTTAGACTGCTAGAAAAATAAAACCTAACTTGAGGGCAAAGGTAATCTTTGAGAAAATATGTGCTATTGTTGCCTGCATAGATAATAGTGTGATTTATCCAGAAGGTGATAGAAATTTCATTTTCCTAGACAGACCACAGATATAAGCCAAGGAGAATAGAAAGCTCTGACCTAAACTTCACAAGTGTCCCTTCCAAACAGGGACACGTAAGAGTAAACAAAAAAAGAAGATCAAATTAAACTCAAAGTGAGAAGATAGGAAAAAATAAAGATGAGAATATAAATCAATAAAACAGAAAGAGGAAAGAAAATAGAGAAAAGTCCATGAAAACAAAGGCTGACTCAAGAAGATCAATAAGACTGATAAATCTCTAGCCAGACTGATCAGGAAAAAAATAAGACAAGATACAAATTATTAGTATCAAGAATGAGGAAGGTGAAATCACTACAGATTCTACAGGTATTAAAATAATAAGAAACATTATGATCAACTCCATTCCTTTAATTTGTCAAGATAGACAAAATGAACAAATTTCTTGAAAGATGCAAATTTATGCAAGGAGAGACAGATAACCTAAATAGGTACCTATTAAAGAAATAAAATTTGTTGTTAAAAACTGTCCCACAGGCTGGGCACTGGTGGCTCATCCAGTAATCCCAGCACTTTGGGAGACGGATCACCTGAAGTCAGGAGTTCAAGACCAGCCTGGCCAACATGGCAAAACCCCATCTCTACCCAAAACACAAAAATTAGCTAGGCATGTTGGTGCATGCCAGTAATCCCAGCTACTCAGAAGGCTGAGGCAGGAGAATTGCTTGAACCTGGGAGGTGGAGGCTGTAGTGAGCAGAGATCACGCCACTGCACTCCAGCCTGGGCATGGTGGCTCATGCCTGTAATCCCAACACTTTAGGAGGCCAAGGCAGGTGGATCACCTGAGGTCAGGAGTTCGAGACCAGCCTGGCCAACATGGTGAAAAACTGTCTCTACTAAAAATACAAAAAAAGAAATTATCTAGGCATGGTGGCAGGAACCTGTAATCCCAGCTACCCAGGGGGCTGAGGCAGGGGAATCACTTGAGCCTGGGAGGCAGTGGTTGCATGAGCTGAGATTGTGCCATTGCACTCCAGCCTAGGCAACAAGAGCGAAACTCCATCTCAAAAGAAAGAAAGAAAAAAAAAAGAAAACACAACAAAAACCCCCCCACAAAGAAAATTTCAGGCCAAGATGGTTTCACTAATAAATTCATGTATAAGAAGATACATTTCCACTACTACACAACTTTTCCAGAAAACTGAAGAGGAGAATATACTTTCTGATTCATTCTATGAAGCTGGAGTTATGCTGATACCAAAACCAGACGAAGACATTACAAGAATGTAAGACTACAGGCTGGGGAATTGTGACTCACGCCTGTAATCCCAGCATTTTGGGAAGCCAAGGTGGGAAAATTGCTTGAGCTCAGAAGTTCGAGACCAGCCTGGACAACATAGTGAGATGCTGTCTCTATTAAAAATTTTAAAAAAGTAGTTGGGTGTGTTGGCACACAGCTATGGTCCCAGCTACTTGGGAGACAGAGGTGGGAGGTCGAAGCTGGAGTTAGCTATGATCGCACCACTGCACTCCAGCCAGGAATTAGAACGACAACCTGTCTCAGAAAAAAAAAAAGAAGAAGAAAAAAAGTGCACAGGTCTACAGCCGTGGTGCATCCACAGTTTTATTAATACTCAGCAAGAAAAGGGAGTACACTGTTAACAAGTACAACAGCATAGATGAATCTCCAAATAATTGTGCTGAAATAAATCAGTCCAAAAAGCATACAGTTCTGTATGATTCCACTTATATACAACTCTAGAAAATGCAAACTAATCTTGGGGACAAGGACGGATGGCAGGGGGAATGCAGGTGTATATGTATATACATATATGTATATGTATATATATATATGTATATATCAAAGCTTATGGAATTGTACATGTCAAATATAGCTTATATCAACTATACCTCAATAAGCCTGGTTTTAAAATTTTTCTTTTTGAAAAAAGGACGAGAATCTAAGCTTCCTTATTCCTGCTTTAGTAGTAAACTTGAACAATTTCACCTGTCTCCTATACTTAAAATGACATTTTAGAATTTTAAAAACAGGATTTTAATAAAATAGCGAAGTTATTACGTAAAATATTTGCTAGTAGTTAGCAAATATATTTGTAATACACATATAAATAAAGCCTTATAACATGATAGTAAGCAAATAACAATCTTAAAATTTTTTAAGTAAAAGAGCAACTATATTACATACTGACTTTTTAGAGAGGGGTGGCATAGAAAGATAAGGAGTCAAAGAGGAAGGTAAGAATAGAGAAAGGATGAGAAAGTAAATATACAAGAAAACGTAACCAGAGGCTCAAAAAAAAAGCAAAGTAGAACAGTAAAATAAACATTTTGACCTATTTATATAACTCTTAAGTTCAAAATAACTTGCTATGAGATTGTCATCATTAACTGACATTTAGATTAGAGAAAATATACATGAAGGAAGCCTCACCCCAGGCAATACAACAGCTCCGATTCCACTTTTCAGCTTTGACCTGCCTCGGCCACCTCACCCCGACAGTCCTGCACCTCGAGGTCTCCGCTTTCCTGGAAATCCAGACCCACAGCCCTATGTAACAGATTAAGAAAAGTCAACATTCTGTGACAGCCCAAAATAATTTTTAAATCCAAATGCCACTGAGATAAAACATTTTATTAAATGTTATACAAACACTTCTTTAGATAAGTATTAAGAGACCTGGCTTATTATTTTTATCTTTAAAAGTATACTCCACAACTTAAAAATCTAAATATAAAATGCTTACAACCTTAGAATCATACTTTCGGGCTGTCACTGTGAACGCTATCAGCAAGACTTTGCATGATTTTTCTCTTTCCCACTCCTACATTCTCAGTGACGACAACAACTATAGTCTGATCCAGATATTTCGAAGTGCAACAAATTGTATTCAATATAGAGTAAGGATAAGGAAGAACTCTCTCATTAACTGGTCTCGCGGTGATTACAGTAATAGCTAACATCTATTGAGTACTTACTATGTACTGATCTAAGTATTTTTTACTCTCAACAATCCCATATAGTAGGTTTTATTATCCTTATTTGAGATGAGTGTGCTGAGGAATAAAATGGTTAAGTAAGTTGTCCAAGGTCGCTTAGCTAGCAAGCCTGGCTCCAGCGTCCCTGGGTTGGAAGCATATTCTGTACTGCTACATCAGCATAAAAGTTCATTTTTGCTAGTGTGTAACAGTATTCTTCCTGTCATTAAAATTAAGTCAGTTTCCTTCACTATTCAACAGTTCTCTTATGAACTCAACATTTCTACCTCATTCACCATTGTATTTAGAGGAAAATTTATTATTATTGTTATTACTTTTATTTTTGAGACAAGAACTTGATCCGTCACTCAGGTTGGACTGCAGTGGTGTGATCACAGCTCACTGCAGCCTAGAACTCTTGGGCTCAAGTGATCCTCCTGCTTCTGCCTCCCAAAGTGCCAGGATTACAGGAGTAAGCCAAAGCGTCCAGCCAGGAAAAATTATTTGAGGATTACAGGAAAGCTGACAAAAGGCTTTGTGAAAGCTTTGCTTTAAATAATCTGAATAATAAATACTTGAAATGGAAATAATTTATCTGACTTCTTACACAAGAAATAAACCTATGGGAAAATGTGTTAAATTCCCTGATAATTTCAGACATTAAGTACCAGAGTATGGTGTTCCCTGCCCCCTCACCCTTGTTTGTACTAATTAATTACTCCTTGAAAAAACCTGGCACCTACCTAAGTAGATGAATTATGTATATTTAAAATTATCCAGATGCTCAGGAAAATACTTAGGTGTTTCCCTCACCATAAGTTAAATAATATGTCATATCTTCAACTGATGTCCCTTATCATAGTTTGAAATGAACTTATTCCCTATTTAGCAGAATGGTTTCCAAGTCAAAAATTTATGATGATACGGTAAGCATAAAATAGAAACACATGAACAAAAGGAACAGGAGGAATGGCTTTTTTCTCTTTGGATGTAATAAATACAGCCAGCTCCCAGTTTCAAACTGCCACTCCTGTCTTCTCTTACCCTGCTCTCCTTGAGATCCCTTTTGAGAAGTGCATCAGCTTCTTTGCACAACAGATGGATGGGGTCAGGTTAGTTTTTTGGGTTTTTTGTTTGTTTGTTTGTTTTTGAGATGGAGTCTCGCTTCTTTGCCCAGACTGGAGTGCAATGGTGTGATCTTGGCTCACTGCAACCTCTGTCTCCTGGGTTCAAGCAATTCTCCTGCCTCAGCCTCCCTAGCAGCTGGGATTACAGGCACATGCCACCACGCACGGCTAAATCTCTTTGTATTTTAGTAGAGACGGGGTTTCACCACGTTGGCCAGGTTGGCCTCAAACTCCTGACCTCCGGTGATCTGCCCCCTCAGCCTCCCAAAGTGCTGGGATTACAGGCGTGAGCCACTGCGCCCGGCCGAGTTTGTTTTGTTATTAAATTGGTATAAAAGATTTTTGAAAAATTAAGTCAGTGATTAAAAATCAAGACTACAGTAATCTCTCAATTTATTTTCTCAAACATGAAATGCTGACCCAGAAAAAAAGTAAGTAAAAATTGGTGGTCTATATTATCAAACTGTCAAATGAGGTATATTTATACCTCAATATCTTGGATGATATCAGGCGGAGGTAGGGAGGTTAAAAAAAATAGTTCTTCCAGTCAAGAAAGAAAATAAAATATAATCTAGAATTCCTTAAAATCCTTGATTAGTCTGAATTAAACAGCCATATTCCAGAATATTAAATATAGAATATGAAGAAAAACTGTCATCTCCGGTCAATGAAGTATTTTAACTTTTGAGTTAATACTTTTTCAAATTAATTTTTTTCTCTTCAAAATGCATCACACTACTTAACTCACTTGAAGGACTGGCAGAGCCATCAACCAATGTCATGAGGGAAAAAGCCTTGTCATTTTAAGGTATTAAACAGACAATGAAATCTGCCACAATTTTGGTATTTCTTGTCCATGAGAACATAATAAATTAATGGAGTTTTTTCTTTTGCTTTTTTCTAAGCAACAAAGTTTTATGATATCATGAATGAAAAGGTCCTTAATTACCTTTTGGTCTACATGTCAAGGACTTCTCCCTCATAAAACCAGTAGTAATCACAACAAAAGGAATTAACCATAAAAAGAGGTATTAAAAATGTATACTTGATTTTTAAATGCAAGCATATTATTTCTTTACATTAAAATTTTTAGATTTAAAAAGTGTTTCTGGAAGCTCAATCTAGAAAAGAAAGATTTAATTCTTAACACCCAGTAGGGCAAAACAAATCAGACAGAAATGATATATGAATGTAAATGCAATTTTATTTACCACTTTTGTGCTCCAAATGGCACTGCCAGGAAGCTGCCTGGGTTTAAAAATTTCCCGACCTTCTGAAATGTCTGAGGACAAGGAAGGTGGGCTCACAGTATTATGGGTACTCCAGGCCTCCTAGGATATGGCAGTTGAGAAAATAGATGTGTAAAACTCAGCAACATAAACGGTCAAAGCCAGCAACTAAGGAATTTTAGAACAGCAAAAACAAATGCAAAAGTATGGAAATTTAGGACAAATTGCTTCAAGGAAGGCAAAATAAGCTAATCACTAACAGTGATTTAAACATTTAAGTATAACTTAAGTAACTTAAATGTTTGCTGCTACAGAGACATCACTACAATGAAATATTAAAAATTAAGGTTTATATGACATCAACATTGACTCATGAACTGCAATTACTGCACCAAAAAGTAAATAAAAGTCAATGACACTTTAAGAATTAACACTAGAAAAAAGTATTGGGGGGTTATTTTTCTTCTACCAACTATCAATCTACTTAAAAGGAGAAATGGATAACCATAAGGAATTCTATATTCTATAGCTATAAACAACCAAAACCAGTAGGCCAAAGAATGCAATGAGAAACATAAGCAATCGATAAATGCATAAACTTTAAACTGTAGAGAGCTGGTAACATTAAAATGCAAATACCATTATAATCTTAGCATTTAATCACTCTTTCTTCAGTGACCATTAGTTGTCGGTTTGGTTTCGGTTTTTACTTAGGGAAATGAATACTTTATGGAAATTACATCCAATGGACAAAAGTGAAGAAACGTTAAAGCAAATTGTCCTAAATTTGCAAATTAAAATGCCTAAAGTACCTGATAAATTATATAGAAATTAGTATCTTATTAAAATCTATATAACTAAAACTAAAGCATTTTACTTCCAAACAACCACATTCAGCAATACCCTGAACTAATCTGAAGATGCTAAACAGCATAAAGAAAAATGTTTACTCCACAAAGATAACATTTTAAAGAAAAACAAGACAAATGTCAAACAATAAAAGAATATATTTTGAATTAGGTAATTCAATGGTGCATGCATAATTTTGCCAATCAAGTAACCAAAACTTAAGACAAGGTACATAGTACTTACCAGGTTTCTAGAATATCATCAAATTAACAAGTACTATCTCATTAATCACATAAAAATACCACCAGGAATTAAAATAACCAGAAATAAGAATGTGACTACTCTTGGGGTAAGAGATAGGTAATGGAATAACAGTATTTTGGAAAAGCCACACAAGCAATAGACTGGTTTAATTTTTAAGTCACAAACTCAACCCACACACATTGAAGTCCAGCAATCCAACTCATTCTCTCCAGCAAACACTTTATTTTTCTCCCTCCAGGATTACCCTCAGGTGTTCTTTCTTACCCATCAAATCTCTAACCTAGCTCAGGTAATCACTAGGCTGATTTCACTGAGCAGCAACCACTGCAGGTCAGTTACCTCACTTTCATAATTTCCAATCAACTTGAATCTGTACCTATGTCTTCTTCCCTACTATTAGTAGGGAGGTGTTGTCAAAAGCCATTTCTCTTTTCTCATTTTACTCATGCTCCTGACATCTGGCATACGGTTCTACTGGATTTGGCAGCAGTCCACCTGTGGATATTTCACTGCCTTCCTCGCTAATCTTTCTTCATCTCCTGTACGTGTTCTTCCTCTATTTGACTTCCAAAGCCCTGGAGTTTCCCAGGGCTTGAGCCTAGATCCTAAATGGTGTTATCTACAATGAGGGCATCTTGGAAGTTGATGCTTCCCACATTCTTATTTCTAGTTTTAATCAAAGATCTCCAAATTAGCAGGATTTTCAACTTCCTTCTTAGCATTTCCATTTTCTCACACAAAACCCCTCTTAATTTTGCCATGTTTAAAATTTCTCCCTTAACCGGTTTCATCCCAGTCTTCCCCATCCTTATAAATGGCATCCAGTCCCTTGTCACTCTCCTCTGCTCCTTCAGTCCTCTCCCCCAACACTTCGTCAATGCAAATCATCAGCAAATTCAAGACTTTTTATCTTCAAGTTTTGTCTCCGATCCTTCTACTTCTTGTCACTTCCACCACTAGCAGCACACTCGTGGCCACCACCATCTCTCACCTAACCTGCTACAAGAGTCTACTGCTGGTTATGCTTCTCTCACCCTGCATCTACTCAAGCCTTTCCCCACAGCAGCCAGAGGAACTTTTCAAAAGTACAAATGTGATCAAGCAAGTCACTATTCTATTTCAAACCTTCAATTGCTTCTCAGAGCACTTAAAATACAAACCTTTCCCAGTGCCTTTCTCCAACTCATCTTGTGGCACTTGTCTCCCCGCTGCTGTGCTCCCGCTATTCTGGCTTCCTTGCTGTCCTTCAAACATGCCAAGCTCTGTATCAATCAGAGCCCAGCTGACTCAGAACACTTCACTATACCATTCCGGCCCTTCAATAAATGTCTGGCATTTTCTTTCTTTCTTTCTTTTTTTGAGATGGAGTCTCACTCTGTCACCCAGGCTAGAGTGTGGTGGTGTGATCTCGGCTCACTGCAACCTTTGCCTCCCAGGTTCAAGCAATTTTCCTGCCTCAAGCCTCCTGAGTAGCTGGGATTACAGGCATGCACCACCACGCCCGGCTAATTTTTGTATTTTTAGTAGAGAAAGGTTGTCTCCAAGTTGCTCAGGCTGGTCTCCAACCCCTGACCTCAAGTGATCTGCCCACCTTAGCCTCCCAAAGTGCTGGGATTACAGGTGTGAACCACTGCGCCAGGCCAATATTATTTTTTTAAGAAAATACTAATAAAAAGAAACAATTGATATTAAATAAAATTTAACTATTGACTATAAATATATGTTTCAAGAGATTTGAGTGAAAATACCATTCTATGTTAAAATAAAAAATATGACATTCGATAAATATAGTAATAACATGTTCTCAAAGGTTCAAGGGGCTAAAGCTAATGAGAAAAAGTTAAATATAAACATCTTACAATTTACCTAATTACTTGAAATAGAAACTTATGTTCATTCCTGTATTTCTCCATTTTTCCAATTTCTAATGTCTACTTCTTTCCATTTTGTATTTTCTTGTATTGAGGCAATTTAAAGAGGATATGCCAGGTCTTCAGAAAGCCAAGAACTGAACATAAGCACTCTGGAACCTATCTGAACTTAATTTTGTCCAAGATTTTTTTAATGGTTGAAAATTGGCTCAACTGGGGATACTAAGAGGAAACATCAGGGGCAAAGGGGATTTGGGTTAAACAGATCGAACAGGATTCTTACTGAAGGCAGGCCAGACTGATCAGAAATCATCTGGAGGGTGGTGGGAGATAACAAATTTGATCAGATGTCAAAGGTGATCAGTACTGAGAGTAGGGGATTCTTTGCAAGTTTCTTACTAAACCTGAGAGATGTGGGCCAGACTAGGATGAACACTGAAGGCTGGGGCTGAGAGGAGGCTTAGAGGATCCTGACTAGAGTTTGGGCAAGGGGAGAGGCTTTGTCAATGCAAACATGAATTCAACAATATTACCAAGTACAGATGCATGCACATAAAAATACTGAAAGGAAATATAAGAAAATCTTTAAAAATTTTTATGGCTTATTTATTTTATGTAATTTAAATATATGTATATATAAAATTAAGGTGTACTTTGAACACATACTAACACATTCAAAGAATTAAGTATACGTTTGATAATACATAATAGTTACAAAATAAGCAAGGTCTTCATGCAAACGAGTTTAGAATTTCCAGGGTGTATTACTTAGCATTTGATTAACAGGCCTGTAACTTCTTCTGCTTCCCATTCATTGCCCATTTTATTAAAAATTCCTCAAGTGGATGCATTGGAATGGAAGAAACACTGACTCTTTCCTTCAAAGAAGGAAACAACAAACCTTGTTTGACAACCCTGGTCAAACAAGACAAGGACCAAGTGGCCAGTGGTAAGGAAAGTTGGTCAACTAATGAATGACATTTTAGATTAAAAGTGAATTTTATTTAACCCAATTATTCTTATCCTATGCACACAAATTTGAATTTAAGTTAGCTTGATGTAGATGGTCACCCCATTCCAAAGCATGGGTCCAAATACCCTAAGGTTCCAGGAGGAGCCAGCTTTCTTCAGAAGGTGGCAAGTGCATTGCAAAGTACTGAGGAAAACTTTCTTTAAAGTATCTTTTTTCATCATTCCATATTTTGCTCCTTATAATTGCAACTGCTCTCCTTATACATGTCTCTTTTGAAACTTCTCACTTGTCTAAGGTGCTATTGTTCCTCCTCATCTTTTTTTTTTTTTTTTAATAGCATAGTCTCTCTCCCTCCTTGCCATGCTGAAAAGGCTTCTGACTTGCTGTTCTTGCCAGGAAACATTTCTGCAGGGCGTATTGGAGTGGAACTACTTACAGAGTGTCAGGGCAAGTCCTTACATTTGTTTATGCTTAGGACACAACACAGAAGATAATTTTCTAAGTTAAAGATTGTATGATTTTATCTTGACTTCAGAAACTGGTCATACTTTTTTACTTTAGTTTCTAAGAACCTCAGAGCTGAACTTGAAACAACTTTAATAATTCCAATGAGGCATTTGTTATTTATCCTTTTTAAAAAAGACTTTTCTAATTTAAATCATTTTATTATTGCTCTAAATTTGCCAGGTTCATTTTAGAATTTTATAAACTGTTTTAAAACTAATTTACATTAAGTTGGAATAAAGTTAACCAAATTAATACAAACATATTTTATTGCACTTCTCTTTATTGTGCTTCACAGATAGGAACATTTTTTCTTTTATTTACAAATGAGATGTTTGTGACAACCCTGGTGAAGCAAGTCTATTGGTGCCATTTAACAAACAGCCTTTGCTCACTTTGTGTCTTGGTTTCACACTTTGGTAATCTTCACAATTTTTAAAATATTTCCTTATTATTATATTTGTTACGGTGATCTGTGATCAGTGATCATTAATGTTATGGGAGGCGGAGTTTGCAGTGAGCAGAGATCACGCCAGTGCACTCCAACCTGGGCAACAGAGTGAGACTCCATCTAAACAAAAAAAAAAAAAGGAGTTTTTATATGTAGGGTACAAAATACTATCTGACCTTAAGGTGTGTGCAAATTTTTCTGAATTAATTAAGACTTAAATATCAACAGGAGTGATTGTTTTTGTTACAATCACCAGGTGGGTGATCTGATACTTTCCCCTGAAAAATGCATATACAAAATTTTCACATAATTTAAAAACATCCACAGATACATAGCTATGGATTCAGTTTATGGATCAAGAATTCAACTCCTCAGAAGTAAAAGATTACATGAGAAAGTATCTGATATTGAGGTGACAAGGAATAATGTTGAAATGTATCTCATTAAAAAGTGCAGACAGTTGTGGCTAAGACATTGGGTATTACAGAGGTGCATCCATGTGTCCAGTGAGAAGACTTTAAGAATCTGTTTGGGAATAATGAGAACATGAGCATTCCCCTCCCTACCTCTAGCACTCCCCTCCTGCTATTTGGATATTGTGAATTTACCAAACACAGTGATTTAGGTCACTTTTATTATTTCAGAAATTCCAGATACCTTACTACTTATATAAAATAGCCCTTGAAAGGATGCTTACCATTAAATAATGTCTAATACAAAGAAAAGACAAATGTATGTGATCTGTAGTGCATAGTTATAATACAATCTGAATACTACATTTAAATTTTTTACTCCACTTTCCAAGAAATAAAGCATTGATTCTAAATATATTCTCTATTTGTCAAAACAAATAGAAACTACCTAGTGTTTCATTTATAAAAGAAATTAATTAATGGTGTCTCTAAGTTAATTTTTTATTTCTTTTCCCCATATCATTTTTATATTATATAAGAGAGCATATTTTTCTACTCTACCCTGGAATTAATAAACAAAAAATAAGGTATGATATTTAACCCAGGGCTACCACATTTTTTTCAGTGTATTTAGTAGGTTCTCCTAAATCTGGAAAAGAAAACTTCAAATATAAACACAACCAAACTAAAATAACACCTTTTTTCTTCTATTTACTTTATTTCTTGAACTCAGTGATGTAATATGTCTTCATCTGCCTCTGAGAATACACTTAAAACTACAGAAGCAAATTAACATTTTCCCAATTCACATGTAGTGCAATATTTAAGATTTCATCTAATTGAACACGTGTTGGATCAAATTTATAATACTAAAAGCACTCTTCTACATACTGCAATGTCTAGATGGAAGACAAGCTAGTCAGGTGGCAGAGTGAACATCATTCTGGTAGGCCTTTTCAAGCTGTCACTTGCAAGATGTTTGGACTGCTGAGAATGTTAGCCATAATTAATTGCAGAGATAGGAGGCTGCAAATGGGTGAGGTAATGTTCAAATGCATGGAATGATGACTAGTCATAGTAAAAGATAATAGATGTGGCCACATTGCTTTGAGAAAATTTAGAGAATATTTTGGGTCACAATGATACATTTCTGCGTTATTTGTGGAATGTTTTCAATGTAATTACATCACACAGGTAGACTTCCAGATCCTGTGTCTAACTTACTTTCCTTGGCTCTGTGGGAGAACACATATTCTAATGAAGTTCATTTTAAGGCAAATATTTCTTGAAAACACAAAACTGATAGATATATGTATGCAGGTTTCCTTCTTATACGTCTTTTATAAACAATGAAGTTGTATTTCTCCTTTAGTGTTTAATGTGTTTCATCAGATAATGCCCTAGAAGTTTTATCAAATTTTTCTGTCCACCATTTGAAGGTGTATGAGAGGGAAAAAATGCAGTCTGCCTGCTTCACTAACAAAAGTAGGACAAAGGCCATCACAACTGAAATACGTGAAACACTTGGTTTTATTAATTTCAAGCATTTTATATCTCTACACTTGGACTCGAGTAAAGACATTTCATAGAAAAACAGAAATATTTTTATTTGTTTATTTTTTAATCTTGATAACCTGCAATAGTTTACAGCCAGAATGGCAGCTTTTATATATGTACACTCATTTAAATACAGTTTCATACAGTAAATAGCCATGGGGCAAAATATCTGCCTCTAGGCACAAAAAAAATCTTTGCCACTAAATAAACACCTTTAAGTGATACTGCAAAGAATAGATGTGAGGTAATTTTTTACCTAAATGACTCTGGCCTGTATTAAGACATATTCACTGTAACAATTCAAGTTTTAAAATCCTTGTTTTGTAACTCAAAAATATACCTTTTTTACAAAACACATCTTTACATTTATTGCTATTGTACATTTATTTGGCAGGAAACAGGGATGTTTGATGTCTTGCAATGATAAAGCAATCGTATTCAATAGAAAATTGTCTCACATTCTGCATGACTTTTGAACATTCGAAAAGACAATTACATAAGTGAAAAACAAATTTGTAGATATTTGAGTACAACCATTTAATATATGAATAAAAGCAGTTCAGAACATTTTAATGTACGCTGCATTTTCTGATAGTAAGATTTTAAGTTAAAATAAGATTATACTTCAAAAAGCGTACCATTTTGAAAAAAAATCATATCACTCCTGGCAATGCCATTTTCATACTAGTCCAACATATTGCTTATCCATCTGTGTTTGTTTGATTTTACTGTTATTACATTCATGGTAATGCTAAAGTACATACATACACACACACACACACACACCTAAGGTGTGCAGGCTTTCATCCAAGCTTACTGGTATTAATTAAAAAATCAACCAGAGGTAGGGAAAAATAAAACTTATTCAAAAATACTATTGCAATAGGGAGAATATTCCAAACTCAATCTACAGGTGTCTCAGGATCAAACAGGAAAAGGCTTTCCTTTTCTAGGGAAGGACAAGCAGGGCTGGCAGAAGCCTCCTTGGAGAGAAGGACAGGCAGTGGGGTGAGCAGGTGGCAAAACCAGGATGCTCCAATAAAAATAGTTTCTCTGGGAGTCCCGCTCATTTTTGGAGTGAGCTGTTAGCGGGCTGGTCAGTCCTTTAGTGCTTGTTCAGTCTTAGGTGGTGAGCCAAGGTCCAGGGGCCTGAGGAGAGGAGACAAGACTGTCTGAAGTTTGATAAAATCAAGTCAATGGGTAGTTATGAGTAACTGTGAGCAATTGGTCAGCTTTGGGCTCAGCACACACCCCACCTTATGTTGTTTACCACAAACAAAACTTGTCCCTAAAAATTTTTAGGAATGGCATCAGACATAGCGAAGGTTTGCAAACTGATTTTCAGGGTTGGGCTGGTCTTCATGTGTTTGTTAACCTTGAGGACTAGGTATATCATTTGTTAAGTGTGTTATTGGACTGACAGCTGCTCTCTATGAAAAGTAGAATAATCATTGAATATAATAAAAAGAATAATTATTGAAGGTTGGATAAAGAGGTCCGTGGAGCAATGGGCGAGTACGCTGGTGCCACACGCTCCTCGCCTTCTGCTGCCTGCAACTGGTGGCAGCGCTGGAGCAGCAGATCTTTGACTTCCAGGGCCACCTACCAGTGAGCTCCCACCCTAGCCAATTTCCTGCGCCTCGTGGCGCTCACCCTGGGCATCGTGGGCACCGCAGTGTGGCTGACGCTCCGGGCTGGCCTGAGTGCGTTTATCACCTGCTTCTACCCGAAGGCTGGACCCAATATCCCCAGACCGCGACTTCCCCACAGCGTCCAAATGCCCCTGTACCGATCCAGGGATGGAGAATCACCGGGCAGTGGGCGACTCGGGTCTGAACTTCCCCTGGCCATGGGGGGCTGCCGTGCAGTCTTGTCCCTAGCTGCCTGCTGCACTGTCCCTGCAAAGAAGCCCTCAGCAGCGCCCGCAGATCCTCCTGGCGCTGCTCCGCTTCCTGTTCGCCAGCTATGGGAGCAAAGTCTTCCTGAAGGAGGAGGCAGCTTTGACTTCATCAGCGGCTTCCACTCCTAGGGATGCCAGGAGCCCCAGAAGACGTCACGTTGACACCAGCAGCCTCTATGCGCTTCGGGTAGCCCTGCCCCACCTGCCCTGGCCCTGTGCCCTTGGCGCTGGACTGACCTCGGCAGCCGCGATCTTGGTCAGGACCAGCGGGCACAGCCCTGGGGGCTCGGGACCCACTGCAGCCTGTGAAGGCCCCATGGCTCTGCACACAGAGAGGCGGAGCAGCAGACTTTGGGACTTGGCCCTTCACAACCAGGACTTCAGAGAGGAATGGGGCGGGTAAGGGAGGGGCCACGGAGTCCGCATTTTAAAAAATTTCAGACTTAGTGTGAGCTGGAGCTTTTCTCCCTTCTCCAGCCTCTTCCTTTCACCCTTCACCCAGCATCCCGCCCCTGTCCAGAGAGAAAGAGCAGGAGGGCTTGCCCTTTTTATCTCACCGCACTCACTGCCCAGCCTGAGGAAAGCCGGCGGAACTAGGGGCAGGAGTTCTGGTTTCTCATCGCAGGTCCATCAGACTCTGGGTGACAGCTAGCAGAGCCCTAGCCCTCTCGGTGCCTCAGTTTCCCCACCTTGCCATTAAAAGAGTCCCTTGGTAGGTGAGCTCTTCTAGCCTTCTCATATAACTCTGAATTCTGTGGGCTGGGGAGGGATTATAAATCCCATTTTGCAGATGTAGAAACTGAGGCCAAGAGAAGTGAAATGGTTTGCTTGAGGCCACACTGCTAGATTTTGGTGGAAGCAGGCCTTGAACGCAGCGGACTTTCTGTAGTTTCAGCCTCTAAAACCCAGTGTCCTCTCTGAGTTCCGTTTTCAGGCCCCTCACTACATTCACACATCACCGCTTGCCAAGACCTCTCCTCAACCACCATCTTATCAAAGGTGACAAGAGTCACCTTTGCTCCAGTTCCCAGCAAGTTCCTCATCTCCATCAGAGACTGCCTCAGCATGGATTTCATTGTCCATATCATTATCAGCATTTTGGTCAAAGCCATTCAACAAGTCTCTTGGAATTTCAAACTTTCCCACAGTTTCCTGTCTTCTGAGACCTGCAAATTGTTCAACCTCTGCCAGTTACCCAGCTCCAAAGTAGCTGGGATTACAGGCATACACCATGACACCCAGCTGATTTTTGTATTTTTAGTTTCATCATGTTGGCCAGGCTGGTCTTGAACTCTCGACCTCAGGTGATCCTCCCCCCTTGGCCTCTCAAAGTGCTGGGATCACAGGTGTGAGCCACTGCGCCTGGCTGCTGCTCCTTTTTTTGTAATGGACCTGGGAGATCTTTAGGAATGAGGGAAATGATCATTTCTTTGAATAAGGCAGAATACTAAAGACTAGCCAGCCCTCAGGCTCATGGTGGTTGCTGCTGTTCTGTTGAACGTGAACCATAGCCTTTAGAAAGGAGCAAGTCTTTGTGGAATACACAGGATTTGAAGTGCAACAAAGGGGTGGAAACCCAGCTGACCATGATACCTTCAAGTGAGTTTTTCCACTGAATTTGATTATTTTCGCATTTGGCACTTCTTTCTGGGTTTTTTAAGCAGCCCAAAAACTCTAGGTGATTTTACTTTTGTAATTGTATTCTCTTGGGAATGCTCATTCCTGATTCCTCATTTCACCAGATAGGTGTGTAACCTTCTTGTTTCTGCCCATAATAATTCTGGAGTCTTTAAACAAAACGACTGTGACTTTTCATGATGAGTAGAAGATAGGTTTTACTCACGCTACAATCAATATTAATTCCTTGCAGTTCGAAGACACTGAGGCCCTGTCTAATAATATGGAAGTTGAACTTGGACTTGGGAGATGACTCCTGCCTCTCGTCCTCTCTGTGGCTCTGCTTTCTATTATTTTACTCATAAGCTTGTTTTGTCTCCTTGCTGAGAATTGTCAAACATGAAATGTAATTTCAGGCTATAGTGAAGAAAGATGACGTAGGCAGAAGAAATTGGCAATCATTTGGCCTGTACATGTTGCTTTTGGTTTTTTTTCTGGACTTAGGATGTAGACCACACCTTGACAGTTCTGGCCTTTGAGTCTTTCACAACTGTGATTATAATACATTAGCTCTTCTAGAAGTTAGAAGTGACTTTGGATTAAGTCTTTCATAAGGTGGCTAAATGAATTTATATGGCTCATCACAATTCACTTGATTGGTTAAGCAGGAAGTTTACAGAGATTTTTTTCTTTGCTGTAAATGTTTTTCTAAATTGAAAAACTTCTATTACTGTCTTCTGGAGTACTAGAAATAAGTGCAAGTGATTGTTTTTGGCAGGAGGCCACATAAACATTTCTGCTTCTCTGTGCCTTATGGGTAGCATTGATATAAATTGTTAAAAATAATGATTGTAGATAGATAATGTATCAGAGTTTGGGCTCAGCCGTGGTAGCTGCTGTTGACCCAGAGGGACCACTGGGATCCTCACATCTCAGGGCAGCACATCGTTGGCAGCAATGGTTGGTTCTACGCAAACTTTTATGAAATTAGGTGAGGCCCTTGCTTAGAATTTTTTAAAAGCTTAATATGAGTTTATATCTCTTTAAATATCAGTTTCTAATATTTTTTAAAGGCCTATGTTTACAACAAATTTGGGAGATACCTATATGCACTACTAACTAGTGTTCTTTTGTGGTGCTTTAGAAATTCTGGCTTACTTGTATTTTTGCTGGCCTTCTAATGATTTCACTCATCAATCAGAAGATACTAGTGTCCACCTCCCTGCTTCCTCTCCGGTGATCTTGTCTATTCTTGGCCATTTTAGAGTTGACTTAGCAGCCTTCACAAAACTGATTGGAATTTCCACTGGGATTAAATTGATAGGTCATTTTTGGGAGACCTTTGCAATATTGAACTTTCCAATCCATGAACTTTACTTATCTGCCCATTTATCATGTTTGTTTTTGGTAGATTACAAAATTATATGATCACTCCAAAAATTACCTTGCCCTTTATAGTAAAACCTTCCATTGTAAACTGGCAATCACTGATCTGTGTTCCTCTAGCATTGCTTTTTTTTCAGAATTTTATACAAATGGAATCGTTCAGGATGTAGCCTTTTGAGTCTGGCTACTTTCATATACTGTATCAACAGTTATTCCTTTTTATTGCCAAATAGTAATCCATTGTATAAATACTACATGGTTTGCTTATTGGTTTGTCATTGGAGGAATATGGACTATTTTCACTTTTTGGTAAATTATAAGTGGATTGGAATTCACAAAGTGCTTTTTGTCTTAGCATAGTTTTTCATTTCACTTGTGCAAATGCCTAAGGGTAGGATTGCTGAGTCACATGGTCCATTTACATTTGACTTTATCAGAACCTGCCAAATTGTCTTCCAAAGTGCTGTGCCACTTCTGTTTCTTTAATAAATACAGGGGTATTCAAGCTGTCTGTTTCTCCTTGAGTTTTGGTAGTCTGTCTTTCAAGGAATTGATCTATTTCATGTAATTTGTAGAATTTAGAAGCATATAGTTGTTTGTTTTGTTTTTGTAGTATCCATTATAGCCTTCTAGTGTCTACAGGATTTGTAATAATATTCCTTTCATTTCTGGTATTGGCAATTTGCGTTTTCTCTTCTTCCTTTGTCAGTCTGCTAGAGGCTTCCTCATTTAATTGATTTCCACCTCCCACCACCCCTGCAAAGAACCAACTTTGGATTTCGTTGAATTTTTTTCCTTTACTGTTTTTGTTTAAATATTACTGATCTAGTCTGTTTTTCTTATGCCTGATTTGAGTTTATTTGGTTCTTTTTTTACTTAAAGTAAATGCTTACATTATTGATTTGATGCTTCATTTCTCATAATTTAGTGCTATAAATTGCCCTGTAAGCACATATTTTGATAAGATGATGTCATATTTATTAAGTTCAAACTGTTTTCCGATTTGTCTTAAGATACTCTCTTTGACCTAGGGGCCATTTAGAAGTATGCCATTTAACTTCTCATATTTGGGGATGTTCTAGAAATGTTCTAGATTCCTAGTTTAATTCTGTCATCAGAGAAAATAATTAACTGAATTTTAATTGTTTAACTTTAGGGTTTGTTTTATGACCCAGAATATGATCTCTCACCACCGCCATCCAGATAATTCTTCAGGTTTTGACGTTTCCCAACCTGTCTGCTGGTTACTTTTCAGAGTACTTGGGTCATTGTTATTTATATTTTGTCCAGAGTTTCAAATTGTGATCAGTGGAAATGACAGGCCGTAGCATGCATACACCATCCTGGCCAGCATCACAGGTGGTCAGCATATCTTTCTGTTGTTGTTTTGAGACAGGGTCTCACTCTGTTGCCCAGGCTGGAGCACAGTGGCATGATCAGGGATCACTGCATTCTCAACCTGCTAGGCTCAAGTGATCCTCCCACCTCAGCCTCCCAAATAGCTGGGTCTATAGGTGTGCTGCCATGCCCAGCTAATTTTTGTATTTTTTATAAAGACGGGATTTTGCCTTGTTGCCCAGGCTGGTCTCAAACTCCTGAGCTCAGGCCATCCTCTCACTCGGGCCTCCCAAAATACTAGGATTATAGGCATGAGCACCACACCTGGCCAGTACTTCTTAAAAATAATTGCTGATCCACGTTGAATAATGATGGCCTGTAAATATTTTTTCTTGCACTTGCCTTGTTGGGTTTTGATATCAAGGTTATTTTTATTTTAACCTTGTAAAATGAACTGGGGAGTCTTCTTTTTTTATTCTCTGTTTGTGTTGGTGGCAGAGTTTTTTTTTTTGTTTGGTTGGTTGGTTTGTTTCTCTTGTATGTTTCATGGAACTTTTTGGTGAAGGCACTTGGGCCTGGAAATTTCTTTATGGGAAGTTTTTTCATTACTGATTCAATATATTTAATCTATGTAAGTTTTTTTTCTACTTTTTGAGTCAATTTTGATTTTTTTTCCTAGAAATTCATATCTCACCAAGTATGGTGGCTTATGCTTGTAATCCCAGCACTTTGGGAGGCTCAGGTGGGAGGACCACTTGACTACAGTAGTTCAAGACCAGCCTGGGCAATATAGTGAGACTCCATCTCTACAAAAAAAATAAAAATTAGCTTGGTGTGGTGGTGGGTGCCTGTAGTGTGAGCTACTTGGGATGCTGAGGTGGGAGGATCATTTGAGCCTGGAAGGTCGAGACTGCAGTGAGCTGTGATTGTGCCACTGCACTCCAGCCTGAGCGACAGAATGAGACCTTGTCTCAAAAAAAAAAAAGAAAAAGATTTGTCATCTATGCTTTAAAGTCTGTTGGCATAAAGGTATTCATAATTTTACATTATGAATTTGTTTATTTGAGACAGGGTCTCACTCTGTTGCCCAGGCTGGAGTACAGTGGTGCAATCATGGCTCACTGCAGCCTCCACCTCCCAGGCTCAAGCCACCCTCTTGCTTCAGCCTCCCAAGTAGCTGGGACCACAGGCACGTGCCACCATGCCCAGCTAATTTTTGTATTTTTGGTAGAGACGGGGTTTTGCCATGTTGCCCAGGCTGGTCTCAAACTCCTGAATTTGAGCATTCCTCCCACTTCGGTCTCCCAAAGTGCTGGGATTACAAGCGTGAGCCATCATTCTTGGCCTGCAAGTTATGACTTCCTTTCAGAGTCTTTCTATCTGTAGTACAGTCCTCCTGTGCAAGATTGTTTTTTGAATGCTTTTTCTTGACAAATCTTGCTAAAGGTCTGTGAATTTTATAATGTATTTTTAAAGAACCAGGTTTTAGCAGGGCATGGTGGCTCATACCTGTAATCCCAGCACTTTGAGAGGCAAAGGTGGGAGGATCGCTTGAGCCTGTAAGGGGGAGGCTGTACTAAGCTGTGATTGAGCCACTACACTCCAGCCTGGGCAACGGAATGAGACCCTATCTGAAAACCAAAAAAACCACAAGTTTTAGCTTGGCTGATTCTATTGTGTGTTTCTTTTGTATTTCATTTGTTTGTTATGTTTTTCCTTTTTCTTTCTTTGAATTTAACTTGTTCTTTGTCTGATTTATTGACTGATGCTTAGTTTTTTTTTTGTTTTTTTTTTTTTTTGAGACGTAGTCTCACTCTTTCACCAGGCTGGAGTGCAGTGGCACAATCTTGGCTCACTGCAACCTCCAGCTCCCGGGTTCAAGCGATTCTCCTGCCTCAGCCTCCCGAGTAGCTGGGACTACAGGTGTGCGCCACCACACCCAGCTAATTTTTGTATTTTTAGTAGAGCTGGGGATTCACCATGTTGGCCAGCACAAAGTGCTGGGATTACAGGCATGAGCCACTGTGCCTGGCCAGTGCAAGTGTCTTTAGCCAGCTTCATTTACTCCCTAACTCCTTACCTCAGGTTCTGCATCCGTAAAATGAGGTCACTAGGAGTATTTACCTCAGAGGGCTGTTGCAAGGTTAAAGCTGGTTATACAAGCAGAGTACTTGGAACAGTGTCAGTTACCTGGCTGGGGCTCAGTAAGTGCTGGCTGTCCTTATTGAAAAGGTTCAAGTGTTGTGTTTTCCTGTTACCTGATCTGGAAAGAGGTCAAACAAAGGATCTTTTAGCCCATGCCATTTCCTGTCCGTCCTTGGCTGAAGGCTGACAGGTAAGAATCCCCAGAAGTTGTCACCGATGTGCCTGTGGAAGTGCCTTCCTGATTGCTTTCCCTCTGGAGCCTTTAAGTTCCATGAAGCACTTAGTTGGCCTGGATTCCACCTATTCAGCATGCTGTGGCAGCTCAGTTCAGTTCCCATTTTTAACTTGGGACTGCATAGATTCCCCGTCATTTCTTTTAGGACCAGGTGGGCAAGAAGATCCAGTCAGTGCTTTATTACTTCTCACTGATATTCACACAGCACATTTAGTGTGAGCCATAGAATAAGAAAACTCTTAGTCACATTCTGTGTCATGAGAAGGTTACTTAAGCTTGAAAACCATTTCCTTGTCTGGTAAATGCGGCTGTAATGAAATCGACCCCATTCACTGTTGTGAGAATTAAATGAGATGATGTATGCAGAGCAACTAGGACAGTGCCTGGGAAAGTGCTACTCATGATCATTTATCTTCAGTTTAGAACAATATATACTTGCTTACTTAAAAAAGGAGATAATAGAGAAAAGGTATTGAGAAAAGTAGGAGAGGAGAAAATCACTCATATTCTCACCATTCAGTGATTCAGCCCAGTATCATCAATGTTTTGTTTGGTTGTTTTTGTAGGTGTAGGATTTTTTTTTTTTTAAACATAATTTTCCTGCATATGCAGTTTTGCATTTTTAACCCAAACTTAATGTTCTTTTTAATGTTCTTGTACTTACAAAGATTTATCCTGTTTTTAGATTGATATCTCACCTTGGCAGAAATGAGATAAAATTTTAAAATATTCATTTGGTGGCTTTCACAGTATTATTTGATCTCTAGGGTCTCCTGTGAGTTTGCTACATGGTGCATTGTATTACTTTCATCTTATAGATGAAGAAAGATACTAGTGTGGCTGAGTCGCATGCAGAATTTGGAGGAGCATGGTGCTGAATGAGCTTTGATGATTGTAGGGGCCACAACTGGAAAAGTAGATGTAAAATGGTGAGGTCGATCCCTCTGACACTTTCACATGCTCAGTCACGCATCTTGAACATATAAGTTGGATCCTATGCCTAGAGAGGTAGGTTTCTGAGCCAAGGCATATTCCAAAAATTGCATGAGAAGCTGGCTTTCCCAGGAACAGTGAGCCCTCCCGGCTCACTAACTCCTGAATCATACTTCCTGCCCCTAGCCAGGTTTATCTAGGACTTGAGCACAAAGAAAAAGTGGGAGCATCTTTGAACAAGAAATATCTTGAAAAACTAGTTAAGTGGTATCATATATTTGTGGGATGGGTGATTTCAAAACCCAGTCTAAAAGGACAGGACCTTGCTCATTGACAATTTATTGTCTGATGCAATGTTTCTTAATCTTTTTGGGTCTTGGATTCCTTTGAGAATCTTTTGAAGTTTATGGACTCTTTTCCCAGAAGAACACACTCATGTGTATGTAACACAATTTTGCATTCAATCTTAGGGACTGCAGGTGTCTACATTAGTTATATATTGGTGTAAAAAAAAGAGCCCCAAACTTAAGGCTTAAAGGAACAATAGATGTTTATTATCTCACAGTTTCTGTGGTTCAGAAAGTCAGTAACATCTTAACTGGATACTTCTGACTTGGAGTCTCCCAGGAGGTTGCAATCAAGATGTTGTTGGGGGGAAAGGGGCAGGTTCAGTGGCTCATGCCTGTAATCTCTACACTCTGGGAAGCAAAGCCAGGAGGATTACTTGAGCCCAGGAGTTTGAGACCAGCCTGGGCAACACAGTGAGACCCTATGTATTAGTCAGTTCTCACATTGCTATAAATACATGAGACTGGAGAATTTATAAAGAAAAGAGGTTTAATTGTCTCACAGTTCCACAGGCTGTTCAGGGAGCATAATGCTGGCATCTGCTCGGCTTCTGGGGCAACCACAGGAAACTTTCAATCATGGTGGAAGGTGAAGGGGAAGCAGGCACGCCTTACATGGCCAAAGCAGGAGCGAGAGAGAGGGGGGAGGTGCCACACACTTTTAAACAATTAGATACTGTGAGAACTCTAACGAGCACAGCACCAAAAGGGTGATGCTAAATCATTCATGAAAGATCTATTCCTGTGATCCAGTCACCTCCCACCAGGCCCCACCTCTAACATTGGGGATTATAATTGAACGTGAGATTTAGGTGGGTACACAGACCCCAACCATATCATCCCGTCTCTATAAGAAATAAAAAAGTTAGCCAGGCATGGTGGTGTGTGCTGGTGGTCCCAGATACTCAGGAGGCTGATGTGGGAGGATCACTTGAGCCTCGGAGGTCAAGGCTGCAGTGAGCTATGATTGCACCACTGCACTCCAGCCTGGGTGACAGAGTGAGACCCTGTCTCAACAACAACAAAAAGATGCCTGGGGTTGACATTATCTGAAGGCTTGACTGAGTTGACTGAGGCTGGAGAATCTACTTCCAGTCACATGCTAGCAAGTTAGTGCTAGCTGTTGGCAGGAGGCCTCATGCGGTCCTCCCCATATGGCTGCTTTGATGTCCTCATAACATCGTGCTTGTCTTTTTATGACCTAGCCTTGGAAGTCACATTCCACCATTTGTGCATTTCCTATTGGTCACATAGGTCAGTCCTATTTAGTGCATAGGGCAAGGTCTGAGAGGGGAGTAGTGCTGACTGCCCATGCCCTCTCCTGGTGCACGCCGCTTCCAGCACCCAGAAGCTCTCCTAACTCCGTTATTTAGGGTTTTCATATGGGATTTCATTACATGGGTATGACTGATCAAATCACTGACCAATGCTGATTGGATCAATCTGCGGTCCCCCTCTTGTCCTTGGAGGTCTAAGGGTGGGGCTGAAAACTCCACAACTCTAAGCGTGGCCAGCTCCTTCCTTGAAACTGCCTCCGTGCTCACCTTCAGTCACCCCATTAGCATAAACTCTGGGATGGCCAAAAGGGGCTTCTTATAAATAACAAAATGTACTCCCATTGCTTAGGAAGTTCCAAGGGGTTTAGGAGCTCAGTGCCAGGAACTGGGGACAAAGACCAAATATGTATATATATATAAACACTACAGTAGTGAATTTTATATAGCAAACATGCATTATTTTTCTTTTTGGCTAAAATTTTTTTCTAGTTATAAAACTGGTACATACTCATTGCAGAGAACTGGGGGAAGGAGTAAAATATTAAGAAAAAAATAAAAATCACTTGCCATCCTGTCACCTAGTATTTTCTTTCTAGTTCTTTTCATGCAGTTATATATAACATTTTGATCTTTCTTTTTATGTTACAGAAGTCATATTTGCTTATTGCAGAGTAATCCAAAGAGTACAGAATGTCTAAAGTTAAAAAAGTTATTTAAAAAAAATGATCCTTGCCTGGGAGGAACTTTCTATTGTAGGTTGAGAGGGGAGATAGAGGGGCTGTGGGTCAGAGGATGCCCTGGTCAGGGTTGGGTGCCTGTGTCTCTTTGGAGGCAGCAGAGGTCTGCACAGCAGGGTATTACCATTATAGGGAAATGGGGGGGTGGGATGTGTGGAAGGGGAATTAAACTGCCAAGAAGAAAACAATTATTTTTATGTTGAGAAGCATTATTTTCAGGGGTCAGAAGCCCTTTGTGGGGCAGAGGGAAATTAAGGAGGTATTTAATAAACAGGTGCAGCTGAATGTGTGTGGTTAAAGTGCAGTCCAGTAGTTATTTATTTGTCCGGATTGTTTATAACCTGCTTCCAGCCTAGACAAGTTGATTTGACCCTGCTGACCTGGCTCATTCAGGCCACTTAACACTGTTTACCTTTGGGTGGGGAGGACATGCATGATCCGCTGGCCGAGTGCCTTTGTAAGGTCTGTAAATAGGATGCATTCTGGTTAAACTCATTATTGCATCACAAAAGCCAGTATCTGATGGGTCTCAGCTCTTTTCTTTTGCACTGGGGAAGACTGGAGGAGAATGAAACTTCCTTGAACCAGTGATTGGGTCTCTACCAAAGAGAGAAACTTAAAGCTAGTGAGAGCCTTAAGATATTTCATTTGAGCACTTGGCTGGCACCATGTAGGTAGAGACACTTTAAAGTAACAGTGCTTTGCTACACCTGATTTGAATCATCTGTGGAGCTTCAAAAAAAATCCTAATTAATCCTAAGACCAGTTATGTCAGGTGGGGTCCAGGCACTGTTATTTTTTTTAAAGCTCCCCAGGTGATTCCAGTGTAGGTCCAGGACTGAGAAGCAGTCCTTGAAGATGCTGGTGTACCCTGACCTGCCTCCAGCCTTCTTTGCAGGAGATGGATGGGGGTTGGTTGTAGTTGTTCTGTCATAGAACACTGCAATTCAAAGGATACCTAATGCTATGAATGTAGGTAAATTGTTTGCAAAATGTTCTGTGTTTCAGGAATACTGCAATCATTTGATTCAAATGTCACCATATGTGTGCGTGTATACAGTCATGGGTCACTTAATGATGGGGACATGTTTTAAGAAATGTGTCGTTAGGCAATTTCATTCTTGTGTGAACATCATAGGGTGTATTTCAACAAACCGAGATGGGATATATATTTTCATTTATATATTTTATTATGGAAAATCAAATGTCCCAGCACTGTTACTAAATATCAGTCATTTCCCCTACTTGATCTGCCATGCCAACATTAAGTGCCATATATTAGATCTCTATATATACTCCATTATAATCTTACAGGATCACTGTTGCACATGTGTTTCCTCATTGACTGAAATGTTATTCAGTGCATGACTGTACATATAGTAAAAACGTTATGCACCATATTTTAACATACTGATATTACTAATGAGTTGTCCTCATGGTGACTTTAAATATCATAATTAATGCCATCAACCAGAATATATCAAATAAATTCAGATACCACTTGTTCTGTTTATTTCCTTCCCCTGCCAATTTTTTATTTTTCCTGATTCTGCTGAAGCCAAGATGGGGTTCTGTGTAAGATTTTGTTTGTGAGGAAAGGTTCTGCATGAATTAAAGTTTTGCAAGCCATGGGCATTTCATTGTATGGGCCGTTTTGAGGTCTGTCATCTTGCAGATTAGATTAGCTTACACTGAGGCACAGTCACCTGCTGGGCTGGGCAGAGAGCTGCACTCCACTAGTATTTGAGCTGTCCCGGCTGTTCACCAGCTGGATCCACTTCAGATAGGCATAGCCAGGGCAGCCGCCATTCCCATTTGTGGGGGAAAAGGGAAGCTATCACAAGAATGGGCTGCAGCTGTGGGATGAGGCGGGCAGCCCAGTGATGGTGTCATTGTCAAGGGGCCATTGAAATGTCCTTAAGCAGTCATTGGCCAAATCCTGTCCTCTATGGATCCAGAGCCACAGAATGTTCCAGCAGAAATATGTCTTAGCCAGCAGCTCTTTATTGAGGACTGATTGTGGGCTAGGCTCTGTGCTAGGGTCTTTACAGATGTTACTAAATCTTCTCAATAACCCTATGAGACAGGCATTATTATCCCCATCTTACCGATGAGAAAACTGAGGCTTAGAGAGGTTAAGCAGCTTATCCAAGACCACAGTTAATAAGTGACAAAGCCAGCATCGGAACCCATGCTAGTCCTCTCTAAAGCCTTCTTAGAAATCATGTGATAGATGAGAAGATCAAGGTCTGGAGAAGAAAAGCAAGTTGTCTGAGATGACACAATCAGCTCTAATTGGTGGCAAAGCTGCGCCTATAACTCACCTGCGCTTTTCACAACCTGCAGTACGTGACCACTGCCGAAATGAAGAGGCAGCATTGTGCCCCCTCCCACCTTCTGAGTGGCTCAGGCACAATCAGTGTTGAGTTGGCATGAAATGAGAACTTAAACTCACCATGCCACTTTAAGAAGAACATGGAGAAGGCAGGCAGAAGTGACCTTGGAGAACAGTATCTGAGCCAGAAGGCAGGAGGTCAGCGGGGGAGTCTTGAGTGGGAAACTCAAGGGTAGCCTGACTGTCCTTGTCACAGGTTTAGCTGGGCACTGTTAGTTCCCCCCTTTGTCAGTTTGTGGGAATCTGGGCATCAGGGATCTCTTTCAGCCCTTCACATTTGTATTTGGGTGTGCTCAGCTTAAAACGATAGCAGCCTGCAGGAGCTCAGCTCTGCCTCCATTTATAGAGGGAAGAGAAACTAAGGAATGCTCCTTGGGGTGGTGTTGGGGAGCAGCTACATGGGAAAATGAAGGGTGCAGCACCAGTAAAAAGGTGCTCCCAGGACTCCCTCCCACCAGCACTCGGACCAAGGAAGAAGCATTTAATTTCAGCCAGATTTCTAGATGGTTGCTTTTATTTGTTTTCATCTGAATTTGTGCCAAGGATTCAACTTTTCCTGCTTATTTTATTAAAAACTTTATACACAGCATTAATAAATAGATATAAACTGCCATATACATGACAAACAGAGGGGCTTAATGAAATTCCCAAGGGTCAGCTGTTGAATAAGTAACAAAAGCACATCTTGGCATGATCAAATTCCCATATATGCAAATTAGGGACAGTGTTTTACCACAGAGTGTTTTAATTAATATTTATAAATCACAGAGTGCCTTTGAAAGGGCCAGTAAGCTGTTTATATTATTATCATGTCACACAAGTAACAAACCCTTTGGAGATTGCTGCCTACTTTGCATTTTGGTCTGAGAAGTAAGTGAGCATGTTGCCTGTGTTTCTCTCCCTCGTAGGTGTGGTGTCAGCACAGCGGCAGGTCACCGTTCAGGAAGGACCCTTGTACCGCACAGAGGGCTCCCACATCACTATCTGGTGCAATGTGAGTGGCTACCAGGGACCTCCTGAGCAGAATTTCCAGTGGTCCATTTACCTGCCTTCATCGCCAGAGCGAGAGGTGCAGATCATCAGCACCATAGACTCTTCCTTCCCCTATGCCATCTACACCCAGCGCGTCCACGGAGGGAAGATCTTCATAGAAAGAGTCCAGGGGAACCCAACCCTATTGCACATCACAGATCTTCAGGCCCGGGATGCCGGAGAATATGAATGCCACACACCCAGCACCGATAAGCAATACTTTGGGAGTTACAGTGCAAAGATGAACCTAGTGGGTAAGGAGAAGCTGTCTTCACGTTGCCAGCGTCTGGCCTGACTCAGTTCTTTAGTAGTGTAATTTTGCTTTATGCCATGCATTTGACTTTAAAAAAAATCCCAAAACTCCCAACATATTTTAGGGGTCAACAGATAGCACAAGGAAACTAAATTTCTGTGTTCACTTCTAAATAATAGGTGGTTGAGGGTGAAACTTTAAAAAGATCTAATGCAGATGTTAAGAATTTCATAAGTTAACTAACCCTGTAACTGGTGAAAAGGGATATGAAAATATAAGGCAAGGACGTTTGTGGTTGATGATCTGAATGACAAGGAAGATGAGACATATGACATCAGGTGGAAGAGAGGAGGAACCTCTCGGAAGGATAGGCCTCTGGGCAGCTCTGAGACCCACGGGGCACTGCTGAAGCAGGAAGCACATGTGGCTGCGGGTCCTTGCTCAGACCTTGTACATTGAAGGTCCTTTGGCTCCATGCGTAAGGAACTATGAACTGGCTGTCTCCCTTGTTGCTCCTTAATGCTGAAGGAAACATGAGGAAGAGGGATGCAGGAGCTTCCAGTGTGGGCAGCACTGGTCACAGTGTTTGCCAGTGTCAAAGGGTTAACCGTATCAAGGCTGTTCTGTTTTTCTGCCTATCTTAATGTCCAGTTTTTATTATCACAACTAAGCAGTGGGTGTTGCTAGTTCTTTTATTAATACACATACTATCATTTGTTTATGTTTCCTTTCTCTAACTAGTCTGTGTCCCAGCAGGAGACCTTTTATTTTTCGTGTGTGTGTGTGTGTGTGTGTGTGTGTGTGTGACGGAGTTTCGCTCTTGTTGCCCAGGCTGGAGTGCAATGGGGCTCACTGCAACCTCCACCTCCCGGGTTCAAGCAGTTCTCCTGCCTCAGCCTCCCGAGTAGCTGGGATTAGAGGCATGCACTACCCTGCCTGGCTAATTTTGGATTTTTAGTAGAGACGGGGTTTCTCCATGTTGGTCAGGCTGGTCTCGAACTCCCGACCTCAGGTGATCCGCCTCCCTCAGCCTCCCAAAGTGTTAGGATTATAGGTGTGAGCCACCGCACTTGGCCGTTCCCAGCAGGAGACCTGTAAGACCCAATCCTTGGGTGAGAACAGGGAGAAAACACATACTAGTTGTGACTAGGGTACTGTCATCAGACAGAGAGGTGGTGCTATTTAATCTCCAGAAAGGTGCAAGCAAGGATCAGGGTATGATTCTGACCAAGGGATCACGGAGAAAATCTCTTCTCTTGCCTGAATCTCTCCAGACTGTGGCTTCCTTCCAGTGAGGACCCCTTTGATCGATGAATTAGGTGAAAATTAAACCCACTAAAAATAGGGTATGATGATTATTGTTTCTACCAAAAATGGTTTTTTAAAAAAATCATCTTCCTAGGGCTGCATTGCTGAAGTAAGTTACAGGATGGGGATGTGGGAAGGAAAGAAAGGATATTGTATAGAAATGTAAAACTAAAAGTTCCAGGAGGCATTTCCATTAGAGGATCAGTCAGAAGTGAAGTTAAAGTATCTCAAAGCAGTGCCAGAATCAACAACAAATGTTATTTGACCTATAAGACAATTGTTTAAAGACAGTATTTTCAGGGAGTTCATTTATTATGTAATATGAAATACACCCCATGTTTTATCCAAGTGTTATTAAAATACGAGACAGGTAAGTGTAAGCACCAAAATAATGCATTTCCAAATCTGAACAGAAAACTTTCTGTTTATGTGCATCTGGGGCTGTCTGTGGCCTTGAATCGATGGTTCAAGGATGACTGTTAGGGACGCAGTGTGGTGACGCCTGCGTGGAATGGGAGCTTAGCCCCGGGAGTCTCAGATTCTGTGGCTTTGTGACTGCAGTCTCAGGACATTTCTGTGTTGCAGTGATCCCAGACTCCCTGCAGACCACTGCCATGCCCCAGACTCTGCACAGAGTGGAGCAGGACCCACTGGAACTCACTTGTGAGGTGGCCTCGGAGACCGTTCAGCACAGCCAGGTGCTGTGGCCTGGCTCTGGCAGAAAGTTGGCGAGAAGCCCGTGGAGGTCATCTCCCTGAGCCGAGATTTCATGCTTCACTCCGGCAGCGAATATGCCTGGAGGCAGAGCCTGGGGGAGGTGCGGCTGGACAAGCTGGGGAGGACCACCTTCCGCCTCACCATCTTCCACCTGCAGCCTTCTGACCAGGGCGAGTTCTACTGCGAGGCCGCCGAGTGGATCCAGAATCCGGATGGGTCGTGGTATGCTATGACCCGAAAGCGTTCCGAGGGAGCCGTGGTCAACGTCCAGCCAACTGGTCAGTCCCTCTGAGCCTCTTGTCCTGTCCTTTACTTGGTGGTGAAAGCTGTCGGATACTAGGAGAATGTGGAGACTCCTTCTTTGGGCACCTCTACCAGGACAGCAGGTTTTCATGTGAAGTTAAAGCCGGTCTTGTGTGCGGCCGGAGGGAGCTGAGGGATGTGCGGGACATAGGTATCCTAAGACCTGAGTCACAGGCAGGTGCCACACAGACTGAATCCTGCTTAGAGACATGCTTTCTTCCACCTACGTGGTGTTTACACTTTTTTGAATTAGAAACTCATTTTAAAAATTGGGAGATTTCTGAGAAACCATTTGTATCTTAAAACTCCGGGCTTTCATTCCCATTAGCCACAGTTGCTGCCCCGTTTAATGATGTTGCCTTCCTCAGGTACCCATCTGGTTTCATTTGCAGAAGCCATTTGAGATAATGAGACTTCCATCCAAGGTCTAACATTATGAACTAGAGAAATTTTGGCTTAAATTATTATTTTTTATCTAATAATAGTCTTTGGTGATATTTTGTAATTTCCAAAATGCTTTATCACATATTACTTCACCATCCCCCAGACGTTCTGTGAGGTGAGTACGTGGTAGTATTCCTATTTTGCAGGTGAGGATGCTGAATGCAGATTACTTTATGTTGGGGCTCAAGAGGAGTCATAGGGCATGTTGATGAGGCCAGTCTGAGAGTACCAAGTTCCACTGTATATGTTTTCTTAAGTGAAGACCTGGAAGGGGTCCTGAGGAGGTTGCATGATGTCTTTAGACACCATCATTTGTCTTGAGGCAAAATGATGGTGGCACAGCCAGCTGAAACCCTCCCTGGCTTCTCTTGGTATCTCCTGTGGCCCCAGACTCTACTCCCCAGTCTCATGAGCCCACCAGGCTCCAGGCCAGAGCTGACAGCTGTTGCTGGCTGCCTCTGCTGGGCTGAGGGCAGGTTCTCACATGGGCCTTCAGTTCCCCCAGCTTTGGTTGGAGCGTGGTTGTTGTGCCGTCACTAAGTTGGTGATGAGTGGCCTGAAAGCCTTTCCTTGTGTGGATGCTCACTTCCAGTGAGGACTGTGGTGGTTCTGGTGAGTGAGTGTGGCTTTGTGGGAAATGAGCTGGTGAGTTGCAGTACAGGTGGGGTCCTTCTTCAGGACCTGTCTCTTGGGCTCCCTGTCCCATTTGCTGCAGTCAGTTGTCTGGGTCTTTGCATACTTTCTCTGCCATTCTAGAGTAATGCCTCAGACTCAGCTAACAGTACACATTTTGGGGCTTTGTCCCAGAAGTCTTCAATTGGAGGCTCCCGGGATGGGACCTGGGAAGCTGGATTTCTGGCACGCTTCCCAGGTGATTCTTCTGCTATCTACATTTTTTTTTTCAAGCAAAGCTTCTAGGGCAGAAGCAATTCTCTGGACATCACTTTAATAAGTCATCTAATGGATGTGAAATCTTTTACCATAGGGGTTGGTAGGGATAGGGGGCACTTTATCTGCTCTGTAGGGCATTTAGCAGCTTCTGGATTTTTCAGTATTAAAAAATCTATCCAAGGGGCTTTATTTTATATTTATCCTTTCCCTTCCTGGAAAGTTTTGAGATCAACTTCAAAAATTTGGGCCAAATTTTGAGTCTTAATGCTTTTAAATTAGGTTGCATCAGTTAATCTTCTTTATTTTAATCTTACCAATTTGGAATTAGAACTTTTTGAATTTACCCTGAAAATGTATCTAGACTAAGCCATCAAAAGGAAAACTAAGTGAAAAAAAAGTTGATGACTTCACTCTGCATTCCTGTGCTGTTTAGGTTCAGTAGTTGCATCTCCAACTCTACCCTTCTCAGTTTATTTCAGTAAACATGTAGCCAGTCTCCACAGCATTGAAGGTGTGATGGTGATAGGCATTAAGGGCTTCAAAGATGACTAGCACTGGTCCCTGCACTTAGGCAGACCTGAGAACCAATGGACAAGTAAAATGTGCTAAGTGCATTGATAGCATTTGTATAGAGTCCTCTGGGAATACCGGAAATAGGAAGTGTTCTTGCAACCATAGTTTTCTCTGAATGGGATGGTTGATAAGACAAATCCAGGAACACCAATAAGTTTCTTGACTTGAACTGAGTCTGGAAGCTTGAGGAGTCAGGAGAAGAAGCATAAAAGTGCAAAAGTGTTTGATATGTTTGGCAAGCAGAAAGGAGTCAAGTATGACTAGTTCCAGATGTTCAGTTCCAGATGTGTGTGATGAGAGGAAAGGGAGCCCGAAGCCCCAAATGCAGTGATATAGAGCCAGGGCTTGACTCTGTGGGCCAAGAGTTTTTAAGCTGTTCTTGGAACCCTGGAAGCCCCTCAAAGGTGCCTAGGAGGTTAGACATGGGTGTGTGTTGGTGTTCATGTGCACATTGTGCACACCCAGGAGTGCAGGGAGAAGGCATGCAAGGGCCTGGGTGGTCCCCCCTTGCTTCAACTATGTTGGGCAGCAGAAGATTTTATATGAATAAAAAGTCCACTTCCTTTGTCCTCTTCTTAATAAAGTTTGAAGACCTCTGCTGCAGACAGTTGGAGAGGAGGTAGAGATTTTTAAGCAGGGAGTAAGACAATCAGATCAGGGTTTCAGAAAGAAAAACCTATGGAGGCCACCTGGAGGTTGATTAAATCTGTTGAGTCTGAAGCCAAGAGACCAGGTAGAAAAGAGCTAATAAGAGCCAAGGCTAGGTCAGTGGGTGCCAGAGGCGAAAGAATAAAGAGCACAATGGAAGGAGGGGTCCAACTGTCTAGAACCCCAGGGGCTGGGGCTGGGGCTCTGGGGGTTCCTTGAACTGTGGGAGGGAAGGAACAATAATGAGGACATGCGGGACCTTTGCATTTGTGGCAGCATTGGCTGCCTTTTGTTTTTGTAAATTCTAATGAAAGAGCCCATCCATCAGATAGACTCTGATAGAGATGCTCAGTGTGCGAAACACCCAGTGGGTCCTCAGACATAGGGGTCTGGGGCTCAGAGACCGAGCCTGAGAGTGATCAGGGCCCTGGAAGAGCTCATGGGGTCAAAATGGGAAAGGGCCTGGGAGAACAGCAGCAGTAAGGGGTGACCAGAGAAGCAGGTGAGAGAGTGGAACAGAGTGGGCAGGCCAGCAAGAAGAGCAGGAGAGAAGGGATCATAGAGCAGGCTCAGAGGCCTCAACCTGCTTGAGGAAAGCCTTTGGTTAGGATGGGGGTAGGGGTAGGGGTAGGGTGGATCATTCATGACATTTGCTAAGTCAGTGAAGCCTAATTTCAGTGAGATGAAGTGGAAGGGGTATTGGAAAAAGCACAGGTCAGTTTCTAGAGATGTAATTGACTGGGCATAACCAAGGGCAGAAACGGGGGTGATGTGGGTAAATCTTGTGTCTTCAACCTGGGAACATGAAGGTGTCACCAAGGCATGGGGGGATTCCCCTGAGATGAGCAGATCCTTTGGCCTCTGAAAGAAGAAAGCCAGAGTTACAGCCAGGCTAACCTGGAGCAATGGAAAGGTCTGAGGTCTAGGGTACCCCTTGCACAGCTCCAGTGGTGTTTATGTGGAAGGAGTGCTTTTCTGTCATTGATGTCGGGTTATAAATGACTAATTGGGTTGACATGAGAGATAATATCCAGCAGATAACATGGGGACTGTCCCATATGGGTGTGTTCATCCAGGCAGATGGTGGCAGAGTGAAATGTGCTTCCTTCAATCCATGCCTCTTAAGACTGGTCTCTTGGGAGCTGGAAGCTGTGACAGCAGCTACTTCATTGGAGGGGAGGCCCTGGAGTTGATGACGTGGTTTTCCCTGTCAGGAAGTTTGGCTGCTAGAGGAAGTAGTTAGGTCACTGGAAAGAAGAGGTGTTTGCAGCAGGTCACTGGCCTATATCGGCAGGGAGGGGCTGGAGAGCCTGAGGAGTGGGAGGGGTAAAGCTGAGCTGGGGCTGGAAAAGAGGAATGTGGATGCTGCTCATGCGTGACTCTTATGTTTTCTCGGGGAAACAGAAACCTCGTCTGCTTGAAGAGTGCCTAGGACGGGATGAATGGGCAAGATCTTGCAGATAGTGGGAAAGACTAGACATGCCAGTCTAGGGAAGGCAGACAAGGTCAGAGCTAATGAATCTACATGGAATTCAAACATCTCTGCCATGAGATTTTTTCCACCTCAGTGTTCTTTTTAGAGGAACAGAGCTAGAACTGGGCAGTGGTCACAGCTCCAGTCTCTAACCCTTAACTCCATTTTCTTCCCCCTGACTTCTGCCCTGGGTGCCTATGAGATACGATAGCTGTCTAATGAGATTAATAGCCACTGTACACTGGTACACAGGTTGTGGTGATGCTGTTAGTGGTGATGAGCCCCTCTTTGGTCACCCCCTCATGCCTGGTTAAACACCCAACTCAACAAAAATTAGCCAGATATGGTGGCTACTCCGGAGGCTGAGGTGGGAGGATGGCTGGAGCCTGGGAAGTCGAGGCTGCAGTGAGCCATGATCATGCCACTACACTCCAGCCTGGGCAACAGAGCGAGACCTTGTTACAATAAATAAGTAAATAAATAAAAATTTAAAAAACACCTAGCTCTTTGGAGGCTGCTTGGTTTTAGTAATCATTTCAGAGTCTGTCTGGCTTTCAGCAGAAGTAGGTACTTTCCTACTAAAGTACCTACTAAGGTTTAACCAGGCGTGAGTACTTAGTAGGTACTTTCCCACTGAAGTAGGTACTTTCCTACTAAAGTAAGTACTTAGTAGGTACTTCAGTGGGAAAGTACCTACTTCCATTGAAATCTGCCTAAAGATTTGATCTGACAGGTGGTAAACTAGTGAACAGACATTAGTTTTTATTTTTTCTATGTAATTCTGTTAGGGTTTTGTCATGGCTACAACTTATTTCTAGTATTCACATGGCGGGGGGTAGAGAGGGAATTTTAATCTTTGAGCATTTGTTAGGATTGGGCCAGCACCTAGGCCACTCTGTAATTTTTTCCCACAGACCTCAGTGGGGTAAGTCTTACAGTATCTGCTGAAAATGTTTATAAGGCTGTTCCTTAAATAGAGTTCTGGGTGCATATATCAAGGCTAGATATTTGTAATCCACCATTTGAGTGATATTAGTAGCTTCTCACTGACCTGGGGGTTTCATGCAAGACATCTAAAGCTTCAGACTGAGCCCCATTGGTCTTAACTGGGGTAACAGTTTGCTTAGACCGTCTGGGCTGAAGTAGTATTGAATTCTGTCTGTGATATTCAGGCGTTTCTCTGGACCTCAGATAACCTGGGTCTGAGTTGGATTTTACTCTCAAGCCAAGTGTTGTGGTACTCCCTGCAATTAGTATTGTAAAGAAGAGGAAGGATAGTGGGAATGTGCTAATGTGGTTTAGTTGGCTGGGGCCCTCATTCACCCAGGATGTGTCTCTTTTCTTAATTGTTCTCTCAGACAAAGAATTCACTGTTCGGTTGGAAACAGAGAAGCGGCTGCACACGGTGGGCGAGCCGGTGGAGTTCAGATGCATCCTGGAGGCTCAGAATGTTCCCGACCGTTACTTTGCTGTCTCCTGGGCCTTCAACAGCTCGCTCATCGCCACCATGGGTCCTAACGCTGTGCCTGTCCTCAACAGCGAATTTGCTCACCGGGAAGCCAGGGGACAGCTTAACGTGGCCAAAGAGAGCGACAGTGTCTTTGTGCTGAAGATCTACCACCTCCGCCAGGAAGATAGCGGGAAATACAACTGCCGGGTGACTGAGCGAGAGAAAACCGTGACGGGGGAATTCACTGATAAGGAGAGCAAGCGTCCCAAGAACATCCCCATCATAGTCCTCCCCCTCGGTAAGTAGAGAGATGTGCTGCTTTCTTCTCCTTTGGCTCAGCATCATTTAGGAGAGGTAGGGGGAGAGAGAATAGTGTGGTGAGGGTGAGGGGAGGCAGATGGAACCCCCGAGGTTAATGCAGAGCTGGGGGAAAAACCATTGAGCCTCTCTTCCCTGTTGTAGCCCACCTGCCTACATTTAGCAGTCTCCCCATAGCAGAGGATCAGGATCAGGGGTGTCCAGGATCAGGGCAGTCTAGGGCTGGGCATAGGCCTATCTGATTGCTAGCAGCCCTGTGCATACACAAGCAGTGCCAGCTCAGCTTGGAGGGAAACCAGGAATCCCAGAAAGCTGTTTGCTCTTGTGTGGGAATCAAGTCCCAGAAGAAGTGGGTAGATAGATGCCTGCCTTGAAATCTCACTTAAGGAGAGCTGGTCTTTTATGGGAGGATTTTAAATCATAAAGTGCATTATTAAGGATTTGCCATCTGGGTTTTTCAGGTATAAAGGCTGGCATTTCCCTAAATGGCTTTTCCCTGTTGAAATTGTGTTTCTAAAAGTCAGTGGATGGGACCTCTCACATCTTCCTGGAGCATAGTCTTTTAAGCTTAGCTGATTTCTGAGGCTGCCTCAGTGGGCTCCCAGCCTTCATGTAGACTGGCCTTGTGTGGGTGGGTAGTGGCCATTGCTAGGGATTCCAGAAACTACCGGTGTTTGCTTGTGTTGTGTTTAAACATTCACAGTATCAAGATATTCTTATTAATCTCATTCTCCCATAGTTCTGTTTTTAGTAAAGAGAATAAAAACCTACGATGCTCTGATTTTAAACAAGTGGTAAAGTTTTAAGACTAATCTTTAACCTTTTCTCAGCTGCTAAAACTATTCTTTCTCTGAGCCTTGTAATAATTTCCTTTACTTTTTATTTATATGTTTTAATATTTAAAATATTTCTCTTCAAGTGTGAAGTAAAAAGTAGCCATAGGGGTCCTCTTGTTAGTCTTTTCTTCTTTTCTCATCAACTGGATTATTTTCTTTTATGCTTATTATTATTTTGTTAAAAACCATGCACACACATACCTAATTATCTTTTTTTTCCTGGCAATAAATATTTTAATTTGTTTCATTTTTATGATGACAAATAATTTTCAAGTTTATTTCCTCGTTTAAATACAAAGCTAAACCACAAACAGGTATAATCAAGACATTGTGTCTCATATTTACACTCCCATCGGATCCTCTTCCAATTTGCTGACCACTGACCAGGCTAGCGGGGGGCGGGGGTGGGAGGGAAGACTTTCTTAGGTAACACCGTCGTAAGGCCCGAGGTGGGGTTGGGGGGGGAATCAAAGATGAGGACAGGCTCTCATACCTGTCTCCATTCACATTTACCTGGGACCAGGGTGGGCAGGAGACACCAGGTCATGGCTCCTGAGCCCCGGCCCCCTGGACTGAAGGGACAGTGTGTGAGAATCAGTTCTGTGAAGGGCGGGAGGAAGCAGCCACCTATTCCTCCTGCCTTCACAGTTAAGGTGAAAACCTTAGCCCTATCCTTGATTCCTGGGGGCTGCCGGGCCCTGTGTGCCCCCCTGCACACCTGGGTGTCTTTCTGAGGCTGGCAGCATCGGCTGGGGTCAGGGGTCCTGGGCTCCTAGGCTCACACCTCAGCTCAGTTGTGTCCTTGCAGGAGGACACTGGGTATCTGACAAACACAAAGCCTCGACAGCAGGTCTGGAACTTTCAACCCCAGCAGGATGAGGGGGAATGGGGGTGGATGTCAGGTAAGTAATTTCTGGTCCCACTACAAAACTTTATTTTTGATTAGAGTACCATTCTCAATCTCTTCTACAAAAAGCAAAAAAAAAAAAGCAAAAAAAAAAAAAAAAAAGCAGCCACTTCACTCACTTCAAGACCTATATACATGTAAGTTGTTTTCTGTGTTTTTTTTAATTATTTTTAATTTTTATTATTATTTTTAAAATAAATTCAGTGTTCACATTTCTATAAAGAATTAACCCAGTTTCAGGAAACCCTGCCCCAGCAGGGCAGGTAAGCAACACTCTCCCTGCCCACATCTAGTTTGATTTCGCGCCCTGATGCTTCAAGCTGCCCAGAAAAGCGGCAGCTTGTGGAAGAGGAAATCTATGCCTGGCCCGTGCTTGGGGCCCAGGGCTCAGTAAGCTTTCGAGAAAACAGAGGGGAAGACTAGCTTACTGCAAAAACCTTTTTAAAAAATATTCATACACTTCAGTGAGTGCCTGTCGAGACGTTAGGAGAACAAGAGCTTGGAAACATCCCGTCCAGGCCACTGGGAGGCAGCATCTTCCTCACACCCCGTCCCTGGATTTCGGGGGTGCAGGGGGAAGGTCCCGGCTCTTCCACTGGAGAAAGGAGACTCACCTAGCTTCCTAGTTCATGTTTGACTATTTCCTCTAAAACCTGTGCTGAGTCTTTGACTGCATGCACGGGAAGCACAAACGTTCGGCTTGTATGCAAAAAAAGTACAAAAACAACTAGAATATAAAAGTTTTGGTAATATAAGGCCATCTGTTCAAGTCCACCTTGGAAACCTGTAACAGATATTTAAATACTACAGTGAAAAGGCATCTTAATATACTTTTTAAAAACATCTGAAGTAATCCGCTAAGATTAAGTGTGTAAAAAAAAATTCAATTCCCTTTGAGGGCACTTTGTCCTTTGAAGAAGGGAAAGTGGGGCGGGGAGGGCGCGGGGCCCACCGGTTAATGCTTCAGCCATGGGTGGGCTTCAATGGAAGCCTTGCTGCGGTCCCCATAGTCATACAGGGGCTCCTCCCCAGCCGCGATGTCTCGGGAGGCGATGAGGATGAGGTGAGGTACGCCGTCGATGTCGTGCAGTTTGGTTTGGCAGTTCCCACGTTTGCTGTGATTGATCAGTCTTCCTAGGCGATTTGTCTCTCTAGTTGCATCCACGCAGTAGGTTTTGCTCAGATACTGAAAATAGTACATGTAGCAGCCCGTGGAAGGGTCCTGTGCGTACAGAGCCTCCCGTTTCTTGGCGTCGGTGATCTCGATGAGGTCCCCGTGGTATTCCACCACAAAGGCACCCCGGGAGAACTGCTTGGTGGCAATCACACCCCTGCCTTTGCCATCGATGAGGTCAATCTTCATTCCTTCTTCCTTCCCACTTTCAATCAATTCATCTATTCTTTTCCTTTCTTCAGACTGCAGCTCGGCTTTGCTCTTCCTGGAGCTCCTTCGGACAGGGTAGAAATCCGTGTTTGCGATTCTGTTGCGTTTTTCCTTGAGCTTTTTTTCGGGGGTGCTGTTTGCCCTTGATGGGCTTTTTCAGGGCCGGCTTGGCGATGGCTGCATTGGTGGAATCACAAGATGAGGGTGGAGTTTTTGGAGGTTCTGCTGCTTCAGATTTTTGGTTTGGAAAAGGTACCAGGGGACGTCTCCTGGCGTCTTTGATCTTCTGTTCCTCGGACTTCATGGCGCTCCGTACTGCGTTCCCAGCATTTCTTTTCTCTTCTCGTTTCCTGTAGATTCCGGCTAATGGTTTCCCCTGGCATTTGACTTCGTGATGTGTAACTGAGTTATCTTCCTGAAGGGGGAAACGCATTCCAGAGCATTTGTTCGGGCTCATGTAGGAATAGATCTTTGACTGCCCGGTAAATACGTTCTCCCCGTCGGTGCGGGGCCTCCCCGGGCCCCTCCGCTCCACCATCTCCGGGCCCGGGGCCGTCGCTGCCACCGCCGCCGCCGCCGCCTCCACCGCGCAGGGCTTGGACATCTTCCCGCCTGCAGCCCGGCCAGGCCCATGGCAGCGCGCCCTGCGCCCTAGCCGCCGCCGCCGCTGCCCGGCCACCACCGCTGCCGCTGCCGCTGCTGCTGCTGCTGCCGCCGCCACCAGCGCCGCCGCGGCGCCCCCTTCCCCCATGGCCGGCAAGGCAGGGCCCGGCACCCGCGCACCGCGGCAGCCCCGGGCCGCCCGGGGCGAGGCACGCAGGGAGGAAGGCGCAGGCGGCGCGTCCTCAGCAGCCCGCCCGCCCGCTCCACCTAATTATCTTGAAATTCTTTTGTTTCTTAGCCTTTTCCACCCTGCAATGCCTAGCATGGTGCTTTGCATAGAGTAGGTGCTCGCTGAATACTGTACAACTGAAATTATTGAATTGAATGCCCACTGTCTTTACTATTTTCCTGTCAGTCTGTGCTTGCCTTAACCACGGACTCTCTACTTTTAAATCTGCAACTAATTCCTCATTGTTTTCTAAGGATCAAGTGAAGGGCAGCCACTCTGTTTACTTCCTATATTTTTTGTCCTAAGATTTCCCCCAACCCCTTCTGAGAACTTGTTTGATGATCTGTGGCCTGCTATATTGCTTTTCCAGCAGATAACTGGGTAGTTAAAGTCCCCCAGCACCGCCAGATCCTGTCCCAAGGCCACTTGGGTAAGTCGGCTGAAGAACAACAACAATCACATCGGTAATGGTGATAATGCCTTGGATTTTAATGGCGCTTTTTCTCCTAAGAGACCAAAGTGCTTCTGCATATATCATCTCCTTCTCCGCTCCCACCTCTCAAATCCTCGTAGAGGCCAATATGATATCCATCTAATGAATGAAGAAATCAGAGCACCACACAGGAAGTGACAGAGCTGATTGTTCAGTTAGTGGTTGAGCTTGCATTGTATTAGGAAATATTTGCTTCTAACTCCACACCCACCGCCCTGCGCTTAGCCTGTGCTACACCATCAACTTCCTGATTTGAAATTTCATTTGCGAATGTGTACTCAGATTTTTATTAGTTCTGTCCTAGTTTTCACTTAATCCAGAGAGTTTAAAATTGTCAGCTGCCTTTTCTCAGGCCTGGAAATTCTTGTAAATAGTGTTTAGTGGGCAGTGAGGCACCAGGTCTGTAGTTGCCTTTGCCTCAGCTGCTGTAATAAAATAGCATTTCTTCTTGTAGCCCCACATTCTAACTATGTGGGTTTCCAGGCTTGCTCAAGCAACAGAGCACCACCAAACAGTAGCCCTTTCAATAAATGAGCCAGGACTTGCATAAGCGTCCACTGGGATGACAGTAGGGGATGAGAGTGAGGTCCTGCAAGTCATTCTCCTGCTTAAGACAAGTGAAAGAATTTTCTTCCTTGATGCTGCAGTTGCCCTTTTAATCCCTTATTTTGAATTGATAACAGTGGGGATGAGTCTTTAATCTAAAGAGGAATATTGTTGTTATTAATGATGATGAAAAATAATTACCTCATCTAATCCTGTCAATGTCATGCCCTAAGAAGTAGGCACTATTAGTATCTCCATTTTTCACATGAGAAATTGGAGCTTTGGTAGGTTAAGGAAGAACCACAGGATTACAGAGTTAAGAAGTCTCCAAATCCAGCCCCTTAACCATTAGTGCTATAGATGGTGACTGTTCAGGAGCCTGATTATCTCTATGAATCATCCTGGTATGACTCCTGGGGGAGGTCGCCCTCCTGGGAAAATTGCTATTCCCTGCCCCATCCAGACCTTTTATTTTTCACATAAAACAAGCACATCCAGAATGGCTAGCAGGCATCCTCACTATAATAAGAGCTACATTTTGAGGCTCAGTGCTCATCTTTGTTTCTGCTTGTTGAGGAAATAAAGGAGAGAAAAGATTTGATTCAAATGCATTGTTATGTGTATGTGTGTGTTTTCTCTTGGTAATTGGGTGTGCCTCTTAAAATCTGGGATTTGATTTAATTAATTGGTTTAAATTATTGCATGTATTTAATGTGGGTGGTACCCAAAAATTGGAGCCAAATTAGTTACTTTGTGTTCTTTAATACTTACAGACCTTCTGAACTCAATATAGATAATTATACAAAATACTACGTGCATAATTAAAACATATTAGGCTATCTGTGATGTTTATAAAAACAAAGAGTTATGTGGAATAGTAAAATTAATCATGATCATGATGACCAGTTTTTGAAAACCTACTATGTGTTAGGTGAATCTATATGCATCATCTCATTTACTTTTTAATATTTAAAGAATTCTACAATTAAAGGTGGCTCTCTACCTGTCTTACAGAAGAAGAGGCTGAGGCATGTCGAGTTTAAATAATTTGATTGAGTGATTCAGATAGTTAAGCGAGCAGCAGAGGCTAGATGAGACAGGGAAGGGAGTGGAATCCTTATCCCAAACTTTTGATTGGCCAAATGTTTCTAGAAAGAGAGCAAAGGAGCCCCAGGGCTGACTGGACAGGTGGGAGAGTGGTGGATGATGAGCTGCTGGCTTTGTTTTATTCCTGTGTGTTAATGAAAGAATGAAAGCCTGCTCCTCATGCACTGCAAAACCAGACCATCTGTGCTCTATTATTACCCACACTTAAGCACACGTTATCATCCAAATACTTACTGTCAGTTTTTTTTTTTTCGTACTTCCTAAATTGTCCTGAAGGACTCAAATGGCACATTATGGATGTTCAGCTTTTATTTGACTGCTGTAGTATCGAATGGTAGGAAGAGTGAAGTGAAGTAGGATTTTGGAGTTACTCTTCTTGCTGAAAATTCAACTTGAAAAACCCTGAACTGCCGCTGAATAGATTACCCAATAAATTGTTTTATGCCCTAATCATCATGCCACTATGTTGTATTTCTTAGGTTCTTATTCAGGCTCAGGTGTTAGAACCTCGTTATCACAGTTCTCTGCACACAGCAAAGAACATCCTAGATTATCAGATCTAAAACCACAGGGAGCAATGCCCAGAACCAGCCAGGGCTTACATCAGCTAGGGTCAGAGTGTTTTTGACCCTCTGAGGCTCACCGTACCTGAATATGATTCCATTTGCACCCCTCCTCCTGTTTCCTCTGTGGGGAGGGCGCTGTGGAGACCATAAAGCCTCCAGGGTGTTTCTCTCTCCCTCTTCCTAGAGAGCAGCATCTCCGTGGGGGTGGCCAGCAATGCCAGCGTCATCCTTGAGGGCGACGACCTGCGCTTCTCCTGCAGCGTCCGCATGGCAGGCAGGCCGCAGGGTCGCTTCTCTGTCATCTGGCAGCTTGTGGACAGGCAGAACTGCCGCAGCAATATCATGTGGCTAGACCGGGATGGCACCGTGCAGCCAGGCTCGTCCTACTGGGAGCGCAGCAGCTTTGGGAGCGTCCAGATGGAGCAGGTGCAGCCCAACTCATTCAGCCTGGGCATCTTCAACAGCAGGAAGGAGGACGAGGGCCAGTATGAATGCCATGTGACTGAATGGGTGCGGGTGGTGGATGGCGAGTGGCAGATTGTTGGGGAGCGCCGGGCCAGCACTCCCATCTCCATCATAGCTCTTGGTGAGTGAGCGGTGGGACTGGCAGTGGGTCTGGCATGGAGACAGCTTCAGTGTCAAACACCTTATCCTGACTTTTGTCTGTCAGAGTTCTAGCAGGAAACTATGGCCAGTCTTTTACCTATAGAGTTTGAAGTACTTTCCTTTATATCTATTTTGTTTCTTATAAGGGTTTAATTAATTAAGATAGTGCTAGCAGGGACTAAGGGACCCACAGTGGATGATGGGGCTCCTGAGGGATAGCAATAGCTGGCAGCTGTGACTACTCCTAGTCTGGCTGGGAGAGAGTGATGTTATCAGAACTCTATCCAGGTTAGTGAAGCCACCCAGCCATAGTGGTGGCCCCAGGTGGAGGAGCATGGCCACTGCCAGCCTGGCCTTAAAGAGAGCAGAGTGGCTGAGCACTGTGTGGCATGTCTTTCCTGCCCTGCTGTTCAGGGGCCAGCCTTCCTGAAAGAGAGCAGAGAAGGGTATAAAATTATCTGTTGTCATTTATTTAGCATTTACTATGTTCCTGGCTAATCCTTAACACTTAAGCTTAGTTGTCCCATTGAATCCCCACCTAGCCAAGTGACAGACACTTTCATTTTATGGAGGAAACTGAGACTGAGACACATTAAATACTTTGCCTAAGGCTAGAAGTTTCTACTACCTGATGGGGCCCATACCTAACAAAGCTATTCCCTCATTAGCATGGAATGAAAAGATACCTTGAGATTTGCTAAAACCAAGGAAGATTAGATTTGCTTCTCATGGGGTAAAGAGGCTTCTATCAACATTTATCTGCTTGGATATAATCAGTATATTAGATTTTAAACGACCAGTCTGTGACTTTGCTGGGAAAGAAACTTGTTATGTCAGGTCTTCCTGTTTATCAGGAGACATTGGTTGTCCTCAGCAACTTTATGTCCCACTCCCTGGGACTGTGTCACCACCTTCCTTGCAGGTCGGGATGGTGGTGCTTTTGGATACTTCCAGTAAAGATGGCAGCCCCGAGTGGTTTTTGTCCTTAACAGAGTCCTCCATTTTCTTACCCCTCTGAGATTAGAATTACATTTGTTTTCTAAAGCTTAATCCTAAAGATTGACCTGCTTTTTGCAGTAATTATATGGCTCAGATTTCTGTCTTAGAAACTTCCTCCAGTGATTGCGTTTCCTGATCAGCTCAGTTCCTGTGTCCATACTCAGCACCTGTGTGGACCCAGTCAGATGGAACTTGGGGGACAAATTTTGGATGTCCAGTACTGGTGTTTTTTTTTTTTAACCATCCTGGAAGGTTAGGAATGTCCAATGAGTGATTAGAGTTAGTGAGGATTGTTTCTCTAGAAGTAATTTATGGTATCAGGTTATCCCCTGAGTTTTTTCTTACTCACCATATGTCTGGTGGTTCTCACAGCCAGGGGCACTGAGGAGCTCTGCCCTGGGATCTGGAGGCCAGCACTGTTCACCTGATCTCCACCGCTGAGATACCTCTGGCTACAGCCATAATCAGGTGGCCCAAAGGACTGAACAAGGAAGAATGGGAGGGCACTCTAGACTAATTAAGGTTGTCTTTTCAGTCTAAAGTTAACAATGACACACATGAATTTTCATATCAGTATAATTTGATGTGGGTCCCAAATGTACAATGGGCCATTATGGCTGTTCAGTTAGAGCAGCTTGGGTGCTCTGTGACTGTGGCATGTGCCTGTGTCAGGACTAGACAAAGTCATTTGCTTGGGGAAGCTCTCTCCCCTTCAGGTGTGAGGCCAGGAGCACCTGGTGTGGGTCCTGTCCCTGAGGTTCTGTCCTACACCACCCTCATGCAACACCTACTACACACAGGTGCACAGTGACAGTCAGAGGTGCTTCATGTTTAAGGATGGACCTCCGTGTCATAAACTTTTTTAAAAGGTATATAGAGATAGCTCATGAAATCCAAATCAAAGGTCCAGAGTTTTCAGCAAATTGTACCTACCTATTTGCCAACTTAACCTCACCATAGAAAGCCAAAAGATTCATCCTGTGGCCAGTCTTTCACATTACAGAATTTAAAGTACTTTTTTAAAATTTCTATTTCATTTTTTAACAAAATATTTAACAAAATATAGTATATCTCATGTGCCAGGTACTATTTGTAATATTTATAAACACTGATTTATTTAATCTTCACAGAGACTCATTTTACAGATTGGAAAACAGAGGCAGAGAGAAGTTAAGTAACTTTAATGTCACTCAGCTGGGACGTATCAAAGGCTTGGCTGCTGGCTCCAGAGTCTAGACCTTTAACCATTGTGTTATGCTTTCCATGGGTAAAGCAACCTAAAAAGGCCCCTGGAATCAGTTACATGTGGTTGGAGACTAACTCTGTCATTGACTTACCAAATGCTTGATATTGGGCAATTTATCTAACCTCTCTCTGCATCAGTTTCTACGTCTGCAGGAAGAGATGACAAGCCTGCCTGTTCTACAAGGTTGTTTTGGGGATTCAGTGGAGCATGATGAGAGCAAAGCAGTTGGCACCATGCTTGCACCTAGATAGTGCTCAATAAATACTGGCTACTGTTAGCTTTATGATTGTGATCAATGTATGAATATTAAGCAGTATTTCCAGGCTGAAGGAACTCTGAGGTACTCATATTGAGGAGTCAGTATTAGAGCTTAGCAGTGCTGCCCATTCAATAAGGAATATTGAGAGACCCACAGCCGCTGAGACTGCAGAACCCTGCATTTAGGACAATTGTCCCACCCCACTGGAGGTCCCCACCTGCTCTGTTCTTGGATTTCATGAGGGACGTGAGAAAGGGACTGGAGGCCGACTCCATCTGCTTCCCTTCTCAGCACCAGTGCACTAAGGGACCAGGAAAAGAGGTGTTGGGGCTGTGTGGTTGTGTTTTCCTCCTGCGCAATGGAGGAAATTGGCTTTGGGGTTTTCTTTTCCTGTTTTCTCATGGAATCTCAAGATTTCTAGGAGCAACCCTGCCTACATGCAATCAGTCCCTGAGAGGATTGTGATGTCTAATTCCAGGGGAGGAGCAAATGCACGAGGATCTCATTGGGAAGGGTTAGGCTAGCGCTGCTCAGGGGGAATTGTGGTGGGCCTTTCTTTGGAGTCTTGGAAACTCTTGGACTGGGCCTCAGCAGGATACTAAAAGCAACACTAGCCTGAGAGCTCAAAAGGGGCCCCGAGAGCCTCTGCTCCACACTGCTTGCTTTGCCAGCTGCCCCATTGCTGATGTCATACTGCCCTGAGAAAGCCACATGCCTCCTCTGGTTGAATCTCTCTGCTCTCTCTCCAGAAATGGGCTTCGCAGTCACAGCCATCTCCCGGACACCGGGGGTGACCTACAGCGACTCCTTTGACTTGCAGTGTATCATCAAACCCCACTACCCTGCCCAGGTCCCCGTGTCAGTGACATGGCGGTTCCAGCCGGTGGGCACGGTGGAGTTCCATGACTTGGTGACCTTCACCCGGGACGGAGGGGTCCAGTGGGGGGACAGGTCCTCCAGCTTCCGAACCCGAACTGCCACCGAGAAGGCTGAGTCCAGCAACAACGTCCGCCTAATCATCAGCCGAGCCAGTGACACGGAAGCAGGCAAGTACCAGTGTGTGGCAGAGCTGTGGCGGAAGAACTACAACAACACCTGGACGCAACTGGCGGAGAGGACCTCCAACCTGCTGGTGATCAGGGTGCTGCAGCCAGGTGAGTGCTGAGGACCTGTGGGCTATGTGCCCATGCTGCCTGAGCAGACGTGAGGGAAAAAGAAAAGTGTGCATGGAGCCCTCAGCATCACTTCCCCCTTTCCCAGCTCTTCATTTAGAGACATTGCAAATCAATAGGAAGTTTTAAGAATCATGCAGTGGACACTTGTATTTCCTTTCCTTGATAGCCAGTTGTTGTCTGACGGCATTTGTTTTCTTCCTCTGTGTGTATGTTTGTTGTTGTTTTTGAGCCATTGGAGGGAAAGCTGTGGACATTGGGACACTTCCCCCTAAGTACTTCAGCATGTAACTCCTAAGAACCTACCCCTATCACCTACATTTCCCCAGTTGTCCCAATCATGCCCTTTATTTTTCCCTTTCAGATTAGGATCCAACCAGGGATCACACATCACATTTGTTATCCTGTCTCTTTAGACTCCTTTAATCTAGAACAATTCCCTAACCTGTGTGTTTGCATGTGTGTGTGTGTGTGTGTGTGTGTGTGTATGTGTGTGTCTGTAGACATGGACATTTGTGAAATGCACAGGCCAATTGTTTTAAAGAAAGCCCTTTTCTTTACTTAACCTCATCTCCTGTAATCCTCATACAATTATGTGGAAGTGATATCATTGTCTCCTGTTCATAGACAAGGAAATTGTGAGTAAAAAGGGAGGGTAATAGGCACCTATTGAGCATCTTCTTTGCATGAGGTGCTGAAGGTCAGTTATTCTATTAGAATTGCACAACAACCCCAGGAAAGATTTAAGTGACTAGCTTAAGGTCATGTACCTAGTGAATGGTGGAGCCAGGATTTGAACCCCGGTTGTCTCCCACAATGTTGCCTGCACCCAGGCCCTGTCCAGTTGTATGGGCCCTGAATTTGAGCTCCTTTCTCTATGGAGGCTGAGTCTGTCTCAAAGCGGATCATCAGGATGCATTAATTTGGGGAGCATTAGTCAGTGGGGCTTTCTGCAAACACTCTCGCCTTCATCAGGCTCTTCCGCTGACATGCGGGAGGAGTTAAGTACATGCAGCTCTTATGGTTTTCCTCCATCTGTCCTTGTCTCCTGCCAGGTTAGAAGCTGGTGGAGGGTGGAGCCCAGGCGGTAGGCTCCTGTGTTCCTTCCCTCACCCAGCCCGTGCCTCGGCTGGAACAGACACCTGTGCAGGCAAAGGCAAGGGTTTGACTTTGCAAAGATGGCTGGAACGCCTTGCCAAAGGGATTTTTCTGCCCACTAACAGCCATGGTTAGGGCCTGACCTGGTCTGCCCGACTACTTTAGGTGGCCACAGTGTTGTTTTCAGCAACGTGAGGTTAAATAACGGTAACCTTTGGGTTTCTCCTTCACCTCTTCCAACCCCATAGCAGAGTTCTGTTCTGTACCAGATTTGGAACAAGTGAGTTGTATAAATGATGAGACTGTTCCCTTGGCCAACGAGAGCCTAAACTTTGACTGACAAGAGGCTCAGGGAAGAGGCTGTTTTACTTAAGTGGATTTTCAGGTTAGTGGAAGGTTAAGCAGAGACCCCATTTTATGTGAACCCTTGTTGTGGAAAATGTCGAGGTACCCACTTGCCTGCGTTATTGAGTGGGACATTAGGATTGTAATTGCACCTTTTTTGGTCCCCTCTGGCTCTCAAAGTCAGTTTTCTGAGCAGCATTGCCCATCACATGGTTCTGCAGCTGTAGAAGGTAGAGGAGATGCTGACCTCAAGACCTTGTCTGACATTGCCTTTTTGAATCCATCCCTAGTATTTGCCTATTTCTGGTATTACTTGGAATCTAAGACTGGAGTGCCTAAGGGAAGAATACAGAATTAGTTCATTGAAGGTTCTAATTATTTGGATTAATTTATGGTGTTACTAAAGGCAGACAGGGAAAAATATGTATGAAGTACCTCTTGGATGCCAGGTTTGTGCTTAGTGCTTTACTCATGTTTTCTTTTTTAAATTTATCCAACAACCTAATAATGTAGGTGTTTGTATCCCTATTTTGCTAATGAGGAAACCAAGGCTCAAAGTGGTCAGGAATCTTGATGGAGGCAAGCCAGCTGGTTAAGGGGCAAAACTGAGATTTGAACTGAGATTGGAGCCCAGGTATCTCTGACTTCCATAGAGCAAATGTATTCCTTTATACCATAATTGCCTTCTGGGTAAAGTAGCTGGAGGGTTGGGAGACCCCAGATCTGCTCTGAGGTTGTCTTTGTGTCTTGGGTGTCTTGAGTTGGTTTCTGTTGTGTTTTCACTGTAAAATGAGAATGAACAGTGGTTGGCAGAGGAGACTTATGAGTATCACTGTACTTAGGCTGTTATGAGACCGCTACTTAAAGGTGCACAGTAATATACTTTTATGACCCTTTGGAGGCTAGGAAGGGCAAAGGTGGGTGCTTGAGGCCGTGCAGGACTCCCAGAGGGCAGTTGAGGCACCAGGAGAGTGCATCCCCTTAAGTGTTACTGTCTCTCCTCTATTAAATATTTATGCATTTAGCACTTAATATTTTCCAGAGAGCTTCATAAGAGTTTTTACTCTTTCTTATTTACTTTGGTGCTGGTGCATTCATTTTGGGGAAATAGAAGTGGAAAAATACATGAGAGCTGACTGTGCGCTGGAGACTGTTGGACACTTGGTGTATATTATCTCACTTAATCTTCACTGCAACCCTGGGAGGAACATATTGCTTTCCCATTTTATAAATGAAGTAACAGAGGCTCTGAGAGGTTCTCAGTTCCTCAAATTAAACACCTAGTGAGTGGGGGAAGTTGGGATTTGAATCCAGGTGTGCCTCGTTAAAAAGTAATTGCGGTAGGGAGACTTTGACCTTTTTAAAGGCTATGTAATCAGAGATTCTTCTTTCTGCATTCAGTTAATGCTGTCCTTTACAGAAGAATTTTCTCCTTGTAGATTGATGATGTGGAGGAGTTATGGCACTAGTGTTACTGGTAGTAACAACAGTAGCAGCTAATATTCACTGAGCATTTCTTGTAAACCACTGGGAATGCTTTACACATAATAACTTAGTTCCTTGTTTCTTAATCCATGCAGTGCTGTGAGGGGGACCATTTTACCCAACTTCACAGATGAGGACACTGACACAGAAGTTACATAAATTGCCCAGTGTGCCATAGTAAGTGGCAGAGCCAGGATTCAAGTCCAGACAGGCAGTTTGGCTCCAGAGTCCAAGTTCCTAATTTTATTATTATATGTTCTAGACAAGTGTTTTTCTTCTCAGGAATCCTCTTTGGTAACGTATGCTTGTATTTAGTGTTTCCTCTCTCTGGTTAACCACTCCTGATTTCCTAATCCCCTTTAGCAAATCCTTAAATTTGTTTTTTGGAAGTTGGGGTCATAAGACACTGGTAGAGGTTCCTCAAGACACAGTTTGCTGATGGTGTAGAAGTTTTATCTTGTGCCTCTTTTAACTCCTGATTCTTCCAGCTTCTGCCACAAGGTGGCTCTAAGACCTGGGGATACCAGAGCTCAGAACCAGCGCTGTCCTCTCTTCTTTTGCTCTCCCTGCATACCTTGCCCCTCAAAACATAGATTCTTAGCCCTGCTCTGGTGTCTTCCATAGAAGTGTCCCCTGCTACCCCTGTTTTAAAGAATATTGTGTTAAATATTCGTATTCCATCAGAATCAAATAGGAACCCAGGGACTGTTGGCTCACTCATGCTGGTCCATTTACCATCAGCCTTCCACTGCTGTGATATCATTTATCACAGCAAGCTTCTCTGTGGTCTGTGCCCCAGACTCGTCCCTGCTGATCCTGCCCCCATATCAGTATTCATCAGAATCTCTGGTTGGATGGCACAGTTGACTTGTGGATCTGTTATTTGACCATGCCCTGTGTGTGCTTCCTGTTGCGTATGCACATCCCCAACAGAATCTTCAAGGAATGCCATGACTGTCATGTTGCCATTGATCTAGCTTAGTCTGATCCCCATTGATCACATAGTGTGACCCCTCAAGGGGTGCTTAGGCAAGACTTTCAGCCAGTTCACATATTTGATTGTTAGCTCTTAATCAGTTTTCTCTTTTAATTGTAAAGCATAATTGCCTTGCTTCCTTCTGATTTTCTTTAGCTCAAAACGCCCTCCAATTACACATCCCTAAATACAGAAGCAGTAAGGGAAATGTCAGCACTCATTTTCCAAATGTTTACGACAATATCTTGGTTTGGCTATTAAAATTGACAAAGCCATAAACAAGCTTCCATGAGGACAGCCTCCAGTGGTGGAAAGCTGACTTGTCAGAGGGTGTATTCTGCTGGGATTTTACTGATGGGCACTCAGGATGAATATTTAATACCCTCTGGATGTTGCCAAATCAGTTTTCTTCTATTTCTTATTGCTGACCTGGCAGATTGGGATAGCAGAGGGCTTTTCTTTGACTTCCATGAGTCCAGAGCATGTGAACACTGGCTATCCTTTCACATTCTGAGGGATGACTGCCCCATCCCTCAGAGGACTGGCCTCTGCCTTCTTTCAGGGGAGTCCGGGTTCTCCTTCTTCCATCCCAGGTGGCTTCTGCCTGTTGTCTGTGCCAAGATAGAATGGGTGTGAGTGCAAGAGCCCTAAGAGGAGAGCCCAGCCCCTCCCAGATGCCTCAGGCCTGTTGTCATGGTAACACCGGGGCACTTGTTATTGGCATCAACGAGCCAGAGTCACTGCCCTGCCTGCAGACAGGTAAGGCAGGGTAGAGCGCATCTGGGTAACCTTCATTAGCTATTTCCACCTGCAGACTCTTGCTGCTTTCCCCTTGCCCCTCCCTCCCTGTCTCTCTGCATGCATTGAGCACCTACTAAGTGCCAGGTTGCCATGCTGGTGAGGCTGCTGAGATGGGTGTGTCACGTTCCTGCCTTGCGGGCTCTGTGGGAGGCAGCAGGCCTAGGGACAGAGGAGAGCAGAAAAGCATTACAGGTGTGGAGGCAGAGCCAGCACAGGGCATGAACACGGGGCAGGGGGCAGGGGGCGTGAGGAGGGAATGGGGTAGGGGTGAGGGTGGGAGGTTGGGAAGGAGGAGTGGAGCATTTCAGGCTCAGAGAAGAGTGTGAATAAAGATAGTCATGGAGGGTGGGAGCAGCATGCTTATCTTGAGATGACTAAAGCATGGGGTCTGGGAGGGGTTCACCCCCAGGCAAGCTGGCAGGGATCAAGAAGTCCCTTTTGTACATGGGAGCACGGGGTGAGGGTGGGCATATGTAATAGCTAAAAGCAAGGACAGACCAGACAGCCTGGGTTTGAATCCCAGCTCTACCACTAAGCCAGCTGTGTGACCTTGGGCAAGTGTCTTTATAAAATTGGGAATAATATTTATTTCATAGGATTGGTGAGGACCAAATAGTTAATATTTATAAAGTGCTTAGAATAGTGCTGAGCACATAGGACCAGACGAAAGTTTGCTAAATAAATAAGAATATCCTAAACTCAGAAATTAGGACTTTAGCTCATACCCAGATCATATACTCCATTTTTGTAATAATTTATAATATTCCCTTTACCCAGAAATGAAATTCATATACAATATAACATTCCTAATCATATCTTTAAAATTTGCTATACTGTCCTAGTTGTGGGATAAAGAAAGTTGTTTTTTTTTAAAGTAGTTCATGGTAAAATAACGTGTTTCAATGTGTAAATGCTCAGGACAGCTATGCTAGGAGGCACAGTCACAGTCAACGCTGTCCCTAAATGCACACTGACAGTCACCGTATCAGACTTGGCACCATGAGCAGGACTGCCATCCTGACAGGGTTTCTGAAGTCCTGAGTAACTCTTGCTACAATTCTGAACAAAACAAAGGAAAATCCTCTCTTGACTGACCTGGCATGTATTAAAACCATGCAAAATAAAAGTATTGTGATTATAGTAAAATGAAAGTAGGTTCTAGGCTCAGAGGCATAATTTTTGCCCATATGAATGTCATTCGAAAGTCACACAGGACACGAGGCAGAGTTTTGTTGCATGGAGTTGTCCCAGATACGATTTTACATCTTTAATGGCTTTATTCCATTGAATATATACCCCTCCCCAAATCAATATGGCAACCAGAGACCTGCTTGCAATTAGCTGCCTTATTGAGAACTGCTGTCACGGGCTGTGGGGTGGGCAGCCGTGGGCAGTAGCATGCCCCATTTGCCATTTAGGGAAATCCCCTGGCTGTGGCTAGGCCGAGAGGGAGGGAGTGTCATATGCAGGCCAATTATAAGAGGCTGAGAAAGAGATCATTGAGGGCCCAAATAGGGAATGGTCATGTGGAGAGAGCAGGGAGCCAAGGGGTGTTAAGGACAGAGGGACTCAGGGGTAGTAACAGTTTGAGTGGCAGGCGCCTGTGCCACTGGCTTCCCATGCAGCTCACCCTGCATTCTTTCCTTGTCTCTCATCTGACTTGCTTCTCTCCACTTGAAACATCTCTCCTGCCGCAGCCACTGGCCACCTCTATCTCTAGCATTACTGTCTGTTGTCTTTAATAAAGAGCAGTGTCTTCCTCCCTCAGTGCCCATCTCTTTGCACCTGCCACTCTGGCTGCTGCTCACACCACTGCACAGAAACCGCTTTCTCCAGACTTACCGGCAACCACCTCAGCAGCACAGCTGTTGCTTCTCAAACTTGAATGTGCATCAGAATCAATTGGAGGGCTCATGAGCCTGCAGGTTGCTGAGCCTTACTCACAGTTTTTCTGACTTAGCAGGGGCTGGCAAATTCCCAGGTGATACTGATCTGCAGATCCATGGCATGCACCCTGAGGGCCACAGGTGGTCAGGATCAAGTACAAGCTGCAGGCCCCTTGCAGTGTGGCCGAAGCTTACCTTTCTAACCTCATCCACTACACCTGAGCACTTGCTCCTCCTTGAATAGAGTGCACAGGGTAGTTGTTATCTTTCTTCACTTGTCCCCTCTCTCTGGCATGCCCTTTCACTCTCCTTCTCTGCTTGTTTCTCAGGGCCTAGCTCAGAGGCCACATACCTTTTGAAATGTTCTCTTTTCTATCAAAATCAGAATTGCCCCTCCTTTTAAAAAGTAACCACATTTATTCAACCATTCATTGATTAGTTTAACAATGATTGGGTCAGAGTCCCTGCCCTGCATATGCTTAGAATTTTGTAAGAAAGAGAAGACTTTAAAAATTACCTTCGTTGTAAGGCAGCAGTAACAGCTATAGTGGAGCATAAGGGAATCCTTTATTGAAGAAATAAATGAGTTTTGAGTGAGAAGAGCACGCACAGAGTGGAATCTGAAGGGAGGGTAGGCTGGCTGAGAAAGCTGCTGCTGGTCTCCGCTGTGGAGTTCTTCCCTCTTCCTGATGTCTCACCTTGAAACCACCCTATCCTGGCTTGTAACAAATGCAACAGCCTCTCCTACCATACAAAACACAGATCTTCCAAGTTTTAATCACAAGCCTGGGAAGGAAACTCTCCAGCTGCAGAAAGAAAGGGCCACTCCCTCAAAGCAGGGCCTGGTCCCTGGGGGCTGCTGTGAAGGCAGCTGCTGGCGTGAGCTGGAGCAGCTCTCGGACCCTCTTCCTGTCTCTTGCTGGATTCTTTCTTCCTCCTGCCAATTCACTGTTGGGGGTTAACCAAGCCTCACTCTTTTCTTTCACGTCTGCATTTATGGCCTCTCAAAGCCCGTTCACTCACACGGCCAAGTCCGGGGTTTCTCAGGCTTGAAGCTACTTGTGAATCACCTGGGGATCTTGTTAAAGTGCAGATTCTGACTTACTGGGTCTGGGGTGGGGCCTGAGAGTCTGCATTTCTAACAAGCTCCCAGTGCTGCTGGTCCAAGAACAGCACTTTGAGCAGGAAGATTGCCACTTATGCTTGACAACTCCTAATCTAAGTGTTGAACTTTGAACTTGGGACAAGGCACAGAAACCAAAAAGGAATGAGAATAGCTAAAATTCACTGGGTGTTTGTTATATCCCAGGTTCTGTGCTAAACTCTTTTTATAGACAATTGCTTTTAGTCTGCACAAAACTCCTAATGGAGATAGAGACATTGTTCTTATTTTGCAGATGAAAACACCTTTGGTCTCTAAGTGGGCAGGGCTCTCCTAGCTCTGTGGAGGAAGGTGGTGCACGCAAGCTGTACACCGCCCAGGGCAGGGCTCTGGCAGGACATGGGAGGGCTCCCTAATTATATGTGGAGATTCCAGTCTCCCCTGTGCCTCAGGAAAGGTCCTACCTGCCCTGGAGATGTGGGAGGAAATCCAGAGCATAGAATAGGAGCTGACCCCTTGCCCACCTGTCAGACATGCACCAAATTTAAAAAATGTCTCTCTTTCAAGCTTCTCAACACTTCACAATATTTTGACATGGGAAGGAAAAAAAATGGAAATGCTTTGGAACATTTCTCTTCCTTGAATTCTTGTTCTCAGACCACGTGACTGAATAGAATTTTAGTCACAGGATTCCAGTTTAACATATGCAGTTACTATAGCAATTGAGGTTTCCTTAGTAACAGTTGCAAAAATAATCCAGCCCCAATTAATAATACATTTTAAAGCTCTTTCTACTCCATGCTGAACAACCCAGTTTTTTTGGCCAAGAACCAGATAATTCAGGTGGTGTCATTTGCACTGATATAGATATCATTTGCATGCGGTGAATTGGGTTGGAAAGGAATGAAAAGGGAGCCGGTTGTTTCAAGTATTATAGGAATCCAATCTGAAAAGTCGACTGGCAAGCGAATGCAAATCTAGCTTCCAGAGCTTGGGAGCTTAATGGTAAACCCTGTCCTGGATTCCTAGTGTGCCCTAGAGGACTTTCTGCATTTGAAGAAGGGAGAAGGCAGAAGATTGGACTTGCTAACAAAAAAGATGAACCCGGGAGGGTGGGGCCGTGGCACACAGGATTTCTCTCTAAGTGGTGCCTGGTGTGTTCTTGATGGCGTGAGAAGGTCTGTGGGTTTGTGAATTCAACAAGTCTTCCTGGAGAGAATGTCTGATTCACCGCCGGGAGATGCTCCGCAGTGTTGCTCAGTCACGGCATTGGGAATTGGACTTTGCCACACCTTGGCTTACTAAATCCTTCCATCCATTCAGAACATTTGTCTGTGTGTTACAGGGAGACCAAGTGGCAGTCTGTGGCTTTCACAAGTTTTGGTTCTGTGATGCATGGGACTCAATCAACCCTTGATGCTGCCAAACCAAGCTTAAGCCAGCTGGCAGGCCAGGGTCATGACCAGTGGGCTGGGTCCTGGGTCTGGATGCAGTTCCTGGGGTTGAGCTGGACTAAAGAGACAAGAGTCTGACCAGCAGAGTGCTGGAGCCTGGCCAGGCACCCCTGCCCTGCCCCTGCCCCTGCCCTCCACACAAGATCGGTTGGAGGAGGCCTAGGTTGCTGTCCCTGGGTGGAATCTGCACCTTGCCCCTGCTTTCTTTCTCAGCTGGGAAGTGGTTTGGTCCCTGTGGCGGAAAAACTAAGTGTGAAGAGAGTGGTGGAGGTGGAACAATGCTTGTGCTATTAGTTCCCTAAGAGGAACTTAGAATTGTTTTTTTTTTTTTTTTCATTTTTAGTAGCAGGAGAGGCGTGGGTGGGGGAATGCAGAGCCAAGGTTAATGATGATGGGGTGGGTGAGATCTCAAATCACCTTCCTAACATGGATTTCATTAGACCTTGGCTTCTTGCCACTGGCAAGGTGAACATCATCATTAATTAGCTGCTGGGGAGGCGCTCCACAGGCTGCCCTCTTGTCTGTTTTTGGAGCGGGACAGTGAGGAGAAGGGAGGATTGCAGTTGGCTTTGCCTTGTCCCGTGGTTTACTGTCTTCTCAGCCTTCTCTCTCACTCCCCTAGAGGAAGCCCCCCCTCCCCACCCCCGCAGCATCCTCTAATTACCTGTTGCCGTGTTTCTCCAACGTGCTCTCATTCGCTCACCCACTCATTCACCTATTTCAGCAAACACTGATCAAATGCTTTCCTGGCCCAGGTGTTGTGCTAGGCTCTGGGGGTGCAGCGATAAGAATGTCCGCTAGGCCGTCCGCCCCATGAGGGCTGGGACTCTGGCTTACTCTTCAGGGCATCCCCAGCACTTAGCATCCTGTGGGAAACTGAGTGGGCACTCCGTAAATACTGGTTGATTGAGTGGAAAGAGCTTGATCCCTGCCCTGGGGGAGCTCACCATCTAGGATATGGGAGAGAGATGTGAAGACACACAGCCCAGAGATATATAGAGGGTGCTGAGGAAGGGTATGGAGCCCAGGGGGATGGGAATGAGGAATAAGTGGAGAGAAGGGTGAGGGTGGGAGGTGGCAGAAGGAGACAGGCAGAGAGGACAGCAAGGGCAAAGGCCAGCACTCAGGGAAACTGCACCAGGGGCGTGCGCCTGTGGAGGGTGCCTGAGGGTGAGTCGTGAGAGATGAGTCAGGACACTTGGGTGCAGGCCAGATCCTGAAGGGACTTTGTGCTGTGAAAAGGAATTGTTTCTCTCTAGCCCGTAGGTAGTTCAGAGCCATTAAACTTTTCAAGCAGAGACCTGATATAGCTAGATTTGTATTTCAGCAGGATCACCCTCAGAGGCCCTGTGATGGTGGGCTGTGCAGGCAGTGGATAGGGGAGAGATGGTGAAGGCCTAAGCCAGGCACATGGCAAGGAGGAGACAGGGAAGGATGTTTAGCGGTGGCCTGGGCTCCGTGCTGCCTTCCTCACACTGAAGCCAGTCGGTGTTAAATCCCCCAGGAACTGTGCTGGAGGAAAACTGACTCAGAGCCTCGAGGTGGATGGGCCACGTTTCTGGGAGTCTGTGGTGATTCCTGTGTTCCCCTTTCCTTTGCAGTGACAAAGCTGCAGGTGAGCAAATCGAAGAGGACCCTCACCCTGGTGGAAAACAAGCCCATTCAGCTGAACTGCTCAGTCAAGTCTCAGACCAGCCAGAACTCCCACTTTGCGGTGCTCTGGTACGTCCACAAGCCCTCAGATGCCAACGGCAAGCTTATCCTGAAGACCACCCACAACTCCGCCTTCGAATACGGTACTTACGTGGAGGAGGAGGGCCTGAGAGCCAGGCTCCAGTTTGAGAGGCATGTGTCGGGGGACCTGTTCAGCCTCACCGTCCAGAGAGCCGAGGTCAGCGACAGCGGCAGCTACTACTGCCACATGGAGTAGTGGCTGCTGAGCCCCAACTACGCCTGGTACAAGCTGGCAGAGGAGGTTTCTGGGCGCACAGAAGTCACTGTGAAACAGCCAGGTAAGGCCGCAGGGCACGGCTGTCCTGGGCCAGTGGGTTTAGTGCAGAGACTGCCTGGGGGTGGGTGGGGCTCTGTGGGGCTGGTGTGGAGAGACTGTCTGCAAGGTGCATGCTGAGTGTGGGTGCAGGTACACAGACCATCACCCTAGCACACTGCAATCCCATCCATTTTACCTGCAGTGGGTCCTGCTGCTGATGGCAGACTCATGGAAGCATCCTTGACTCTGCTTCTGTGGATAGCATCTTCACCAAGGAGCAGGGCAGCTGTGGTTAGCAAAATGTGGCAAGGCAGGGTTCATGGCAGCTCCTGAATCTTCTTCTGGGTTTGCAGTTTGCACCCTGAATCTTGGGCTTACACCAGCTCCACACCCAGAGTTCCTACCTAGAAGGCATTTTCTGGTCTTATGCATCTGCATCCCCCTTCTTTCTTAGCTCCCAGCCCAGCCCAGACAAGACTTTCCTGTCTCCAAACTGAATCATTCCTCCTCTGGCCCTTCCTCGACCCCGTGGTGTAGCCCTTATTCCTCTCCCTCACAGGTGGCACTCAACCTCTGCCAGAATGCTTCCAGGGAGGGAGAGCTACTCACTCCACAAGCCTCAGTTCCACTTTTGGGCAGCTCTGATTGTTGAAAAGTTCACTTTCCTGTAATTTCCCTTTTGAGATCTGCCCATGGAAAAACCAAAGAGAAGTCTGCGTCATTTCCTTTCAAATACATGAAATGTATGCCCCTTCTCTGTTAAAGATCTCTAGTTCTTTCAACTTCTCACATAGTGTAGCCTTAAGGGCCTCTCCATCCCTCATTCTCACATCCCTACAATTTGTTGTTGTCTCTGCCTGTCCTTCCTGATGGGCCATGGAGGGTGCTGTGTTGCCACTCTTAGCCTTGCTAAGAGTGACAATTCTGGCAGGCTGCAGACCATGTGTGGACCTTGATCTGAGGGCTTAGAGGCTTCGGCCTGCCAGCCCTGTGGGGGCACCCACCCCATCTCTTCTCATTGAATGGGGCAGAGCAGGTGAGGGCATGATGGACAGATGGGCCTCATCCCCCTGCTTCCGTTGCCTGGGGTCCTCGGTCAGCCTGTCTGCTCAGACCCCTGAAACTGGGGGTTGAGGAAGGACCCTCCTGGATCATGTGACTCTGTTCAGTCCAGGTGAGCAGGGTCCTTGGAGTGACATCTCCTAGAGCCCAGCCTATAGCCCTGAAAGTTGGGGAGAGGACCTGTTAGGAGAAGCATCCCCTGCCCTGGGGTTGTAGAGGTGATCTAGGCTCCTCAGACCTTGTGGGGCCTCAGATGCTTACATCTCCAGCTCCTCCTGGCATGGGCATCTGGCTGCAGCCCAGCTCTGTGGCCCCATCTCCCAGGGAACCTTTGGTGTAATCTGCCTCCCGCTGAAACCCAGCCTCATTCAGCCCCACCGAGGCTTTCAGAGTTCAGGTCTCTCATTCAGGGTTTGAGACCCCACCGGGCTCAGAGAGACCTGCAGCCTGCAGCGGTCCCAGATCACACAGCCCCAGGGATGGGACCAGGAGCCAGCCCACATCCCACCTGCAGCAGTTCCTGTGCCTTTAAAGCCTCCCCTCCCCCCGCCCCACCCCCAGGCCACTGGGGGAGGGAAGGAGGAGCTGGGTCACAGCAGGGAATCTTAGCTTGGTTTTGGTGTGCTGCTGGACGACCAGACCGGGCGTCGGGTGAGCCCAGAAGTGAGAGCAGTTGGCTGCGCCCCAGTGCTGTGTGACCCAGAGGCGCCACACACCCTCTCTGAGCTGGTGGACATCATAGGTGGGGAAGCTCAGGTCAGGGCACTCCCATGAGTGTCTGGAGGCCTGAGTTCCATTCTCAGCTCTGCCATATGCTTGCTGCGCTCTAGAGGAGTTCCTCTTCCTCTCCGAGCCTCGGTTTATGTACCCGTGCAGTGGGAGTGAGTTGCACTTCGGGGTGAAGGGGGCAAGACTTGTGTGGGCGCATCCTGCAGAGGGATCCCACAGAAGGGGAGAGCCCTGGGTTCTTTATCTGACTGGGTCTGGGCTGGGGGGGCCTCTGTTTCTTGGCTGACGAGTTTATGTGAGTTTGAGTGAGGTATGCGGGTGGGTGAAGGAGGGCTGGGGGGAGTCACCTGACTTGTGCGAAGAAGCTCTTGAGAGAGCCGTGGCTTCTTGGAATTAAGAGGAAAGAGTGAAGCATGAACAAACAGGCCCTGGAGGATCTGGCAGCCCTGAGTGGGGGTGGGGGGTCAGCTCTGGAGTAGAGCCAGAGCTGTGATGGGGTTGGGGGACCCTGTGTCCTTGGGCCATGCTTGCCTCGCTCCTGGGTTCTGTTTGTGGCTGTGGATTGGGGTAGGGCAGGGCCGGTTGTGCGAGGGGTCATTGCCCAACTCCAGGGGGCACCTGCCACCTCTCAGCTATATATATAGGGATATATATAGTTCTTTCGACAGGTTTCCAGCAGGTTGTGGTTATTAAATCTTACTGAAGGGGTGTTTTTTCTGATTCTCAACTCTGTGCCGCAAGGGTGGAAACTGTGAGAGACAGATTCCAACTCCACTTCTGGGTAGTAAGCATCCAGTCCAGGGGTGTAGACGGTCTTGGGGAAGCTGCCAGAGATCTGTACATTCTCATATCCAGGGATAGCGACTTCAGGCTGGGGGCTGGCAGGGTAAGGGGTGGGTGGGTCCCAGGCTCACCCACAGGTCTGCAGACTTCCTGGGGCCAGCTGACCTCGGTAAATCCCTTTTGTCTAAGCTTCAGTTTCCTGCCTGTGAATGGGGTTGGGGCTGTGCTCTGGTTTCACCCTTGTGGCTCTGGGGTTGTGGTGACAAAGCCATCAAGCTGGGTTGAAGGATTAACCAGGAAACCTCAGACTGGCTGCCGTGTCTACCTCTTCCTCCTACTCCTCTCTCTGCTACATCCTGGGAAGCTGCTCTGCTCAGCCTAGATGAGGCTCAGTTGTGTGTGTGTGCACGTGCTTGCACGTGTGTTGGAAGTGGGTGGTATTGACGCCAGAGTCAGTGTCTCCGGGTGAGTGAGGCTTGCACATTTCTCGGGACAGGGAACTCACTACCTTATGTGCCCAGGACAAGAGCTGTGGGGTCTGGAGAAGACTTCTAGGCCAGCCCCTGCAGTCTTTCCTCAGGTGACATGGCTTCCCCAGACCCACTTCCCCCTAGGTGCCCTCTCTGCATTCAGGGGGTAGAGGGCTGACTGGGACAGAATGTGACACACTCAGCAAGTGAGGAAAAGCCTCCTTCATTCTGTAGGCCCTACCTCTATTAACATGTCCTTTGATAAAGTGCCTCCCCTCCTGTCTCCCCTCTCTGGAATCCTCAGCTGCTGCCAGGCTTCAGCTGTGCCCCATGGAAGGCAGCTCTGTCTCCCTACTTTCCCCAGCCCAGGGTTTTCCTTTTGGGGTCAGCTGCAGGGATCTGGGCCATCCTTTACCCACTCAGACTTTCTTCCTGCCCACCTGCTGCTGTGAATCCTGTATGTCATATATATATATATATATAATATATTATATAATTATTATATTTATGTAATTTATATAATATAATATATTATAAATATATATAGTATTATATATAAAATTATACTTTAAGTTCCAGGGTACATGTGCACAACGTACAGGTTTGTTACATATGTATACATGTGCCATGTTGGTGTGCTGCACCCATTAACTTGTCATTTACATTAGGTATATCTCCTAATGCTATCCCTCCCCCCTCCCCTCACCCCACCACAGGCCCCAGTGTGTGATGTTCCCCTTCCTGTGTCCAAGTGTTCTCATTGTTCAATTCCAACCTATGAGTGAGAACATGCATGTCTTATAGGCTCTCAGGCAGAGAGGAAACTGCTGAGCAGGGCAGGGGACAGAGCCCTATGGCTCTCCACTTTAGACCCCTCCCGGCTGACTGCCATGGAATTCAGCCACTTAGCAGGGCCAAATCCCCTGATGTTCCTGTTGGCTGTCTAGCCTTCAGGGACAGGTCATGGGGCCTTGGTTCCTGCCCTGTCATCTTCCTAGTCACCCTGATCTTCAGGGGGAGGAATAGCCTGAGAAAGGGCTTGGTCATAGCACCTCCACCCTAGGGCTATTGAGGATCTCACAGTTGTGTGTCTGGTGGGTTCTGTCCAGAGCCCATTTGAGAGCAGTGGATGACAGGACAGGCCTATGTGACCCAGGCAGGCAGCAATATTGGGTCAGCCTTCATGTCCCCTTCTGTCAGCTTGGGGCAGCTTGGAAGGATGATTGTGGGGTAGGTGTTATGGGCACGGAATAGACCTCAGGTGGAGGCTGCAGGGGCTCTCCGGCACTGTAGACCAGGATCAGGGGAGGGAGCCATGACTCAGGGAGACTCTGGCCCATATCCTTGGCAGATGAGGGCCACAGGGGAATGGGCAGCACTGTCCAAAGTCCCCTGGGCTGGGTCCGCAGCTGTTCCTGGCTCAGACTTCTTGGTGGGCTGGTCAGAAACATGCAGTAACTTGGGGCAGTTACCAGGTGGCCAAGTCTGCACTGCTGGGCTCTGTGAGCTTGGGCCAGCTCAGGCCCTCTCTGGGCCCTGCCTTTCTGGGCTGTTCAGGTGGTTCCTTGGGCCTGGGGTGCTAATGTTTCTGGATGGGCAGCAGAACCAGTCTGCACTCAGGGCCCCAGGCCATGTTCCTGGAACACACCTTTAGCATTGACAGCAGCGTGTGGTGAGGCCCCTTAGTCTGGGTTCTGGTCTAGTGCCAGGGGCACCACTACTCCACCGCCTCCAGAGCCATCTCTGGGACACTGGCTGTGAGTTCAGATGTTCTGAACAGGGACAGGGAGAGCCAGAGGGACCCAGCCTGGGGCTCTCTGGAGGGGCTCGTGGGCAGACAGTGCCCTTTGGAGGGAACTGAGTCTGAAAGGAAGGAAACCCTTTCCCCGGCTCATAGCACCTGCCATCCAGGGCCCTGCCAGGGCTGCGTGAACTTTAGTCATGCGATGACAGGCCGAGTCACCGTGCCAAGTCACTGTGCGCCTCCTTGCTGCTGTGACGTCAGCTTCCCCATCCTCCCAGCCAGGCTGGATCTCTGTGAGAGGCCTGCCTGTCCTGCACCCTGTGCGGATGCCTCCCACTGTCCACCAGGGCTGCTGGGCACCCCCTGGCTGGTCTCTTGGACTAGGTAAGCTCATGGGTCCTCCGGCCGCTCCTGCTCTTTCCCTGCCTCTGCTCCTCCTCGGAGGTGGCCACCCCCAGATCCCAGTCCCAATTTGGAGGCCCCCTGAGGAGTGCTGCAGGGGGCCGCAGGCGTGGCTCTGAGCCACTCTGGAGAGTGGGGGTGCCCAGCCAGTTCTGTGGCTGGGACTTTCCCAGGCAGACAAGTCTGTCTCTTCCTCCCCAGCAGGTGCAGCCCAGAACTGTCTTCTGAGGAAGAGGTGCTCTCCTGGGCCCCCACTGTCCCCAGGCCTCAGGTAAGCCCATCAGGGTCACAAGGAAGGGGGTCTGGGTTTGAGGCCAACCATGGCAGCTGACCTACTTTCTAGCCTCAGTTTCCCCTAGTGTGTGCAGCTCTCACACTGTTTGGGTGAGAACCAGGCCTCTGGGCTTGGACATTCTTTCAGTGAGTTTTGAGGGTGGAGGGATGGGAAATGGAAGCCCAGGACCTCAGCAGGGTGTCTTCCTCCGAGCCGTGGACATCTGCCTGTGGGAGGCTGGGCCCACCCTCCCTTGCTGACCTGCTCTGGGAGGAAGGGACAGGGCCCAGCACTGCCTACTCCCCTCCCTGTTCTTCCCAGCAGTCTGAGCCTGGCTGGGTGCCCCCTGCTCCTCCAGGTGCCTACTTGGGCCTTTGGGTAGAGAGATTAACAGACGGGGGAGGCTGGGTCATGGTTGGACCACCCCAGGATCCTGACTGGGGGCTCAGCTCATGACCCTGAGCCTGGGAGAGATGAGGCCATGCCCTCCAGGGCACTCAGCATGACCCGGCCCAGTGGACGGGACTGGATAGCTTCCTTGGTGCAGGGGGCTGTCATGCTAGGACAGGGTCACTGACCAGGCCAGGCCCCTGCCCCATGACTTGTGGTGGAAATGTCCTTTTGTTTTTGTTTTTTGCTTTTTTTTTTGAGACGGAGTTTCCCTCTTGTTGCCCAGGCTGGAGTGCAGTGGTGCAATCTTGCCTCACTGCAACCTCCACCTCCCGGGTTCAAGCAATTCTCCTGACTCAGCTCCTGAGTAGCTGGGATTACAGGCACCTGCCACCATGCCAGGCTAATTTTTTGTATTTTTAGTGGAGATGGGGGTTTCACCATGTTGTCCAGGCTGGTCTCCAACTCTTCACCTCAGGTGATCCACCTGCCTCTACCTCCCAAAGTGCTGGGATTATAGGCGTGAGCCACTGCACCCGGCCATGTGATGGGAATGTTCTGTGTCCATAATAGATGCTGCATATTGCTGGCCCAGCTCCTGAGGCTCTTTGGACCTCCAGGAATCGGTGTCTCTATCAGGAACCCTTAACCCTGACCCGGACTCCCGGCTGGGACCCAGGGTGTTGGAGTGGCAGGAGCGCTGTCAGGCTTGGTGAAGGGTGTGAGCTGTCCAACGGGGCAAGGAGGAGGCAGGGCCTGTTCTGTAGTTGGACAGACAGAGCCCTCTAGCTGCTTTCTGGAAGACTGAAGGGCAGGTGATGTTGGAGGGAGGGAGTGCAGGCAGGGGCTGTGAGGGAGTTCAGATCAGAAACAGGTGGCGCCTGGATTCAGGCTGTGGTGGTCACGGTGGGGATGAGGGGCTGCTTTGGATTGTGCTGGGGATGTGCGGTGGTGCGCTGCTGTGTGGCTACTGCCAGGTCTCTCTGCTCTTGGTGTCTGCATCCAGGGCTGGGAGGGGGTCAAATGTATCACACTATCAGCCCCAGGCCCACCAAGCCTGGGGAGGTGGCCACCCTTCCACGATGGCATTTGGATGTTCCCTGTGTGTGGGGAGGGCACAGGGACTCCATTCGTAGACCACCTCTGGGACAGTGTGTCTGCCTCTGAGGTCAGACGCTCTGCACTGGGACAGGGTGGAGTGGAGGGAAACCCAGCTTGGGGCTCATTGGAGGGGCTTGCTGGCAGACACCGCCCTTTGTGGGAAACTGACTGTGGGAGAGGGGAACCCCAACCTCTGTCACCACATCCCTCTTCCCTGTTGTCACACCTGTCACTTGCTGCCATAGCCATGAGACTTCCCAAGGGTCACTGCTGCCACTCACTGCACAGCCTGGAAGGGAGTCCACAGGGGACATAGAGTGAGCAAGAGACCTGTGCCACTCAGGCCTCCTGGGGGTGTCCCCAGTGCAGCCATGATGATAATCACAGCTACCATTCACCAAGTCCTGCCCACAGTCTAACCTACTCTATTCACAACACTCCCAGCAGCAAGGCAAGTGAGGTGCTGCCATCTTCCAGGCTGGACAGTTCAGTGATTTGCCTGAGGCCCCACAGCAGGTGAGTGGCAAGTCCAGCATCAGAGCAGGGAAGGCTGGCGGTGCCCCTTGAGCCCCCTTTGCCATGCTTACCACATGCACATCCTGGGCTTCTGCAGGAATGCCCTGTCCCCTACCTGCCCTGCTCCGTGCAAAACCCTCTTTGAGCTGTGCCTGGGAGAAATGCTGAGAGAATTCATGGAAACAAATGTGTTACTGACAGCCTCTTTGCCTCCAGAGTTCAACTGGAGACAGAGAAACCAGCTAGAGGCAGAGGGAGGTAACCCGGAGTCCCCCAGAAAGGTCTGGGCTGTGCGTGCTTCAGGTAACCTCCCTTGACCTTCAGGAGAACGAGAAGGCTGCCTGATCAGAGAGTCTCTGAAGAAGATTCTGTGGCTACAGGCTTCAGCAGAGTGTGAGGGAGACCCCAGTTATTTCCTCAGCTGTTTCCACCAAATCCTCCTGTCTTTCGTGGCCAACACCCCAGGCAAGGCTTGGGGCCCCCGTCTGCTGCTGGACGGTAAGTCCTGGCCCCGTGGCAGTGAATCTGTGGGGCACTCTGATTGTGGGCACTATGGAAGCTAAACCCCATGCTCCAGGTGGGGTGGAGGGTCTTCAGAGGACTCCTGGACAGTGCCAGGCTCTAGGCTGGGGTGGGGGACACAGGAGAAACCAGGCCAGGCCCATCCCTGCTGGAGCTTCTCCCTAAGCAGTGGAGGCTCAGCCACTGTGAGGAGGTAGGCCAGGCCCTGCAGAAAGAGGGGTGTGGAAATCTGGGGGCTCCCAGGAAGGGCCACTGCTGGAGATGGGGTTCTTACCAGGATGGGCTCTGAAGACAAGCAGGGAGGATTTGGGAGGGTAGAGATGAGGCCCAGAGCTTCTGGCAGAGGGCATGGCCTGCACAAAGGTCTGGGGGCCGGACAGCCTGTACGTATTCTGGGAAGCAGGAAGGAGACACAGGCCTTGTGTTTCTGAGGCCCGACTTTAGACTGTGCCCTGTTGGGGAGGGGCCAGGGAATGTCTGAGGCTGGGCCTGACCCTGCTCCTTACCCCGTGGGAGCAGCAGAGCCATGAAGAAGAAGTTAGTGGTGCTGGGCCTGCTGGCCGTGGTCCTGGTGCTGGTCATTGTCAATCTCTGTCTCTGGCTGCCCTCAGCCTCCAAGGAACCTGACAACCATGTGTACACCAGGGCTGCCGTGGCTGCAGATGCCAAGCAGTGCTCGGAGATTGGGAGGTGAGCGGGGCAGGGCATGGGACATGGGCCCTGAAAACTGGGCAAGTGGACCTGAGCAATACGTTCACCCCTCTGAGACTCAGTTTCCCCACATGTAAGCTTCGCTTGGACTCCCTCAGTAGCCTTTGGGAAGGGGACGGTGACTCCGAGAGCAGGGTGTGGGTCTCTAGAGCCAAACAGGCCCCTTTTCTCAGTTCTAAGAGTCTCTGTCTCTTTGGATAAACTCCACTGTTTTGTTGTTTGGTTGCTATTTTTACTTATTTCTTCCTATCTATCTATCTATCTATCTATCTATCTATCTATCTATCTATCTATCTATTTAGAGATGGAGTTTTGCTCTGTTGCCAGGCTGGAGTGCAGTGATGCAATCTCAGTTAACTGCAACCTCCGCCTCCCAAGTTCAAGCGATTCTCATGCCTAAGCCTCCCAAGTAGCTGGGATTACAGGTGTGTGCCACCACGCCCAACAAATTTGTGTGTGTGTGTGTGTGTGTGTGTGTGTGTTTGTTTCCGAGACAGAGTATTGCTCTGTTACCCAGGCTGGAGGGCAGTGGTGCAATCTTGGCTTACTGCAGCCTCCCCCTCCCAGGTTTAAGTGATTCTCCTGCCTCAGCCTCCACAGTAGCTGAGACTACAGGCATGTGCCACCATGCCTAGCTAATTTTTGTATCTTTAGTAGAGACAGGGTTTTGCTATGTTGGCCAGGCTGGTCTTGAACTCCTGACCTTGTGATCCTCCCACCTCTGCCTCTCAAAGTGCTGGGATTACAGGTGTGAGCCACTGTGCCTGGCCTAATTATGGTGTTTTTAGTAGAGATGGGGTTTCACCATGTTGGTCAGGCTGGTCTCGAACTCCTGACCTCAGGTAATCCACCCACCTGGGCCTCCCAAAGTGTTGGGATTACAGGTGTGAGCCACCATGCCCGGCTTATTCTTTTCTTTTTATTTTTTGGTTAGGAGACAATTTCTTTCTTTCTTTTTTTTATTTTATTTTATTATTATTATACTTTAAGTTTTAGGGTACATGTGCACAATGTGCAGGTTTGTTACATATGTACACATGTGCCATGTTGGTGTGCTGCACCCACCAACTCGTCATTTAGCATTAGGTATATCTCCCAATGCCATCCCTCCCCCCTCCCCCGAAGGAACGCTGTTGCCCAAACAGGGACATGAAGGGCTTATTCTTTTTTTAAGGTGGAGTGTTACTCTGTCACCCAGGCTGGAGTATAGGGGAGCGATCATAGCCCACTGCAGCCTCAAACTCTTGGATTTAAGTGATCCTCCCGCCTCAGCTTCCTAAAGTGCTGGGATTACAGGTGTGAGCCATGGTGCCTGGCTTCTACTGTTTTATTCTATTTTGGGCTCTTATCTCATGTTATATATAAAGATCAGTTCCCTTCTAAAGACTTAAACAGAAAAAATATTATGTTTTTCATATTTTGAGACAGGGTCTTGTTCTGTCACCCAGGCTGGAGTGCAGTGGCATGATCATAGCTCACTGCAGCCTTGAACTCTTGGGCTCAAGCGATCCTCCCACCTCAGCCCCCTGAGTAGCTAGGACTACAGGCGTGCATCACACCTGACTAATTTAAAAAGACTGTTTTGTAGAGACGGTCTCACTCTATTGCCCAGGCTGGTCTTGAACTCCTGGCCTCAAGTGATCCTCCACCTTGGCCTCCCAAAGTGCTGAGATTACAGGTGTAAGCCACCATCTCTAGCAGGGAAAAAAAAATGTTATTAATAAAGTATAGCAATTTCCCTTTTTGTCCCAATTATAAAAGTCATGTACATTTGTTTGCTTGATAAAGAGGAAACTGTCTGGGCAAGGTGGTCCACACCTGTAATCCCAGCACTTTGGGGGGTTGAGGCGGGCAGACCACCCGAGGTCAGGAGTTTGAGACTAGCCTGGCCAACATGGTGCACTCTGTCCCTACTAAAAATATAAAAAGTTAGCGGGGCATGGTGGTGTGCGCCTGTAATCCCAGCTACTCAGGGGCTGAGGCAGGAGAATCGCTTGAACCCAGGAGGCAGAGGTTGCAGTGAGCTAAGATCATGCCACTGCACTCCAGCCTGGGCAACTGAGTGAAACTCTGTCTCAGAAAAAAAAAAAAAGAAAGAAAAGAAAAAGAAGAAACTGTAATCCCAGCACTTTGGGAGGTTGAGGCGATAGGATTGCTTTAGACCATGAGTTCGAGACCAGCCTGGGCAACATAGAAAGACCCTATCTCTACAAAAAAGACAAAAAATTGCCCAGTGTGGTGGTTCTTACCTGTAGTCCCAGCTACTCAGGAGACTGAAGTGGGAGCATTGCTTGAGCCCAGGAGGTCAAAGCTGCATTGAGCCAAGACTGTGCCACTGTACTTCATCCTGGGTGACAAAGTGAGACCCTGTCTCATAAAACAAAGGCTGGGCACAGTGGCTCATGCCTGTAATACCAGCACTTTGGGAGGCCAAGGTGGGTGGATTACTTGAGCACAGGAGTTCTTGACCAGCCTGGGCAACATGATGAAACCCCATCTCTACAAAATACACAAACAAACAAAATTGGCTGGGCATGGTGGCATGTGGCCACAGTCCCAGCTACTTGGGAGGCTGAGATGGGAGGGTCAATTGAGCCCAGGAGACTGAGGCTGCAGTGATCTGAGATCACACCACTGCACTCCAGCCTGAGCAACAAAGAGAGACTTTGTCTCAAAAAAAAAAAAATAAAAGAGGCCAAGGCAGGCAGATCATGAGGTCAAGAGATAGAGATCATCCTGGCCAACATGGTGAAACCCCGTCTCTACTAAAAATACAAAAATTAGCTGGGCGTGGTGGCATGCACCTGTAGTCCCAGCTACTCAGGAGGCTGAGGCAGGAGAATGGCTTGAACCCGAGAGGCAGAGGTTGCAGTGAGCTGAGATCGTGCCACTACACTCCAGCCTGGCAATAGAGCAAGACTCCATCTCAAAACAAAAAAGAAAGAAACTAAAAACAAAAACCCCAAAACTCGAATGGACTTCTCTTCCATCCTCCTTTGGGCAGGTAGGCAGCAGGGTATGTATGCGGTGCCAGGGTGGAAGCCTGCAGGTTCTCGTGCCTTTATGTGCCACATGGCAGGGACACACTGCGGGATGGTGGCTCTGCGGTGGATGCAGCCATTGCAGCCCTGTTGTGTGTGGGGCTCATGAATGCCCACAGCATGAGCATCGGGGGTGGCCTCTTCCTCACCATCTACAACAGCACCTCTCATGAATGCCTCGGAAGAGGAGAGGGAGAGGGGCAGGGGTTGTGGGTTGGGCCGAGGCACAGCTGGGTGGCCCCCAGGCTCACGTGGCATAAAGGGTTTGGGTGGGTGGGCCTGCCTACCTGCTTCTCCTTCTAGGAAAAGCTGAGGTCATCAATGCCCGCGAGGTGGCCCCCAGGCTGGCCTTTGCCAGCATGTTCAACAGCTTGGAGCAGTCCCAGAAGGGTAAGCCATGCTGCAGACTTGGGGCATGGGTGCAGAGCTGGCTGAGCCACCGGGAAGGGGCCTTGCCCACAGGAGCCTGCTCCCGTCAGGGTTCAGGGGCAGTTCTAGCACCCCCCATCCCTTCCTGGCCCCATAGCACCCTCCCACAATGAGTGGTCAGGACCATCATCACCACGGTAAAGGGCCGGGAGCTTCTGTTATTTCTGCTAAGGCCTCCGGGGCCATTCTGTGCAGCACATGGAAAGAATAATTATTATGCTAGCAGACCTCATGGACCAGGGCTCACTGGGGCCCACGCTCTGCTCTGTGCTTTTCACCCACGAGCTTCTCACAACCCTCCCTGCTCCTTTGGGCTAGGGGATGCTGTGTGGATTCCCATTTTACAGGGTGGGGATGCTGAGGCTCAGACAGGTCATGCAAATCAGCTGAGGTCACACAGCTGGGAGGTGGTGAAGCTAAAATTGATCCCAGGCTGTCTATATCCTGCCTTTTCAACAGGCATCCCATTCACTCATTTGTTCATTTGTGGGGATGGCGCTCTAGAATGTGAGGTGGAGTCTCTCTTTTCTAATCTGGTCTTAAGTGGAGAGGAGGCCCCCAAATTCCCCAGGTACCTGAAGGGAAGCCACTGTCCATCCAGGAAGCCACTGTCTGACCCCAAAGGAGGCACAATAGATTGTGAGATAAAAGTTGGAGGATGGGAGGGTCTCAACAACTCAACACCTCTAATCCTAGCACTTTAGGAGGCCAAGTCAGGAGGAGTGCATGAGCCCAGGAGACCTGCCTGGACAACATAGCAAGACTCCATCTCTACAAAAAAATGGAAAAAAAAATTAGCTAGGTATGGCGGTGTGTGCTTATGGTCCCAGCTACTTGGGAGGCTAAGGTGGGAGGATCACTTGAGCCCAGGAGGTTGAGGCTGCAGTGAGCCATGATTATACCACTACACTCTAGCTTGGGCAACAAAGTGAGACCCTGTCAAAAAAAAAAAAAAAAGGTTGGGCCTTTTTTTCACAGGCTCACGCCTGTAATCCCAGCACTTTGGGAGGCTGAGGCAGATGGATCACCTAGGTCAGGAGTTCAAGACCAGCCTGGCCAACATAGTGAAACCCATTCTCTACTAAAAGTACAATAAGTCAGGCGTGGTGGCACAGGCCTGTAATATCCCAGCTACTCAGGAGGCTAAGGCAGGAGAATCGCTTGAACCCAGGAGGTGGAGATTGCAGTGAGCCGAGATCATGCCACTGCACTCCAGCCTGGGCAACAAGAACGAAGCTCCGTCTCAAAAAAAAAAAAAAAAAGTTGGAGGATGGAGGGGCAGGACACACTCACCATAGCAGGTCTTAGACTTCAGGTGGGGGTCCTGGGTGGTGCCCTTTGGAGTCTTCTGCAACATACTCAATCTTTGATTTTTTTTTCTTTTTTTTTTTTTTTTTTTGAGACAGAGTCTCACTCTGTCGCCCAGGTTGGAGTGCAGTGGTGCGATCTCGGCTCACTGCAAGCTCTGCCTCCTGAGTTCACGCCATTCTCCTGCCTCAGCCTCCCGAGTAGCTGGGACTACAGGCGCCTGCCACCACGCCCGGCTAATTTTTTGTATTTTTTAGTAGAGGCGGGTTTTCACTATGTTGCCCAGGCTGGTCCCTCGATCTCCTGACCTCGTGATCCCCCTGCCTCGGCCTCCCAAAGTGCTGGAATTACAGGCGTGAGCCACTGTGCCCCACCAATCTTTCATTTGTTTTTAATACTCATTGAGAAACTCAGCATCTGTAGACATGAAGTTGCTCAGGGTAAGAGAATGCGGGAATCATAGGCTTGGCACCTTGTGGATGCTTAGAATCATTTATTTAACTAGAATGTATTGAGCATTGTCTTAAAGAATCAGCTGTTGTTCCTGAAGCTGGGGTGAAAAACAAAGACGGCAGATGAAATCTGTGACACTCCAGGTGGGAAAAGAAACTAGGCAGGTGCCGGTATGTTACGGGCTGTAGAAAAACAGACCTGGAGGGCCTCAAAATCTGGGACTCTATGGAGGGTGACCTAGTCAGGGAAGGGGACATCTGAGCAAAGACCCAGAGGCAGAGATGGGGTCGGGGGAGTTATCTCCTGGTCTGCTATCCAGGTGTGATGGCAGGGACAGAGCCCTGTGGGGAGCTGGGGAGGCTGCAGCAAGTGATCCAAGGGGAATGGCCCAGGTTGTGCGGGATCTCTTAGGTTATGGTGAAGCCTCTGCTTCCTGTCTGAGGGAAGTGGGGGCTCGTGGAGTGTGTGAGTGGAAGGGGATGGATCTGGCCTATGGACCCCTTGGATTGCTGTGTAAGGGGCAGGGAGCATGTGGGGACCTGTCCGGAGGTCACTGCAGTAATTCGTGGAGAGGGTGCTGGGAAGTGGCTGATGCTGGACAGACACACTTGGAAGTGGAGCCTGTGGATTTGAGGATGGGGTGGGTGTGATGCTTGTGTAGGGAGTCCCCAGGGACCCCTGATCTTTTGTCTGTACCTGGAAGGATGGGGTGACCCTAATGGAGGCAGGCAGGGTTCTCAGGAAGCAGGTTGAGCAGACACTCAGGAGCTCGGTTTTGGGCACGTTGAAGTTTGAGATGCTTTCTTCAAGCAGGCAGGTAGATACTCAGGTCTGGTGATCAGAGGAGCAGTCCAGGCCAGCAGGTCAATTTGGGAGTTGTCAGTGCATAAATGGAGGCTGAAGCTCAGATGTCAAGCAGACCACCAGGAGAGAGAGCAAAGACAGAGGGGAGAGTAGGAGCTAGGATGGCAGGCAGGGGATACTCGGGTGGAGCCAGGTGCTGGGATGCAGGGGCGGCTCTCAGGGAGAGTGATGAGCCCAGTAAAGCTGAGAGGGGCACTGGGTCTGGCAGTGTGGGTGTCACCAGAGAACTTGGCAAGTGTGGTGGCATGAGAGTCTGATTGGCCTGAGGTCAGGAGAAGATTTTTTTTCTGATGTTGATACATGATATTTTCTATATTTATGGGTACATGTGAGTGCTTGTTACATGCAGAGAGTGTATAATGATCAAGGCAGGGTATTTGGAGTCTCCGTCACCTTGAATATTTTTCTTTCTGGGTGTTAGCACCATAGTCCTCTCTTCATTACTTTGAAATATACAAAATACTGTTGCTAAGCATCGTCACCCTGGTCTGCTATCAAAGATTAGAACTTCTCCTGTCTTGGCTGGGCACGGTGGCTCATGCCTGTCATCCCAGCACCTTGGAAGGCTGAGGTGGGTGGATGACCTGAGGTCAGGAGTTTGAAACCAGCCTGGCCAACATGGCAAAACCCCATCTGTACTAAAAATACAAAAATTAGCCTGGCGTGCTGGCCTGTGCCTGTAATCCCAGCGACTCGGGAGGCTGAGGCAGGAGAATCGCTTGAACCTGGGAGGCGGAGGTTGTAGTCAGCTGAGATCATGCCACTGCACTGCAGTCTGGGAGACAGAGCAAGACTCCATCTCAAAAACAAACAAACAAAAAAACAAAACAAAACAAAAAAGAACTTCTGTCTAACCACAAGGTGGAAGGAATCATGTGCTGGGTGTCAGACCTTCCGGGATGTATGTGCAGCTTTTAGGAATTGAAACCACCAGCTCTTGGAAACTTGTGCCAGGCTTCAGGGTGGGAGAGGCAGTTTTAGAGCTGCAGCCGCCAAGCCAAGCCAAATGGCCCCATCATCTCTCGCAAGAGCAGGAGAGTACCTGGGGGCAGAGGCCATAGTTGTACCTTTCTAGGCAAAGGGTCAGTGTCTGTAGTGTCCATATGGGCAGTGGGGCTCGGGGGGAAGCAGGCCCAGGGGTCTGTTTCCAATGACCTCCTCAAAAGTCAGAACTGGAAGGCAAAACCCCGTATAGACTGGGTGCACCTGTAATCCCAGCATGTTGGGAGGCTGAGGTGGGAGGATTGCTTGAGGCCAGAGTTTGAGACCAGTCTTGGCAATGTAGCAAGACCCCTGTCTCTACAAAAAATAAAAATAAAAAATTAGGCTGGGAGTGGTGGCTCATGCCTCTAATCCCAGAACTCTGAGAGGCTGAGGAGGATGGATCACCTGATATTAGGAGTTCAAGACCAGCTTGACCAACCTGGTGAAACCCCGTCTCTGCTAAAAATGCAAAAATTAGCAAGCCATGGTTGTACATGCCTGTAATCCCAGCTACTTGGGAGGCTGAGGCAGGAGAATTACTTGAACTCGGGAGGTGGAGGTTGGAGTGAGCCAAGATTGTGCCATTGCACTCCAGCCTGGGCAACAAGAGTGAAACTCCATCTCAAAAAAAAAAAAAAAGCCACATGTAGTGGGGTATGTCTGTAGTCTTAGGTACTTCAGAGGCTGAGGTGGGAGGATCGCTTGAGCCTGGGAAGCCAAGGCTGCAGTGAGCCATGATTGCACCACTGCACTCCAGCTGGGACAACAGAGTGAGACCCTGTCTCAAAACAGACAAACAAACAAAAACCCTTATAGTTGGATGGAGAAACTGAGGCTGGGAGAGGGGACAGGATGGAGGTTAAGGCTCAGTCTTGCCTATCTGGGGCAGTAGAAAAGAGGAAGGGAGCCCTTTCTTGGGGCTGGCTGTGTCTTGAAGGTGGCCTGTGCTTGACCTGGGTCAGGGTGGGATCTGCTCTTGTTTTGGCACATTCTGGTGGAGCCCATGAGTCTTACAGGATAAGGCCTTGTGGTCAGTGAGATGGGAGGGGGTCTGGCCTGGCACAGGATTTTAGACATGCAGGCACCTGCACAGACAGACACCTCATCCTGGGACAGCAAAACCCAGCCGCATGCTACTGCTTCCCCTCCTGTGCCCTCCTCAGACATCCCTGGTCCATGTACACTCCTACCTGCTAAGCCCCTCTTAAAAAAAAAATTAAACATCCCCTCCTAAAAAAAATAATAAAATAAAAATCAGGAGGCTGAGGTGGGAGGATTGCTTGAATCCAGGAGTTCGAGATCAGGCTGGGCAAGATGGCAAGACCCCAACTCAAAAAAGAAAAAAAAAATCTTTCCTCCTAAGCCTCATTGCCCCATCTGTAAAACGAGTCAGGGACTGTGCCTGGGATGCTGCCTGCGAGAGATCCCGATGTCCCCCACTCAGGGTCACTAACTGTGGCTCTCTCTCCCCAGGAGGGCTGTCAGTGGCAGTGCCTGGGGAGATCCGAGGCTATGAGCTGGCACACCAGCGGCATGGGCGGCTGCCCTGGGCTCGCCTCTTCCAGCCCAGCATCCAGCTGGCCCGCCAGGGCTTCCCCGTGGGCAAGGGCTTGGCGGCAGTCCTGGAAAACAAGCGGACCGTCATCGAGCAGCAGCCTGTCTTGTGGCATGTCTGTGGGTGCGGCCCCCTGACACAGGCAGGGCAGGCACAGCCCAAGGACCTTGCAGGCCGTAGCAGCAGTGGAGCGGCCCTCTGCCTTCAGGACCCTGCGCTGATAATGGGATGAGGAGATACAGACCCTTCCCACCACGTGTGGGGACACATTCTGAGCGTGGGGACACATTCTGAGCGTGAGGTCCCAGTGGCCACTGTGGCTGGCCATGTGTCCTGAGTGGCAAGGGACACTAGAATGTTCCCGGAAGGGACACTAGGAGGATGAGCGCTGAGTGACAGGGCCACCCACCTGTGACAGGCGCTGCCCCTGCTTTGTGCTGGTCTCCTGTGTGGGCAGGTGTGGGGGGTGGTCTAGCTAAGTCCACCCCACCTGCTGCCTCACATGAGCCCCCTCTGCCCCAGTGAGGTGTTCTGCCGGGATAGAAAGGTGCTTCGGGAGGGGGAGAGACTGACCCTGCCGCGGGTGGCTGACACCTATGAGACGCTGGCCATTGAGGGTGCCCAGGCCTTCTACAATGGCAGCCTCATGGCCCAGATTGTGAAGGACATCCAGGCGGCCGTGAGTGGGTAACCTCAAGGGCCTGGGTAAGGAACTCTGCAGTGGAAACCCTGAGCTGTAGCCCAGAGCCATGGGGTCCTCCTGTCTTGCCTGAGCCTGCAGGAAGTTCCTGGTGGAGGAGGGTCAGTGACTAGCCATGTGGGTCCACAGCTCCTGCTTATATCAAAACCAAGAGAGGCCACACAGTCCAGGAGAGCAAGTCCCTGTTGGGGTAAATGCAGGTGTAGGCAAGAGCCAGGGCTAGGGAAGCACTAGAATACAGCCTGAAGATCCAGGAGGACTTCTTGGAGGAGGTGGCGGCTGGGCTGCAGATAACTTTGTTAGGCAGAGAGAGGAAGGGATTCCTAGCAGAGGAACAGCTGGGCTAAGGCCCAGTAGAGGGGGCTTTGATTCACCAAGGGGGTTACAAGGGATGAGGGTCGCCTTGAGAGAGGCATGGGGAAGGGGATTTGTGGGGCAGGGGCCTGGAGCTTGGCTGTGGCTTTCTTCAGGTAATTTTTGTCACTGTTTCATGGAGGAGGGTGATTAGCATGTCGACCTTTACTACTGAGGCTGGAAATTGGCGTGCCAATACCCTGTCTGTCTGGAGCTGACTCCAGGAGAATTAAGAGCCTCCCTCCCTCCCTCTATCCATTCATCGTGAGGAGAAGAGGCCAAGCAGCAGGGACACCGGCAGGAATTCTCCAGTTAGAAAAGGCCCTCTGAGCCAGGTGTGGTGGCTCACATCTGTAATCCCAGCACTTTGGGAGGCCGAGGCGGGTGGATCACCTGAGGTCAGGAGTTCAAGACCAGCCTGGCCAACATGGTGAAACCCTGTCTCTACTAAAAATGCAAAATTAGTCAGGCATGGTGGGTTGTGCCTGTAATCCCAGCTGCTTGGGAGGCTGTGGCAGGAGAATCGCTAGAACCTCGGGGGCTGAGGTTGCAGTGAGCTGAGATTGCACCACTGCACTCCACAGAGTGAGACTCCATCTCAAAAAAAAAAGAAAAAAAAGGCCCTCTGAGGCCAAGCTTGGTGTCTCATGTCTGTAATCACAACACTTTGGGAGGCTGAGGTAGAAGTTGAGGCCAGGAGGTCCAAGACAAGCCTGGGCAACATAGTGAGTCTACAAAAAAGTATTGAGAATCTACATAAATATAGTGGGGGTGGGGGTGGGGAACAAGAAAACAAAAAATTCAAAGCATAGTGAAAAGAAATATAGCAAAACCTGGCCGTGCATGGTGGCTCATGCCTGTAATCCCAGCACTTTGAGAGGTCGAGGCGTGTGGATACGGGGTCAGGAGATCGAGACCATCCTGGCTAACACAGTGAAACCTGTCTCTACTAAAAATACAAAAAAATTAGCCAGGTGTGGTGGCGGGTGCCTGCAGTCCCAGCTACTTGGGAGGCTGAGGCAGGAGAATGGCGTGAACCTGGGAAGCGGAGCTTGCAGTGAGCCGATATCATGCCACTGCACTCCAGCCTGGGCGATAGAGTGAGACTCCGTCTCAAAAAAAAAAAATAGCAAAACACAACAAAAAAAATTAAAATTTGCTGGGTGTAGTTGTGCCTTTAGTCTCAGCTACTGGGGAGGGTCTGCTGGAGGATCACTTGAGCCCGGGAGTTCAAGGCTGTGATTAAGCCACTGCACTCCAGCCTGGGTGACAGAGCAAGATCCTATCTCTAAAAAAAAAAAAAAAAAAAGAAAACACTCTCTGGCCACAGATGAGAGAAGGCAGACAGGAAGCCACTAAGCCAAGCAGGCAGAGGGCAGGTGGCCCCAGACCAGCTGTCGGGTGGTGAGCAGTGTCAGGGAGACAGGAGTGCCGGAGCTGGTGAGGTTCCCAAGGAGGTGAGGTTGCCTGTGGCCTCCTCCCAGGGCACAGTCCCACCCCTCCAGTAGTGCACTCTGTCCTCCTTTGTAGGTACAGGCTTTTCCTCACCACCATGGTGCAGCCATGCCTGCCCCCAACACCACTGGTGCAGCTCCATCCTCCACGCAGTGGTGCAGCCCCATCCCAGTGCCCATTCGAGCTGCTGTCCCGTCGCAGGGGGCATTGTGACAGCTGAGGACCTGAACAACTACTGTGCTGAGCTGATCGAGCACCCGCTGAACATCAGCCTGGGAGACGCGGTGCTGTACATGCCCAGTGCGCCGCTCAGCGGGCCCGTGCTGGCCCTCATCCTCAACATCCTCAAAGGTGAGTGGTCGCACCACAGCCGTGTGGTAGGACCCATGACACTGCCTCTCTCTCCCCACGCCCCACCCCTGCTGCATCTCTGCTCGCCCTCCATGCCACGTCTTTCCATCACTGAGCTCCCGAGGCGTGTCCCTGCGTCACAGCTCACCATGTCCTGAAGGAGGCAGTGCAGAGCGACAGGGCTGAAGCGGGCAATGCTCAAGGGTTGGAGGAGGAACAGGAGTCATCAGGAAGGAGAGAGGTGCAGGAGCTCAGGGCTGCAGGGCCTGGTCCAGAGGGTACCCTGGTCCAGTGGGTGACCCTGCCACTTGGTCACCGAATGGCCAGAGCTGATGCGTGACGTGAGGTCCAGGCTCGGGAGCCCTCACCTTACTTCACTCTCACCACAGCCTTCTGAAGCAGCTGCTGCTATTGGTTATTAAACGCTCCTTGAGGTGGGCAAAGTGGCTCAGGCAGGTGTTAACCCTCTGAGCCCCTCAGAGCCTCTGGGGCTCAGCAACATGCACCTGGCTCTGATCAACCAGGGTACAACTTCTCCTGGGAGAGTGTGGAGACCCCCGAGCAGAAGGGCCTGACGTACCACCGCATCGTAGAGGCTTTCTGGTTTGCCTACGCCAAGAGGACCCTGCTTGGGGACCCCAAGTTTGTGAATGTGACTGAGGTAAGGGGCAGGGGCTGGCCCACTGTGGGTGTGGGGCCTGCTGTAGAGGCATCAGGTGGGCTCCCCAGGGTGGCTACAGCCTCACATACGCTTTATGAATCCATTCCTGCCACGAACTTTGATTGCGGGCCTACTGTGTGCTCGGATGGACTGGTGGGTGACCCCCAGTCTTGGCTTCTGCCCCACAGAACTGACAGTGTGGGGAATTAGTGGCCACCCTCCTACCTCAGGTCCTTTGCACATGCTGTGGTTCTCGAGTGTTCAGTGCTGAGATGAGGAATGCATGGGGGCATTGCAGCCCTCGGGCATGGTGAGATGGATGGGTGAAAGGGAGAGGGCCAGGTGAACAGAGACCTCGGCCACCCACTCCCTGTCACTCCAAACTAACGCTTCCCAGATGCCACCCTCAGCCCTGCACCACCTGACCCACTCACTCAGTAGTTGCTCCAGCTCCACGCTGGGTCCCTATAAGACCCTGTCATATCCCTTCCCGCTGAGGATCCTCACATTCCTCCTTACCTACTTGGGTCCTTGGCATTCCTGGGTGGATCTGCAGACGCCCCCCACACTGACCAGTGACCTCCCAGGAGGGGCGTCAGCTGCCCGGGTGGTGTCTTCTCTTTCCCCGTGAGCATTCTGCACCTCTGACTCCCGCTGCAGCCAGTGACCTGATGTCTTGTCTCTCTGAGGGGACAGAGCCACTGCAGCGTGTCCCTCTGCCCTCCCTTTTGGCTAAGGCCAACTCTTTCATCTACTCGCTGGCTCAGGGTGCTGTTCCTACAATGCTCCTTTCTGCCTCTGACGATTTACTTCTTTATCACGGATTATTCCCAAAAGAAAGGCAGCTGTTGTTGCTCTAGAAATTTCTATCTGCTGCCTCCTTCTGTCCTTTGCTCCTCTTAGAGCAAACATGGCTGGGCTATGTCCTCTCTCCCTTCAGGGTATCCCCTCCCCTGCTCTATCCCCATGCCACCAGATCGCCATGTCCAGCCTCAGTTTCCCCATCAAGCCCCACTCAGCAGCATCTCACACAGCTCACCACACTCTCCTCGAGTTTTCATTTTGCAAATTTTCGCACTTACAAAAATGTAAAAAAAAACCAAAACTGCCCAAGCATCAATGTTCCCTTTTCCTGGAGTCTGCAGTGTGGACGTTTCTGCCGGATTTCCTAACTCTCTCCATCTCCACCCACATCTATTGGGATTCGTGTTTTTCTGAGGGATTCCACAGTAGGTTACTGATGTCACACCTCAGGGTGTGTCTCAAAAGTGAGACTTGAACATAGCACAGCAGGATGTCGGGGTGACACAACCTGCTGTCCCTTCTCTTTACCTACAGTAGGCTCCCTTGGCTGTTTTGTTTTTGTTGTGTTTTTGTTTGGACACAGAGTCTCTGTCATCCAGGTTGGAGTGCAGTGGTGTGATCTTGGCTCACTGCAGCCTCAACCTCCATGGCTCAAGCAATCCTCCCACTTCAGCCCCCTGAGCAGCTGGGACCAGAGGCACGTGCCACCAAACCTGGATAATTTTTGTATGTTTTTTAGAGACAGGGTCTTGCCCAGACTGGTCTCAAACTCCTGGGATCAAACTATCTTCCCACCTCAGCCTCCCAAAGTGCTGGGATTACAGGTGTGTGTGTTTTTTTTTTTGAGACAGAGTCTCTCTCTGTCACCCAGGCTGGAGTGCAGTGGCGCTATCTCAGCTCACTGCAAGCTCCGCCTCCTGGGTTCACGCCATTCTCCTGCCTCAGCCTCCCGAGTAGCTGGGACTACAGGCGCCTGCCACTGCGCCCAGCTAATTTTTTGTATTTTTAGTAGAGACGGGGTTTCACCGTGATTGCGATCTCCTGACCTCGTGATCCTCCTGCCTCGGCCTCCCAAAGTGCTGGGATTACAGGCATGAGCCACCGTGCCTGGCCTGTTTTGTTGATTTTTAAAGCCCAGGGCAGTAGTCTTGGAAAATGTCCCACATCATGGATTTGCCTTTCTGTTTCCTTGAGGGCAGTTTCAGACAGAACACCTTTCCCTCGGATTGGTCAACTAATCTGTGGGGTGTTGCTGAAACTTTATTTTATTTTATTTTATTTTATTGTATTTTATTTATTTTATTTTTGAGATGGAGTCTCGCTCTGTCCCCCAGGCTGTCGCCCAGGCTGGAGTGCAGTGGCGCGATCTCGGCTCACTGCAAGCTCCGCCTCCCAGGTTCACGCCATTCTCCTGCCTCAGCCCCCCAAGTAGCTGGGACTACAGGTGCCCACCACCGCGCCCAGCTAATTTTTTGTATTTTTAGTAGAGATGGGGTTTCACTGTGTTAGCCAGGATGGTCTCGATCTCCTGACGTCGTGATCCGCCCTCCCAAAGTGCTGGGATTACAGGCCTCGGCCTCCCAAAGTGCTGGGATTACAGGCGTGAGCCACCGCGCCCGGTGTGGAAACTCTCTTGAGGCATTTTCTTCGGCCTTCGGGTCCATCCTCTCTGTCTCCTCCTTGACCTCCTCATCTCCTCCTCGCCACTGCCTTGGGGACCTTGGCCAGGCTCATGGCATCCAGCAGCCACTCAATGTCAATACCTCCATGTTCATCTCTCAGCCCGCCCTTGCCCGTGAACCCATGCTTATTTATTTATTTTTTTTATACTTGCACCCATGCTGTTCAGGTCTGATGAAGTGTCCAAAATCAAGCTTCTGACCATCCCCAAACCTGCCCCTTCTGCAGGGTTTACCTCGCTAGTCAGCACCATCCTTGATTCTTCTCTTTCTCCCACCCAGGCCATCATCTCTTGCCTGGTTGATACCCACAGCCTCCCCTTTGGGATTTATCCTTATCCCCGTCATAGCTGCCAGAGGGACCCTGTGAAAACACTCCCCAGCCTGCTCATTCCTCTGCCCTAAGCCTGCATGGCACAGAGCAAAAGCCAGTTTTTATGGGACCTAGGAGGTCCTGTGGGATGGGCCCCAGCCTGCATCTTCATCCTCTTCTCCCCACCCCACTCCATTCACTCTCTGCCTATCGCTCACCAGCCTATACCACCTGCCTCAGGGCCTTTGCACTGACCATTTAGGCCGCATTCCAGGCTCTTTTCACACGTTGCCTCCTCTGAGAAGCCCTCCCTGACCACTCTGCCCATACCTCATGCCTCTTGATTCCCCTTACCTGGCTTGTGGTTTCAGCACTTTCCCTGTGTGTGTTTGTTTTTCTTGGCATGAGGGCAGGACCTAAAACTGTCTGTTCCCTGTTGATTCCCCAGTGCCAGGCATGCAGTGCAAACTCTAGAAATATTTTTTGCATGAAGGAATGAGTGATTGAATGCAGCAAGGGTCTGGAGGCTGAGGACCAGGCAGACAGACATTCAGAGTTGCTGAAACGCAACAGAGACAGGGAGTCAGACTGGTCATGCAAGGTCCTGGGCCTGCCCTTGGGTCCTGGGGAGCCACGGAAGGTTGTGGGTGCCAGAGGGTTTTGGTCAGAGTCACAGTCAGGGGCCTTCTGAGACCTGTGCCCCCTCCCCACCCTCCCTCCCCACCTCCTCAGGCCAGCTCTGGGGTCTCGGCAGGTGGTCCGCAACATGACCTCTGAGTTCTTCGCTGCCCAGCTCTGGGCCCAGATCTCTGACAACACCACTCACACGATCTCCTACTACAAGCCCAAGTTCTACACGCCGGATGACAGGGGCACTGCTCACCTGTCTGTCATCACAGAGGACGGCAGTGCTGTGTCCGCCACCAGCACCATCAACCTCTAGTAGGGGCTGCTGGGCCGCCTGGGTGGGAAACTGCCAGAGGTGGGTGGCCCAGGGACCACCCACTTATCCAGTCAGGTGGCTCCATCACCTCTTTTCCTGGTGGGAAACTGAGGCCCAATCTTGGTAGCTTATCCTGGGCCTCTCAGTGAGTATGTTTCAGCCTCAGTGGGTGGATAGGGACCAGGCTGGGCCAGGCAAGGTCGGGCGCTGTCTGACCCTGCTGGGCGGTAGCTTTGGCTCCAAGGTCTGCTCCCCGGTCAGCGGGATCCTGTTCAATAATGAATGGACGACTTCAGCTCTCCCAGCATCACCAATGAGTTTGGGGTACCCCCCTCACCTGCCAATTTCATCCAGCCAGGTATGGGGTGGAGGTCCGGGGGTGGGGGACTGGGGTGGAGAGGGGCGGGTGTCCTGGGCAGGCAGCTGACGGGCATCCCTGTCTTCTCCCATCAGCCGCAGGGAAGCAGCCGCTCTCGTCCATGTTCCCAACGATCATGGTGGGCCAGGACGGCCAGGTCCGGATGGTGGTGGGAGCTGCTGGGGGCACGCAGATCACCACAGCCACTGCACTGGTATGCGTCACCCCTTTTCTCCCTGGCCCTGCCCACTCCGCACAGCCCCCAAGCCATGCTGATCACACTCCCATGCCCCAGGCCATCATCTACAACCTCTGGTTCGGCTATGACATGAAGCGGGCCGTGGAGGAGCACCGGCTGCACAACCAGCTTCTGCCCAACATCACGACAGTGGAGAGAAACATTGACCAGGTGGGCCAGGGGTTGGAGAAACTGAGTCATGGTGTGTGGCCCCAGGGCATCCTGGGCTGGAGGCCTGGATCATCACAGAGTGAACAATGGTTGGTGTCCTCTCTCTAGTGCCTGGGCCATCTGGAGCCCCTGTGCCATGAGGGCCAAACCCCCTGCTCCAATGAGACCCAGCAGGCCCCAACCTGCTCTTCCTGATGACCTGGCCTGAAATGGCACCACCTGGGCTGAGGCCTGTGACCACACAGGCGTGGTTCAGGTGGCATCTGGAGCCCTGCTCAGCCTTCCCCTCTCCCCCCACCCCCAGGCAGTGACTGCAGCCCTGGAGACCCGGCACCATCACACCCAGATCGCGTCCACCTTCATCGCTGTGGTGCAAGCCATCGTCCGCACGGCTGGTGGCTGGGCAGCTGCCTCAGACTCCAGGAAAGGTGGGGAGCCTGCCGGCTACTGAGTGCTCCGGGCAGACAAGGCTGACAAGCAATCCAGGGACAAGATACTCACGAGGACGAGGAAGAGGACTTTGGGGGACGGGCTTCCCCTGTGAGCAGCAGAGCAGCATAATAAATGAGGCCACTGTGCCAGGCTCCAGGTGGCCTCCCTGGCCTGTCTCCCCACTCTCTGGGCCTCAGTGTATTGTGTGTGAAATGGAGCCATCTGGCTGGGGAGGAACAGAGAGGTGGGATTCGGAGATCTTCACAATGCGGGCACTGGAACTAGCCTCAGCATCTTCAGCATGGGGAGAGCCGGGCACATGGCTGGGGGCCAGGGGAAGGTTCACACCAAACCCTGCCCCTTCCCACCCTGATCCCTCGGACTTTGGGGCCAGGCCCTCCCTTACTGGGGCTGGGCAGTGACACTACCTAGGATCAGCCACCAGGGGGTGTCACGACCCTGGCGCTTTCTTAGGCAGAGGGTGGCCAGCTGATGCTGGGAACCTGGGCGCCTTCTCAGACCCGTAGGCCTCCAGCTCACCCTGCCGATGACACTGGCGGTGAAGCTGAGGTCCGAGGAATGGGGACTGGGCAACAGGCTGGAGGAAAACATCTCGGTCAGAGCCACGCCCCTCGGGGGTTCCCAAGAGCAAGCCCAGAGTGAAACCCAAGCTTGTGATCCTCTCCAGAGGGAGGCCTGGTTCTCAGGGAACAGCAAACGGGAAGATGTCCCCAGATCCCAGGGATCAGGGCTTGGACCAGCTGGGGACGCAGCCCAGAGGGAGTGGGTCCAGAAGGAAACAGCTAGACACAGCAGCCTTCACCATTGGCAGCCCCTCCAGGCCTCCCTTGGGGCCTGCTCCCTCCTCTGTGCACAGTTCCAACACCTGGAGCAGGGTTCTGGGAAGGGCTGGTGGAGGTGGGCTGGTGGGAGGCGGTGATCACAGCCCAGCACCTGGATATCACCAGGGGCACTGGGGCCAGGGGCCAGGTGAGGCCAGGTCGGGGCTATCCTTCAGGAGCCCCAAAAACCTGGTGATTCCAAAGGGCCCATAGACAAACAGGGTTTTATGCCTGTGGAGTCAAGTCCCACTGGGTCTGAGCTCTGGAGGGCTGTGTCTCTGGGGCTCTGCAAGGGTGAGGTGGAGGTAGGCTCAACTGGTGTACAAGTCACTCTTCAATCCTTATTTTATTTATTTAATTTTTTTTAAAAAAATTTAAACCAATAGAGATGGGGTCTCACTATGTTGACCAGGCTGGTCTTAACTCCTGACTTCAAGCAGTCCCCCAATCTCAGTCTCCCAAAGTGCTAGGATTACAGGGGTGAGCCACTGCACCCGGCCTCAATCCTTATTTTGGCCTGAGAGGAAAAGCCGTGGCCCCATTTGCAGGGGAGAAGACTAAAGCTGGAGGGGCAGGCCTTGCTCTGGGTTGCACAGCAGCAAGAGAAGTGGGAGCTGGCCATGAGACTTCCTGGACCCAACACGCTGGTGGGGTACACCCTGGTTCTCCAGGTCCCATGGGGCTCAGCCCAGGACTACCTCGGGGGGTGAGGGACTTAAATCCTCTCCTTCATTCTCATCACCCCTTCCCCCATCATTTCCTGAGGAAGGACATTCAGGGACCTGAAGGGGTGGCCTGCCCCTCCACACCTGTGGGTGTTTCTCATCAGGTGGGACAAGAGACTGAGAAAAGAAAGAGACACAGAGACAAAGTATAGAGAAAGAAAAGTGGGCCCAGGGGACCTGCACTCAGCATATGGAGGACCCACGCTGGCACCAGTCTCTGAGTTCCCTAGTATTTATTGATCATTATCTCTACCATCTCAGAGAGGGGGATGTGGCAGGACAATAGGGTAATAGTGGGGAGAGGGTCAGCAGGAAAACACGTGAACAAATGTCTGTGTCATAAACAAGGTTAAGAAAAAGGTGCTGTGCTTTGATGTGCATATACATAAACATCTCAATGCATTAAAGAGCAGTATTGCCGCCAGCATGTCTCACCTCCAGCCCTAAGGCAGTTTTCTCCTATCTCAGTAGATGGAATATACAATCGGGTTTTACACCGAGACATTCCTTTGCCCAGGGACGATCAGGAGAGAGATGCCTTCCTCTTATCTCAACTGCAAAGAGGCCTTCCTCTTTTATTAATCCTCCTCAGCAAAGACCCTTTGGGGTGTCGGGCTGTGGGATGGTCAGGTCTTTCCCTTCCCAGGAGGCCATATTTCAGACTGTCACTTGGGGAGAAACCTTGGACAATACCTGGCTTTCCTAGGCAGAGGTCCCTGTGGCCTTCTGCAGTGTTTTGTGTCCCTGCTTACTTGAGATTAGGGAGTGGTGATGACTCTTAACAAGCATGCTGCCTTCAAGCATTTGTTTAACAAAGCACATCCTGCATAGCCCTAAATCCATTAAACCTTGAGTCGACACAGTACATGTTTCTGTGAGCACAGGGTTGGGGGTACGGTTACAGATTAACAGCATCTCAAGGCAAAAGAATTTTTCTTACTACACAACAAAATGGAGTCTCTTATGTCTACTTCTTTCTACATAGACACAGTAACAGTCTGATATCTCTTTCTTTTCCCCACAGGGACCTTCCTGGCTGTGCCTCGGGTCAGGACCAGAATGACACCCATTCGTTTCCCTGGGCCTTTGCTCGGATGGTCCCTGCACCCTGGCCTCTGCCTGATGAGGATGGTGGGGAGAGGAGGGGGGACGTCCCCCACACTGCTGTCTCCACTGTTCCTGCTGCCCAGGCCTCTGGGCTTCCAGGACTGCAGCGGGTCGATGGGTGGGCTGGCCTGAGCCGAGGAATGCACTTCAGCTCCTGGTTGAGCAATGTCACTGAGGCTTGGGAGTCGGGTGGGGGCAGGAGGAGGCGTCCACAGGCCCCCATACCGTGAGAGGCAGCCGTGGGAACAGCCTACCTCTAAACAATCACTGCAGCCCAGGCTGACCAGGGGCTCTGGCCAGACATAGGGGCCTGGCAGGCTGTGTGGCCTGTAAGGACACAGTCTGTCTCTGTGCCTCAGTTTCTCTGCTGCCCAGATGGAGGGGCCCGGACTCCAGGTGTAGACATCTGGAGCAGGCAGTGTTCAGCTGGGGAGGAAGCGGGGAGGACTGTGGGGGCCATGTGGGAAGGATTCCACCCCACATCACCTGCACCCCTGCTGAGCCGGGTCAACGGAGCCCCTCAGTGGGTCCTCACTCCCCTGGCTGCCTCCCATTTAGGCACCCTGAGGCCTGGGGAGAACAGAGCCAGGCCAGTGTCCCCAGAGAGGCTGTGCTGCCAGCACAGTAGTAGCGGATTTGGATTCAGGGAAGCAGACCTGCAGCCAGGGTGGGAAAGAGCTGCAGGTGGGGTGGGGCCCCCACATGGCACAGCCCCCCTCCCTGGAGGTCCATGCTGCATTTCCAGGACAGCAAGTCCCAGGGATGGATGGTGCCGGGTACCAAGGGCTAGAGGCATGGTCTGTCTGCATTTCCCACATAAGTGTCTCATAGTCACCAGCATTTGATGCTGTCAAGTCCCCCTGTCCTCTGTGCAGACTGGGAAGCCCTTGTTAACCTTGGGGGTTTGGGGGACCCAGGCCAGGCTGCAGAAGCATAAGGACTTGAACCCGGGTCCTGAGTGACACCACCTTGGGTCCTCCTCCTTCTGCCTCTGTTCAGCTCCACCTTGATGCTGACTAGGCTGGGCCATGCGGAGAGGGTTAGGGGATAGAGATGGGAGCTGGGGAGCAGGGCTCCACTCTGGGAGGGGGGCAGCCTTGCCAGATCCAGGGCAGAGTTAAGCGGCCCCAACTCTGCTTTCCCAGAGCAGCTGAGAACCTGGGGAATGGTGTGGAGGTTCCGGGGAGCCCTGCCCCTACCTGGCAACAGCAGTGCAGCAGGCACCAAGTTCTCCTGCACATTGCGACAGTGTGACCATGGGCTCTGGCAGGCAGTAGGTGGGGCCTTTGGACCTACCAGCAGTGAGGGAGTTAACACAGCAGCTGACTTCTCTAGGCAAAGAAAACTCCCCTCAGACGCTTTGCTGCCTGGCCTCCTGCCAGGAACAAGCAGGAGCTGAAAACTAGAAGTTGAGGCATGAGTTTGGCCACTCCGTAGTGTGCACTTGGTGAGGGCAGCAGCTCACCACAGCTGCCAGCCATCTGTCCATTCACCCATCTGTCCATCTGGCAGCCCGCTGTTCAGACCTGTCTGTCTGTCCGCCCAACTGTAAGCCCATCTCTGTCCCATTGTCTATCTGACCATCTTTCTCTTACTGTCCACTTTTTCTAGCTATCTGGCCTGTCTGTCGATCCATCTTCGTGTCTGTCTTCAGCCCCCACCTGTTTGTCCATCTGTCCAATTACCTGTGAGTCTATCTATGCATCTTCTTGTCTATTCATCTGCCCAACCATCTGTCCCTCCGTCTGCCCACCGGCCTCCCCTCTCCTTCTGGGCCACAGAGCCATGGCCCAGGACTGCGGAGCCATGGTTGACCTGGTCCTGCTGGGGCTGGGGCTGGGGCTGGGGCTGGCGCTGGCTGTGATTGTGCTGGCTGTGTTCCTCTCTCGACACCAGGCCCCATGTGGCCCCCAGGCCTTTGTCCCCGCTGCTGTTGCTGCTGACTCCAAGGTCTGCTCAAATGTTGTACGGTGAGTGAGACGTGGGAGGAAGCTGGGTGGCCCTTGGCAGCCAGCCCCTCCTGGAGAAGGCGTGTGTGTGTGAGCATGTGTGTGTGTGTGTGAGATTATGTGTGAGTGTGAGTGTGTGTGGGTATGTGAGATTATGTGTGAGTGTGTGTGGGTATATGTGTGAGTGTGTCTGTGGGGTTTGGGTGGGTGTGAATGTGTGTGATCGTGTTTGGGTGTGTGTATGTGTGAGTGTGGGTGTGTGTGAATGTGTGTGATTGTGTTTGTGTATGTGTGAGTGTGTGGGTGTGTGTGAGTATATGAGTGTGAGTGTGGGGGTGTGGGTGGGTGTGAATATGTGTGATTGTGTTTCGCTGTGTGAGGGTGTGTGTGAGTGTGAGTGTGAGTGTGTGGGTGTGTGGGTGTGTGTAAATGTGTGTGATTGTGTGTGTGAGTGTATGTGTGCGTGTTTGTGGGTGTGTGTGAGTGTGTGAGTGTGAGTATGGGGGGTGTGGGTATGTGTGAATGTGTGTGATTGTGTGTGGGTATGTGTATGTGTGGGGGTGTGTGTGCGCGTGTGTGTGTGTGTGCACGTGCACTGGCCCAGGAAGCAGGAGCTGTGTGTGTGGGCTTCAGCACCTGCAGGGCTTGAGCGCAAGGAGACAGCCTCAGGGCCCTTGCACAGAACAGGTGGCAGGGTGTGCCCGTGGGGCAGATGGGGACTTGGGGACAATGGTGGTGTGTGAGTCCATACCTGGCTCCAGGATTCAGGAGGCCCATTTGCATATCCCAGGTGGGAACCTGTCTGGCCCCGCCTGACCCTGCTGGCCGGTGCAGGCCCCTTCAGTGAGGCCAATTCTCCAAGGCTGGGGTCTTCTCCCAGGGTCAAGGGTGAAGGGGTTTGGAGGCTCCCTGCGTGGGTACTGGCCTGCTGGGGTACACACAATGCTGCCATAGCCAGTCTGCCCCAACACCCAGCCCGGGGCCACATCTCAGGTCTCTCAGTCCTGGGGAGCCCGGTGCCCCACCCCTCACATCCTCTCTCCCTGAGTCAGGGCCTGGGTCTCGTGAGCTGAGTGACTGATACTTGGTGTCCTGGATGAGGGCGTGGTGGAGAGGGGCCACAGTGGGTGTTTCCTGACCCTCTTCCAGGAAGGTGCTGCTGCTGCTGCAGGGAGGACACATACAGGATGCCCCTTCCTGCCCCCTGCCTCCCATTGGGCCCACAAAAGCCAGGGCAAGCCTCCCCTCCCTGCCAGCCACCTGGTCTGCTTCCCAGAAATTCTGTCTTGCAGGCTGTTGGGAGGATCCCAGTACTTTGTAAACTAAAGCAAGGGAGGAGTGGCCGTTCTCTCTCTTTGTTCATTCATTCACCTTTTCATTCATTCCTTCTTCCCTCCATTCCCCCATCTGTCCATCCTTCCCTGCCCTGATTGCTCACACCACCCCCCAGCCCCTCCTGACCTGGTCCTTTGGTTTCTCTTTAGGGCTTTCTGTCTCCTCCCACAGGGCTGAGAATGGCAGCTCAGGGACAAGTGGGGGCTGGGGACTGCTTAGTCTCCCCAGTGGCTCTCAGGGGATTTGAGGGTTTGACGCCAGCTGCCACCCCGGGCTGTGCCCCTCCTCTGCTCAGGAGCACATACAGGGATGCGACACCCACTTAAACTCGAAGTTGCAAAGATGCAAATGAGACTGGGGTCTCAGGCACCAGAGACCACCCATGGGCACGTGGCTTTTGGGAGTGGGGACCTGCTGCCACAGATCTCTGAAGAGTCTGGACCTGCTGGGTCTCACCGAGTGACTGTCTGGGGGTCTCCATAGCATGCCTTGCTGTGTGCGTGATGGTCACTGGTTGGGTAGGGGTCTCTACTCTAAAGCTCCCTCTGCCGGCATCCCCTCGAACTCTCCCTTGGTGAAGAGAGGATGTGGTTTGCCCCAGTGTTTTATCAAACAACTCTCTCCACTTCCAGTTTTAAGAAGCTGAGAGTGGAAGAGAGCCTGGGGCTGGCCCCAGCTGCTGCTGTGAAACAGGGGTCACTGGATGCTGGGACCCTGGCCGGGCTGGCTGGAGGCCTCAGGAAGAGGCCTGCTACATCGTCATCCTGGCCAAGATTCCTCCCTGCAGAGGACCCTGGCCACACTGCCACGGGGTCTGCTGGGGCCACCAGAAGCCCATGCTCCTGCCTCCATCTCTCCCCTCTGTGCTCACCTCTCACCAGGAGGCCCTCCCAGAGTTCAGTGTCCTGCTTTTTTTTTTTGAGACGGTGTCTCACTCTGTCACCAGGCTGGAGTGCAGTGGCGCGATCTCAGCTCACTGAAACCTCTGCTTCCTCGGTTCAAATGATTCTCCTGCCTCAGCCTCTTGAGTAGCTGGGACTACAGGTGCCAGCCACCATGCCCAGCTAATTTTTGTATTTTTAGTAGAGACGGGGTTTCACCATGTTGGCCAGATGGTCTCTATCTCTTGATTAGCCCACCTTGGCCTCCCAAAGTGCTAGCATTACAGGAATGAGTCATGGCGCCCGGCCTCATCTCCTACTCTTTCAGCACCAGGTTTTATTCTTAGGATTCTGCTACAGCTGGAGCCCCTGGGTGCGAGCTCCTAAGCTTTGTGTGAGTGTGGACCCAGCACCGTGCCTAGTAGACATACAAAAGGAGCATGGTGACAGTGAGGTCTGTCATCTCCAGCATAATAACTGTTTTGATCCTTGTAGAAAAGGTGATTTTTGGCTGGGTGTGGTGGCTCACACCTGTAATCCCAGCACTTTGGGAGGCCGAGGGGGGTGGCTCACGTGAGGTCAGGAGTTGGAGACCAGCCTGGGCAACATGGTGAAAACACGTCTCTACTAAAAATACAAAAATTAGCTGGGCATGGTAGTGGGTGCCTGTAATCCCAGCTACTTGGGAGGCTGAGACAGGAAAATCACTTGAACCCAGGAGGCAAATGTTGCAGTAAGCCAAGATTGCACCACTGCACTCCAGCCTGGGTGACAGAGCAAGACTTGGTCTCAAAAAAAAAAAAAAAAGAAAGAAAAGTTTATATTTTTGTTCTAATGGTTATCTTAATATCTTCATTCTATAATTATATGTTTTATATAATTATAATTGCTATATAAGATATAATACCCCTAGTATGTTGTTTTTTGGATATTCTACTCGTTCCTGATGGTTAATTTATGTGTCAACTTGGCTAAGCTATGGTGCCCCGTTGTTTGGTCAAATACTTGTCAATATCTTGCTGGGAGGTTATTTCATAGATGTGGTTAACACTGACAGTCAATTGACTTTAAGTAAAACAGATTACCCACCATAATATGGGTGGGCCACCTCCAATCAGTTGAAGGCCTTAAGAACAAAAACAGGTTTCCCAGAGAAGCAGGAATTCTGCTTCAAGACTGTAACACAGAAACCCTGCCTGAGTTTCTGGCCTGCTGACTGCTCTACAGATGTTAGGTTCCAGACTTCGAGATCAACCCTTACCTGAATTTATAGCCTGCTGGCTTGCCCTACAGATTTTAAACTTGCTAGTCCCCACAATCATGTGAGCCAATTCCTAAATAAATCTCTCTCTATGTATAATCTATTGGTTTAGTTTCTCTGAAAAGCTTTCACATCCAGTTTCCTGGATGTTAAGAATTACTGAAACTAGCTAGTAACTTTTTTTTTTTTTTTTTGAGACAGAGTTTTGCTCTTGTTGCCCAGGCTGGAATGCAATGGCACAATCTCAGCTCACCACAACCTCCACTTCCTGGGTCCAAGCAATTCTCCTCCCTCAGCCTCCTGAGTAGCTGGGATTACAGGCATGTGCCACCATGCTTGGCTAATTTTTGTATTTTTAGTACAGACAGGGCTTCTCCATGTTGGTCAGGCTGGTCTTGAACCCCCAACCTCAGGTGATCCACCGCCTTGGCCTCACAAAGTGCTGGAATTACAGGCATGAGCCACTGCGCCTGGCTCCTAGTAAATTCTTCTTTTCCGTGATGTGTCTCTTACCTCTAATAATACTTTCTTCTTAAAGTCTACTTCATTAAAAATAGTTATGCTGGGCATGGTGGCTCATGGCTGTAATCTTGGCACTTTGTTGGAGTTCGAGGTGGGTGGATCACTGAAGCCCAGGAGTTCAAGACCAACCTGGGCAACATGGCGAGACCCTGCCTCTACAAAAAATACGAAAATTAGCTGGGTGTGGCTAATATAATTCTAAGTTGGCACACTTGTAGTCCCAGCTACTTGGGATGCTGAGGTGGGAGAATCGCTTGAGCCTAGAAGGGAGGGATTGCTGTAAGCCAAGATCACATCACTGCACTCCAGCCTGGGAGACAGAGTGAGACTCTATCTCCAAAAAAAAAAAAAAAAAGTTATACAGCTTTCTTGGTTAGTGCATGCATGACTTATTTTTCATTATTTTCCACCTCTCTGTATCCTTATATAAAAGGCATTAGTTGGGTTTTACTTTATTTTCAATTATTTTAATTTTTATTGTCCTTTTAAATGTAACTAATGATTTATTTGGGTTGAAACCCACCACCAATTTGTTTTCCATGCCTATTCTATTTCTTCTTATCTCCTCTCACATCTTGTTTTGGATTTATTATTTTTATTATTTAATTTCCTCCTTCTCTATTAGTTTCATAACTGTGCAGTCTTAGAGTTATTTTAAAAGATGACTGGATTATTTTGAGCTTACAACATGCATCCTTCACTTATCAAAGTCTAACATGAGCTAGTACTTTTTGTTGTTGTTGTTGAGATAGAGAGAGTCTTCCTCTGCTGCCCAGGCTGGAGTGCAGTGGAGCAATCTTGGTTCACTGCAACCTCCACTTCCTGGGTTCAAGCAATTCTCCTGCCTCAGTCACCTGAGTAGCTGGGACCACAGGTGTGCACCATTATGCCCGGCCAATTTTTGTATTCTTTTTTAGTAGACACAGGGTTTCACCATGTTGGCCAGGCTGGTCTTGAACTCCTGACCTTAAGAGATCTGCCTACCTCGGCGTCCTAAAGTGTTGGGATTACAGGCGTGAGCCACCGCGCCCAGCCTATGAGTTAGTACTTCTATCCTCTTCCTAGTCAGTACAAGAACCTTGGAACAGGAACTAAATTTACCCCCAGTGACTTATATGCTAATATTTTTGTGTATTTTAAATATGTGTGTGTGCATAGATGTACCTGTGTGTTTTTTGTGTTTTTATTCTTATTTATGTTGAGAGTGTAGAGCTATGTAAGAGTAAAGAGAATTGTGTAATGAAGCCCCACGTATCCATTCAATTTCAACAACAATCTTATGGCCAAGCTCATTTCATGTATACTCTTTCCTGCTTCCCTCTACCCCACATTATTTCAGTGCAAATCCCAGATATATAACTGTACCCATACATATTTCAGTATGTTTATTTTAAACCCCACAAGATATCATTTTCTATACTACTGTAATTTTATACCAATAACATTCATTTAGATTTACCCACACGTTTACCCTACCCTCCGGGTCCTGTTTGAAAATCAAACCCATGCTCACAGGCCAATTTTTTTTCTTTTAGAGACAGGGTCTCACTTTGTCACCCAAGCTGGAGTGCAGTGGTGTGATTATAGCTCAATGCAGCCTCCAATTCCTGGACTCAAGGGACCCTCCTGCCTCAGCCTGCCAAGTAGCTTGGACTATAGCTGTGTGTTTTATTATTAGTTTGTAGACATGGGGTCTGGCTATGTTGTCCAGGCTATTCTCAAAATTCCCAGCCTGGAGCAATCCTCCTGCCTCGGTCTCTCAAAGGTTGGGATTACCGGTGTGAGGCAAGGCACCCAGCTCAGCCACAGAGCCCTGTTGCATCTCTCTTACTAGGAGCAAGAGCTGACTGCCCCCTCATCCCCATTCCAGAGTGTTGGGGCTGTGTTCAGCCGAGGCCAGGCCACTGGCATGGCCCAGGGAGTGGGATCATTCACTGCTGCCCAAATCTGAGATCATTCCACCTTGACAACACTTCCTCATCCAATCCCTTTACTTGACAGCTGGGGAAACCCATGCGCACAGAGCACCCCCAGCTCACTTGGGGTCTCAGAGCTGATCCATGAGCAGAGGCCAAGTTCCTGGGATCTTGTCCCCCAGCCACCCCACAAGCTTACTCCCTTTCTGCTGGAAGAGATGGGGCTGGACCTCGACCAGCAGCCCTGGCCTGGACATGACTGTGCTCACGCAGGTATTTAGGCTGAGATGCCCCGGCATCATATTTTTTTCTCTTTTTTTTTTCTTTTTTTTTTGAGACAGTGTCTCACTCTGTCACACAAGCTGGAGTGCAGTGGCATGATATTGGCTCACTGCAACCTCTGCCTCCCGGTTAAAGTGATTCTCCTGCCTCAGTCTTCCAAGTAGCTGGGCCTACAGGCTTGTACCACCACGCCTGACTAATTTTTGTATTTTTACTAGAGACGGTTTTTCCCCATGTTGGCCAGGCTTGTGTCGAACTCCTGACCTCAGGTGATCCACCTGCCTTGGCCTCCCAAAGTGCTAGGATTACAGGCATGAGCCATGGCGTCACTTAAATGTAGTGAGAGGCCGGGCAAGGGGCTCATGCCTGTAATTCCAGTACTTAGAGAGAACGAGGCTGTCCGATCACCTAAGGTCAGGAGTTTGAGACCAGCCTGGCCAACATGGTGAAACCGTGTCTCTACAAAAAAATAGAAAAAAAAAATCCCTGCGTGGTGGTGAGTATCTGTAGTCCTAGTTACTCAGGAGGCTGAGGCATGAGAATCGCTTAAATCTCGGAGGTGGAAGCTGCAGTGAGCTGAGATGGCGCCACTGCACTCCAGCCTTGGTGACAGAGCAAGACTTTGTCTCTAAATAATTAAATAAATAAATATGGCCAAGCATGGTGCCTTAGGCCTGTAATCCCAACGCTTTAGGAGGCTGAGGCAGGTGGTTCATGAGGTCAGGAGCCCGAGACCAGCCTGGCCAAGATGGTGAAACACCAGGGGATCCTGTGCGAAGCACCATGGCTTCAGCTGGGGTGGGAGTGGGTGGGACTCTCTCTAATGACTTATCCTGGTGTTTGTGTTTCTGAAGATTTGATTGTGGAGAGCATATCCGATGATGGGGATTTGTAGGTAGGTAACTACTTTCCACGTAAGATCCAATGGGAGAGAGTTCCCAGGGGCCTTCGGGGTATCCATGCTGCTTGGGAGGTTAAGGGAGGGGGCATGAAATCAAAATGAAACAGGAAATATGTGTCATACTGTATTTGGTCTTTTCCAGGTTTATTGGCATAATAGTTAGAACTGTCTCTCTGGGCTATGAGGGTGCTGTGTTATTTGAAGGTGGTCTTTCCCAGAACACCTGGCCTTTTCTTTTCTGCCTCTGCCAAACATCACAGCCTTTGGGTTGGATTAGTCAGCACCCCTTGGGATTGTGCAGAAGAGGTTTGGGGTTGCATCGAGTGTCACCTGTGGTGAACAGAATCTGAGGGACACAACTCTCTCACAGGCACTTCCTTCAACCCGGAGACAGAGTTCTCCTGGTGTGTGCTCAGGGGTGGAGGAGAAACTGACAGTCGGCCTCTGAACTTTCAGGACTTTAAAAAGCACTCATGTTTCCATCCTCACTGTTGACTCCTGGCTTAAAGGGATCTCCCGGGGTGAGTGAGGAGGAGGGATCGGACCCTGGCAGTCTAACGGCAGCACCTGTGTTCCTCTGCACTGGGCTGTGGATGACATTACACACCTTGGTGAGAATCAGGAATTGAGGCTAACCACATCTGAAATTGAGATGGGCCTTGAGTCATATAAATAGTTTGGAAAAGATGCATTTTACTACGCTGTTGAAAGAAACCATTTATTTCTCACTCCAGCAGGATAAATGGTTATCAGTATCCACTTAACTGCTCATTGACTCTTACTGTAGATGAGCAGGTGGCCAGCAGCCCCTGCCCTCCCACAGTTGTAGGCCCAAGGTAACCAGCAATTGACTGGATATAATGGAAGAGTGGTGCATTCGGAGGTATCTGTATTAATGGGACCAACATTATATGGATGAGAGCTATTAGGGTGAGAAAAAGCCTGGGAGCACAATGAAATATTTAAACAAAACATTGTTGAAATCTCCATTGTACTTTAGTAGTTGAAGTCATTCTTGTGGTCATCACTGCCTTTCCCAAACATAACAAGCTACTTAATATCACATGGACCCGTGCCATGAGAAATGATGATCAGTTTGTAAAACGCCAATAAAACAATTGCCTATATAAGCCACAATGTTTCATCCATATATTTCAATTTCCATGTGTAAGTATAGTTCAAATTTCAGAAATTTATTATTATCTAATAGAATATGCATGGTATATCAATGAGCAATTATCATACTGTTTCTATTCACAATTATTTGTATGATGAAAAAAGCAGACTCCCATTCTTGGATTTTTCTCAGTTTGCACACATTAGCATTACAGCCCCATTTCCACCTGACATGTGCCAGCAAGAGGCCAGGAACAGAGGCTTTTCTTATTAACTAAGATTTCTAAATGTATTACGTATTCACATTTAGAAACTCTAAATATCATAAAAGGTTAGCAAGGAAGTTTCCCTTCCACTCTGAACTTCCAAACACCAAGTCAACATTTTTGTTTGCCTATCATCCCTGCAATCTATGTGCAAATAGAAACATGCACCTGGAATGCATGCTGATGTGTGATCGTGTTTACACAAAGTCCTCTGCACCTCTGCATATATCACTGGGCAATGCACCTTAGTTATCATTCCACATTTCAAATGTAAATCCATTGTATTGTTTCAGAGCTATAAAGTACTGCACCCTATGACTATTCCCAAAATTACTTAAGCACCCCGCTATGGGTATCCATTCATTCTGTTTCCAGTCTTGCTCTTATAACCAATGCTGTAGTGAACAGCACTGTGTTAAGAAGTGGTGAACGTGGGCATCTTTGTCTTGTTCCCGTCCTCAGGGGGAATGCTTTCAACTCTCCCCCATTCAGGAAAATGTTGGTTGTGGGTTTGTCATAGATAGCTTTTATTACCTTAAGGTATGTCCATTCTATGCCAATTTTGATGAACGGTTTTAATCATAAAGAAATGCTGGATTTTGTCAAAGGCTTTTTCTGCATCTATTCAGATTATCATGTGATTTTTGTTTTTAGTTTTATTTATGTGATGTATCACATGTATTGACTTGCCTATGTTAAACCATCCCTGCATCCCTAGTATGAAACCCACTTGAATCATGGTGGATTATCTTTTTGTTATGCTGTTGGATTCGGTTAGCTTGGTTGTAGCATTTCTTATTATTCCATCTGTGGAATGTATTGGTTTAAATAATGAAAACATGTTCTATCCTCACTGCTTAGCACTTTGTGTTTCTTTAATAGCATTCCCAACAGGGCAACATAAAAGCAGGAGCCCTGCTAGTCTCCCCTTAACCCGAAATCCCCCCTTCTCCACAGCTCGCTCACTGGACAGGATAGACTGGGTGCCCAGGCCTCAAGGTAAGGACGTGCTCTGTCACCTAGAGGTGCAGTGCTTGGGAAGGCCAACCTTGGAGGGTTGCCTGCCAGCTTTACAGTGACAGAGGTGTTGGGAGGGACTGACCACCAATGCATAAGGCTGTGCTTTGTTGGTGACATAAAGGATTGTTTCACAGATTGTTGGGGAGGGACAATCCCAAGGCCTCCCCCGGCCCTGGTGCTGGCTGTGCACAAAGGCAATAAGAGAGGGATGCTGGTAAGGGCTGACCTGTTGCTGTGCTGGGGAGGAAGGTGCTGGGCTGAAATTCAGGAGGCTGAGGATGCAGCAGTCCCATAGGAGGTACATGACCTTCAGGATACATTTTCTTCATTGATGATCAATGGAAATGAGAAATCACTATTTTTTCTATCATTGGAATCTACTCTCTACTGCTCATGCTGTTCCTGTCTTTTGGGGAAGATGGAGGATCAATCAGTGTGTGCAGCACTGAGTGGAAGGAAGGAGAACTGTGACAAAAGTTAAGGAAGGATGAGAGATGGGAGGGCCCTTCATCCAGCTGCTTGCAGAGTCCTCCTGAGGAGGAAAGCCCCGTGGCTCCCTGGTGAAGGAGCAGTGAGGGCTACGTGACTCCCACAGTGAAGTTTGCGGTATATCTGAGGACACCCAGGCTGGTCCATGAGGAGCCAGTGGCAGAGTGAGAAGCAGAAAGGCCAGGAGGGTGGCTGGATGCCAGGCTCTGAGTCATTCTCCATGTGATGGAAACAGCCGGAGCCCAGTGGGCTTGGAGGTACAGGATGCGGTGGCTGATGACAGAACAATGTGGAGAGAGGCATCATTTGTCAAATCCTTACTTTGTTCTGGGCATTGTGCTAAAAATTCTGATGGCTCATCCCATTTAGGGGCTGAAAGTTGCAGAGGTTTAGGAAGCTCACCCACGATACTGGAGCCCCCATCTCCTACCCTAGTGCTGTCCACCTTCTCACCCAGCCACCACTTGTTTCAGGGGAACACACAGAAGTGGTAACCTCTTATGGATAGGCAAGTAAATTCTGCTGTTTTTGTTATTCACAGAAAAACACTGGCTCGTGTGAGTTGGGAAGGTGAAATACCAGAAGTATTTCATCTAGTTATTTCTACCTACACGACTCCTATAGTATTGAAATGCATAGGTTAGCATTTTTGGACAATTTACTCAGCATTCTGGGTTAAAGGCTTTTATTTATTTACTTATTTATTTTTTATTTATTTTTGAGATGGAGTTTCGCTCTTGTTGCCCAAGCTGGAGTGCAATGGTGCAATCCTGGTTCACTGCAACCTCCGCCTCCGAGGTTCAAACTATTCTCCTGTCTCAGCCTCCCAAGTAGCTGAGATTATAGGCACGTGCCACCACACTGGGCTAATTTTTTTTGTATTTTTAGTAGAAATGAGATTTCACCATGTTGGTCAGGCTGGTTTCGAACTCCTGACCTCAGGTGATCTGCCCTCCTCGGCCTCCCAAAGTGTTGGGATTACAGGTGTCAGCCACCACGCCCACCCTAAAGTCTTTTAAAATTCACTTGTATAAGTTGACTCAGTTTTCTTTAACCTTGTAGAAAAATACAAAAATGGCAAACTCTTTTATCACACAAATAATGTCTTTTAATGGAGTGATTTTTTTCTAATCGAGGTATTATGTACTTTTCATTTACTAATTATTGTTTACATTTGAAGTGTTTTATGAATTAATATTTAATTGCATAGATGAAGATTACTAGTTATAGGCATTTTACTAACCAATACTCATTAAGCATAGCGTGGATTCATATGACATCAAGGGGCTATTTTATTTGGTAAAACGAAAAAGCACAAGAATGAACGAACGCGAGAACTGAAACAGTGGAGACACCTAGAATGACTTGTCTAAGATCTAAATCATTTTGTTCTCTTCCCAGCGTACTTATTATCCTGATCATTGTCATCAGCATTGTTTGGGTCCTTTTAGCACAGATTTCTCAAAAGGGGTAACTCCATAACAGTTGGAAGCTTACAAATTCATATAATTTGTAAGAGGTCAATTTGGAAGTACCTATCTATTTTAAAATTCCAGTAACCTGGGAATTTCATCCCATGTCTAGAGTCTTTTAGGTAAAATATTTCCACAATTAGGAGAAATATGTGCATGGGGATTTTTTATGTAGCGGTGTTTTGATAGAATAGAAAATTGGGATAAACCAAATTTCCATCATGAAGGAAATAGTAATAGGCTGAATAATAACACAGCGAATATTATGCAGGCTTTAAACATCAAAAAAGAGTTCAACTTATGACTTCCGATGATGGTGTTGAAGCAGGGCACTGCTGGTTAACATTTGATTTTCTCGTTAGCGATGCCGTGGACGGCATCCTCGTTAGCGATGCCGTGGAGGGCGTCCTCGTTAGCGAAGCCGTGGGCGGCGACCTCGTTAGCGATGCCGTGGGCGGCGTCCTCGTTAGCGACGCCGTGGGCGGCGTCCCAGTTAGCGACGCCGTGGACGGCGTCCTCGTTAGCGACGCCCTGGACGGCGTCATCGTTAGCGACGCCCTGGACGGCGTCCTCGTTAGTGACGCCCTGGACGGTGACCTCTTTAGGGATACCATGGACGGTGTCCTCGTTAGCGATGCCCTGGGCGGCGTCCTCGTTAGCGATGCCCTGGGCAGCGTCCTAGTTAGCGATGCCCTGGGCGGCGTCCTAGTTAGTGATGCCCTGGGCGGCGTCCTCGTTAGTGATGCCATGGACGGGGTCCTCGTCAGCGATGAGCTGGACTGCGTCCTCGTCAGCGATGCCCTGGATGGTGTCCTCGTCAGCGATGCCGTGGACGACGTCCCCGTCAGGGATGCCCTGGGCGGCGTCCCCGTCAGCGATGCCCTTGACGGCGTCCCGATCAGCGATGCCCTTGACGGCGTCCCCGTCAGCGAGGCCCTGGACGGCGACCCAGTCAGCGAGGCCCTGGACGGCGTCCCCGTCGGCGAGGCCCTGGACGGAGTCCCAGTTGGCGATGCCCTGGGCGGTGTCCTCGTTATCGATACCGTGGACTCCATCTTCATTAGCGATGCCCTGGACGGCGTCGTCGTTGGCGATGCCCAGGACGGCGTCCTCGTTAGCGATGCCCTGGACGGCGTCGTCGTTGGCGAAGCCCTGGGCGGTGTCCTCGGCGATGCCCTGGGTGGCGTCATTGGCGATGCCCTGGGCGGCGACCCTGTTGGCGATGCCCTGGGCGGCCTCCTCGTTGGCGATGCCCTGGGCGGCATCCTCGTTGGCGATGCCCTGTGCGACGTCCTCAGCGATTCCCTGGGCGGCGTCCTCGTTGGCGATGCCCTGGGCGGCCTCCTTGTTGGCGATGCCCTGGGCGGCGTCCTCGTTGGCGATGCCCTGTGCGACATCCTCGGCGATTCCCTGGGCGGCGTCCTCGTTGGCGATGCCCTGGGCGGCCACCTCGTTAGCGATGCCCTGGACGGCGTCCTCGTTAGCGATGCCGTGGATGGTGACCTCGTTGCCCATGCCCTTGGTGGCGTCCCCGTTGGCGATGCCCTGGGCGGCGTCCCCGTTGGCGAAGCTGAGGACGGCGTCCCCGTTGGCGAAGCCGTGGACGGCGTCCCAGTTGGCGATGCCCTGGGTGGCGTCCTCATTGGCGATGCCCTGTGCGGCGACCCCATTGGCGATGCCCTGGGCAACCTCCTCGTTGGCGATGCCCTGGATGGCGTCCTCGGCGATGCCCTGGGCGGCTTCCTCGTTGGCGATGCCCTGGGTGGTGTCCTCATTAGCGATGCCCTGGTCGGCGTCCTCATTAGCGATGCCCTGGGCAGCGTCCTCAGCAATGCCGTAGACTCCATCTTTGTTAGCGATGCCCTGAACGGTGTCATCTTTAGCGATGCCCTGGATGGCATCCTCGTTGGCGATGCCCTGGGCGGCGTCCGCGTTAGTGACGCTGTGGACGGCCTCCTCATTAGCGATGCCCTGGGTGGCGTCCTTGTTAGCGATGCCCTGGATGGCGACACCGTCAGCGATGCCGTGGAGGACGTCCCCATCAGCGATGCCCTGGGCGGCATTCCCGTCAGCGATGCCCTTGACGGCGTCCCCGCTAGCGAAGTCGTGGACGGCATCCCCGTCAGCAAAGCCATGGACGGCGTCCCTGTCGGCGATGCCCTGGACGGCGTCCCAGTTGGCGATGCCCTGGACGGCGTGCCAGGTGGCGATGCCCTGGACGGCGTGCCAGGTGGCGATGCCCTGGACGGCGTCCTCGGCGATGCACTGGACGGCGTCCTCATTATCGATGCCGTGGAATCCATCTTCGTTAGCGATGTCCTGGACGGCGTCCCAGTTGGCAATGCCCTGGACGGCGTCCCAGTTGGTGATGCCCTGGATGGCGTCCTCGGCGATGCCCTGGACGGCGTCCTCGTTATCAATGCCATGGACTCCATCTTCGTTAGCGACGCCCTGGACGGCGTCCTCGTTAGGGATGCCGTGGATGGCCTCCTCGTTAGCGATGCCCTGGGCGGCGTCCTCATTAGTGATGCCCTGGGCGGCGTCCTTGTTAGCAAAGCCCTGGGTGGCATCCTCGTTAGTGATGCCATGGACATGGTCCTCGTCAGCGATGCCCTGGACGGCGTCCTCATCAGCGATGCCCTGGACGGCGTCGTCAGCGATGCCCTGGACGGAGTCCTCATCAGCGATGCCCTGGACGGCGTCGTCAGCGATGCCCTGGACGGCGACACCATCAGCGATGCCGTGGACGGCATCCCCGTCAGCGATGCCCTGGGCGGAGTCCCCGTCAGCGATGCCCTTGACGGCGTCCCCGTCAGCGAAGCCATGGACGGCGTGCCTGTCAGCGAATCCGTGGACGGCGTCCCTGTCAGCGAGGCCCTGGACGGCGTCCCAGTCAGTGAATCCCTGGACGGCGTCCCCGTCGGCGATGCCCTGGGCGGCGTCCCCGTCGGCGATGCCCTGGGCGGCGTCCCCGTCGGCGATGCCCTGGGCGGCGTCCCCGTCGGCGATGCCCTGGGCGGCGTCTCCGTCGGCGATGCCCTGGGCGGCGTCCTTGTTATCGATGCTGTGGAATCCATCTTCGTTAGCAATGCACTGGACGGCATCCCAGTTGGCGATGTCCTGGACGGCATCCCAGTTGGCGATGCACTGGGCGGCATCCTCGTTAGCAATACCGTGGATGGCGTCCTCGTTAGCGATGCCCTGGACGGCGTCGTTAGCGATGCCCTGGACGGCGTCCTCGTTAGCGATGCCCTGGACGGCGTCCTCGTTAGCGCTGCCCTGGACGGCGACCCCATCGCCAAGGCCGTGGACGGCGACCCCGTCGGCGAGGCCGTGGACGGCGTCCACGTCGGCGAGGCCCTGGATGGTGTCCTCGTTATCGATGCCGTGGACTCCATCTTCGTTAGCGATGCCCTGGACGGCGTCCTCGTTAGCGATGCTCTGGACGGCGACCTCAGGGATGCCGTGGACGGCCTCCTCGTTAGCGATGCCCTGGACGGCACCCCGTTGGCGATGCTGTGGAAGGCGACCCTGTTGGCGAAGCCGTGGATGGCGACCCTGTTGGCGAAGCCGTGGACTGTGTCCCAGTCGGCGATGCCCTGGACGGCGTCCCCGTCGGCGATGCCCTGGGCGGCGTCCCCGTCGGCGATGCCCTGGGTGGCGTCCTCGTTGGCGATGCCGTGGAATCCATCTTCGTTATTGATGTCCTGGACAGCATCCCAGTTGGCGATGCCCTGGGCGGCTTCCTCGTCAGCGATGCCGTGGACGGCGTCCCCGTCGGCGATGCCCTGGGCGGCGTCCCAGTCGGCGATGCCGTGGACGACAACCCCGTCAGCGATGCCGTGGACGGCGACCCCGTCGGCGATGCCCTGGACGGCGTCCCCGTCGGCGATGCCGTGGAAGGCTTCCCTGTTGGCGATGCCCTGGAAGGCGTCCTCGTTATCGATGCCCTGGGCGGCGTCCTCGATATCGATGCCGTGGAATCCATCTTCGTTAGCGATGTCCTGGACAGCATCCCAGTTGGCGATGCCCTGGGCAGCATCCTCATTAGCGATGCCGTGGACGGCGTCATCGAGAGCGATGCCCTGGACGGCGTCCCCGTCGGCGATGCCGTGGAAGGCTACCCCGTCGGCGAAGCTGTGGACGGTGTCCCAGTTGGCGATGCCCTGGACGACGTCCCAGTTGGCGATGCCCTGGACGGCGTCCTCGTTATCGATGCCGTGGAATCCATCTTCGTTAGCGATGTCCTGGACAGCATCCCAGTTGGCGATGCCCTGGGCGGCGTCCTTATTAGCAATGCCGTGGACGGCATCATCGAGAGCGATGCCCTGGGCGGCGACCCCGTCGGCGATGCCCTGGGCGGCGTCCCAGTCGGCGATGCCCTGGACAGCGTCCTCGTTATCGATGCCGTGGAATCCATCTTCGTTAGCGATGCAGTGGACGGCATCCCAGTTGGCGATGTCCTGGACGGCATCCCAGTTGGCGATGCCCTGGGCGGTGTCCTCGTTAGTGATGCCGTGGACGGCGTCATCGTTAGCGATGCCCTGGGTGGCGTCCTCGTTAGCGATGCCCTGGACGGCATCGTTAGCGCTGCCCTGGACGGCAGCCCTGGACGGCAACCCCGTCGGCAACGCCGTGGACGGCGTCATCGAGAGTGACGCCCTGGACGGCGTCGTCGTTAGCGACGCCCTGGATGGCGACCTCGTTAGGGATGCCGTGGATGGCCTCCTCATTAGCGATGCCCTGGGCAGCGTCCTTGTTCGCGAAGCCCTGGGTGGCATCCTCTTTAGTGATGCCATGGACGGGGTCCTCATCAGCAATGAGCTGGACTGCATCCTCGTCAGCGATGCCCTGGACGGCGACACCATCAGCGATGCCATGGACGTCGTCCCCTTCAGCGATGCCCTGGGTGGCGTCCCCGTCAGCGATGCCCTTGACGGCGTCCCCATCAGCGAAGCCGTGGACGGCGTCCCTGTCAGCGAGGCCCTGGATGGCGTCCCAGTCAGCGATGCCGTGGACGGCGTCCTCGTCGGCGATGCCCTGGACGGCGTCCTCGTCGGCGGTGCCATGGACGGCGTCCTCGTCGGTGGTGTCGTGGACGGCGTCCTCGTTCGTGATGTCGTGGATGGTGTCCCCATGGGGAGCTTGAAGAACACAGAATAAAGGTCAGTGCCCTGGTGGTGGAGACTGTGAATCACCCAGGGGCTTGCTTGGTGTGGTGCATGGAGGTGGCTTATCACAGCATGGGCCAAGCTGATGCTGGGACATACTCCCAGGTGGACCTGCACTAGTGAAGCTAAGGGATGTGGCTCAGAACACTTTCTACAGTGGGAATCAGTTTCCAGGTTCAGATATGCATTATCCAGTGAAGTGGGGAAATATAAAAAAATAGAAATTGACAAATTCATGAAAAGCCTTCCATGAGTGCAAGTGTGATTTTTTTTGTTAACCACTTTACTTTCAGTATGCATTCACACATACAATTTTTACAAGAAATCAGAAATTTTAATTTTTGTCAGTTATGTTAAATCTAACTTAGCTGCCAACATAAAGATTCTATCTCATTTACTTGGTCTCGAGAAAATCTAGCACATAGTAAGTAGACCAAAATGTTTATTAAATGAAAACACAGAGCAGAGAGAGGGGGGCTGCTAGGCAGACTGGGTTGCACCTGATTACCTGGATGATAATAAACTGCACAAAACCTCGGTCAAATTAATATTGAAACTGCCTTTTGCTTGGGCTCGTTTCCCTTGCGGAAGAAGGATGACCAAGAAGATGAACAGGAAAGAAATGAGAAACCGAGGCCTTTGCTTAGTAGCTAAAGGCTACCTTCTGTAACATGAAATAGTCTACAAGTGGCCTTGAACTCTGCCGTGATTCAGTGACAGAGTTCCCTCATGTCTTCTACCCAGGTTGAAGTCCAGCAAAATTGCGACTGTCCTCTTTACAACTTGCGAGACCACATTGCTTCTGCATTTGCCTGTTGTATGAGATTTACACTTGTTTTAAAGCAACATTTTGTTTCAGTTGGGCTGGTGGCCATACCCGGCACTAGCCAGTCAATAGTGAGATGGCTCCTCATGGAGGAGGCTTGGCTTGAGGCTGAGGGTCTTTAACCCACATATACAAGAGAGTTGCCACTAAGGGATGGAAGCCAGGCTAATAACCAAGTGCCACACAGAGTTCCTATCTGTCCCTCCTCACCATTTTTGGCTGGCAGGTTTTGAGCATTTTAGGGCTTGGGAAGATAGTATTACTAAATCTACTAAAATACATCACCCATCCTTACAGGCTTTGGCCAGCTGCTGAGCAAATTAACTTCACAACTGAAGTGGGCCACACTGGCATTTGTGGTCCCCCACTCCTCTTAGAATTTGTGAGCGTGGGGCCCACTGGAGGGTGGGAGGTGGGAGGAGGGGGAGGATCAGGAAAAATAGCTGATATTAGGCTCAATGTATGGGTGATGCAATAATCTGTACAACAAACTCTCATGACACACATTTCTATATGTAGCAAACCTGCACATCCTGCACATGTACCCCTGAACTTAAAAGTTAAAAAAAAAAGATCTGTGAGCTGAGCAAAACACCTGGGGATCTTTGTGCTTTTGACACACTGATGACTATGCCTGTCCGTGGGGAGATGAGCCTATAACTGCCCTGGGTTGTGTGACCACAGAGGCCACTTTATGATGATGGGCAGTGTCTGGGGCCTTTTGGGCTCGGTGCTTTAGGGCTTATAGATGAATGCTGAACTCCCTGTGTGGTGGTGAACACTCCATGACTAAGTGCATGTCAGTGTCAGCACTGGCCCACACTCCTGGGTTCGTGTTTTCACTTTTTCATTCAGGAACTCAGGAGCTGGGGCCACTCCCTTGGCCCTTCAGGTTCTCCACCTGAGTAGTCGGGATAATAAGGCAGACCCGGGGATGGCTCTGGTGAGGGTAGAGGAGTCACTGTACAGAGAGAGTAGAGCGGGGGTGGATTTTATTGTTAGAAGTGGACACTGGTGATTGGGTTGTATAAGTGGGAAATCTCTCCTGAGAAAACACACAGCCTCACCTGTACAGAAACACACACATTCACACCACACGATGCAGCCTCAAACAAGACACCACCAATCCTCAAGCACCCAACTCAGCACCACCCAAAAGGGAGCACAGCTGCTTCCTCAAAATTTGGCCATAATTTTTCCCTGGGGAATTCAGGTTTTAAAAAAACACTTCCCCTATACTTATTCCTATCACAATCCCAGGATCAGGGTGGCTCTTCACATTGAAACCAGGCAAGGATGCCACACCTTTCTTGGCATCCAGATTGTTTTCTTGGCAAGTGATTCCAGAATACTTACTAGATTCACGCCTCAGAGGGGCCACCTGCACCACCTGCAATACAGAAACAAAACTTTTTGAGGGGTATGTCATGTTGTGGATTGTTTGCACAAGGCTCTGTTTCTCTCAATGAATACTGAAAACTTGATCAGAAAGTGTAGTCAACTTCAAGGCCTCCAAGACAAGGGTAGGATACACACTGGAAAAGACATCAGCTTCTGGATGGTGTATCTCTCAGGTCCACGTAGGTTGGCAAGTGCAAAATACTGAATCCAAGGAGAAGACATTGCTTCCAAGGACAAGGATCCCAAGGATACAGTCTACAACCTGAAGCCGTCATAGCTAAATGCCATTTTGGATTACATATCAGTTGCTAAGAGTCACTTCTTCCTCCCCCTCAGAAAACTGCATTTAATACCTGTCATGGACATTGTCATTTTTTCACATGTAAAGTCAGTTGAAAAAGAAAGACACCAAGAAAGGAACATTTCTATTTCAGAGAAAGCAAGGCAACCTTACCCTCACGTTGACTGGCCTCTCTCCATCTCCTCTGTCCTTGTGAACTAGAGACTCCTCAGAGGCTAGGAGGACACACAGCAACAGTTAGTCATAGATGCTTTTGTTCATGAGTTATTCAGGGAGCTCTGCTTAATGTGGACAACAGGACAGTGTGTGTGGATGTGTTTCATTAAAAGCACAGCTTGAGCTCCTGCTAGAAAATCTTCCCTCGTGGAAAGACAAGCAAGAACGAGGAGCTAAGGAGCAAGAAATAGAGTCCCTGGCATTTTGCTGATGGCAACTTAAGGCAATGGGAATGAGTCAGTCTACAAATGGTACTGAAGCACATGCTATAGTTTGATGAGAGTCCCACTGCTCACACTGTGAGGTTTGAAACCCAGCTAAATGGTTTTCTAAACCCTGTAAAAACAATATTAGCTTGCAGGATTTATGTCCCAAGACTAATTTTGCCTCTGAGGATCCACAGTGGCTGTCACTGTAGTTATTATGTGTTTTAGCATTTTGCACTTGAATAAAAGCAAAGTTTAATAGACAGATTGGATTCAATTCTAGGCAAAACAGTCTATGGTATTTATTCACTAATCCTTTGTTATAACTGCTGATGGGAGAATTAGAAGTACTGAAATTATATCCTTTAAAATTAATTAAAGCATAATTATTAATCACACAATATTTTTTCATCCCGGCCTCCTTTTCTTTGTCATGCATGCATATTAATTGAGGATGGAGAATATCTACGCTTGTTCAGGCCAGCCAACATACGACAGTTTACTTCAAGAGAGGAGACATGGGTTGAATGCTGGTATGTTTTAATTCTGCAGCACAAACAGTTGCAACAAGTGTGGTGAACTAATCACCAGATGGCCCTTTGCTGCCTTATTTGTCATTGTGCCTTACATGTAGCTTGCAGGATTTGATTACGCTTATGTTTTGTGGTGATCATACTTTCAACTATTCCTAAGATACTGCTTCAGTCTTATCTGTTTGGGGTCAACTGCTGAGGATTTCTTACAAATTAATGAAGTTTGTGAATCTAAAGTTCTACACAAAGGGGGAAATATTTGCAAATCATTTATCTTGTAAGAGACTAAAATTTAGAATATATTTTAAATATATTTAAGATATATTCAAAAATCTACAACAACAAACTAACTAAATAAAAATCAGACAACTCTTTAAAAATGGGCAAAAGACTTCAACATATATTTCCCTAAAGAAGATATAGCCACAGATAGTAGCACAGGAAAAGCTGCTCAGGATCATTAGTCATTAGGGAAATGCAAATGAAAAACACAAGCAGACACCAATATACACCTACTAGGATGATTTAAAGGAAAATAAGTGTGAACAAGGATGTAAAGAAATTGTAACCCTGATACATTGATGGTAGAAATGGATAAAGTTGCAGCCACTGTGAGAAACAGTCTGCAGTGGCTCAGAAGGTTAAATGTAGAACTCCCGTTAGACCCAGGAACTCTACTCTTAGGCACCCCAAACAATAGAGAACAGAAATCAAACAGATGCTTGTATACTAATGTTTATAGCATCACTTTTCACAGGAGGCAAAAGGTGGAAATAATCCAACCATCAGTGAACAAATGAATGTAATAAAAGCAAGGTGGTCTACATGCAATGCTACATCATCCATCTGTAAAAAACGAACATAATTTTGGTAGATGATACAACATGGGTGGACATTGAGAACATTATGCTTAGTGAAATAAGCCAGACACAAAAGGAATATATTGTATAATTGTACTTACATGAAGTGCCTAGAATAGTCAAATTCATACAAGAGAAAGTGGATAGGAATCACCATGGGCTGGAAATAGGGGGAAGGCGCTATATTGCTTATTGTGGACAAGGTTTTGTAAGAAATCATCAAAATTGTGGGTGTAGATAGTGGTGTTGGTTATGCAACCCTGTGAATATATTGAATGCCACGGAGTGCACACTTTGGTTAAAAGGTTCAAATGATAAATATTGTGTTATATATATTTCTCCAAGATAGCAAACATGCACAGCCAAGCCCAGATGCCAGTCTTGTTAGCTGCCTTCCTTTACCTTCAAGAGTGGGCTGAAGCTTGTCCAATCTTTCAAGGTTGCTGAAGATTGTATGATGGAAGTCATCTGCATTGGGAAAGAAATTAATGGAGAGAGGAGAAAACTTGAGAATCCACACTACTCACCCTGCAGGGCCAAGAACTCTGTCTCCCATGCATTGCTGACCCGTCTCAGTATTTCCTGTGACCACCTCCTTTTTCAACTGAAGACTTTGCACCTGAAGGGGTTCCCAGGTTTTTCACTTCGGCCCTTGTCAGGACTGATCCTCTCAACTACTGACCATTTCACCTCCATTCATGTCCATGCCACATCAGGCTGTGTTGTCTAGATGGAATGAATCCACCCCAAATGTCCCTTTCTGGAGGAAGCCACCATTATGCTGTGCCTCCAACACGTCCACACACACCAAGTCACCTCGCTCATGCAAGGTGTGTGTCCTCTAACAAAGTTTCACGCTCTAAACCCAGATAACTTTTGAAACCCAAGTTCTGTTGATTCCCCTACTTTGGGTGCTCCATAGTTGCTCATTTGTCTACTAAACACTGCCCCAGGCAATTAAATATTCCAAAGTGACCAGCAGAATTTTTATGTTAATTCTGACATTGCGTTGTTAGTACAAGTGTTTTTCCCCCTTCAAATTTATGTCTTTGTTACTGATAAATGTAACTGATAATGCTTTTTTCAGCTATGTTGCCAAGCATATTTATATAAAAATATACTCAGATTGTTTTCAGAATTTGACAAAGATGATAGCAACAATGATAATCTCATTTGTTTTATACTAATCTTTATGTGTTACTTTCATCATTTCTTACATATTGGGGCCTACCATACATTGTACAGTGAAATTAGTACTATGCATCATGGTAGGAATATAAATTGGCAAAAGTAATTTAGAAAATAGTTCTCGTTTCTTAAAAAAATTAGGCTGGGTGTGGTGGCTCATGCCTATAATCCCAGCACTTTGAGAGGCAGAGGTGGGCGGATCACCTGAGGCTAGGAGTTTGAGACTAGCCTGACCAACACAGCAAAATCCTGTCTCTACTGAAAATACAAAAATTATCCATGCGTGGTGGTGTGTGCCAGTTGTCCCAGCTACTCGGGAGGTTGAGGCATGAGAATTGCTTAAACCTGGGAGGTGGAGGTTCCAGTGAGCTGAGATTGTGCCACTGCACTCCAGCCTGGGTCTCAGAAAAAAAAAAAATTTTTTTTGACCAAAATGTCATTATGCATTACATGACTGTATATGAATGCTCAAAGCTACATTACTCATCAAAGAAAAAAACAAAATAATTAAATGTCCATTAACTGATAAATGAATAAACACTATCTGTATGAATAAACACAGCAGACTATGAAGGAAAACACATGACCAGCACGTGCTAACACGTCAATTAACTTCAAACATAGTATGCTAAATGAAGGAAGTCAGATTCCAAATATATATATATGTCCATTTCTATAAAGCAAGTGGGAAATTTATGGAGATGGAATGTCACAGCAGTATTGCTTAGGGCTGGAGATGGGAGTGGGGATTAACTGCCAGTGCACAAGAGAGAACTTGGGTGAGGGAAACATATTTAAATTAGATCGTGGTGTTGGGTGCACACAGTATCAATTTAATAAAGCATCAAATTGCAGACCTTTTCAGTGGGCAAACTTTATGGTGGGTTCACACCCAATATAGGTGTTAAAAATAAATTAATGTTATGGAAATTCTTGTCGGGTTTTTAACAAGCCAAGAGATATGCTGTGAAAGCAGCATTAATTCAAATGGTTGTCACAGGTCACTTAATCAGATAGTTGTCCTACAAATATAGGGTGAATGTTATTCACGAATTTCCTGAATCTATTGCAATAATCACATTTTTTTCCATTAAACTCTTGAGGTAGCTAATTTTATTTATTGCATTTTCAATGTTAATCTACTATTTCATATTTTGAGATTAACTCACATTAGTCAGAATTTACAGTATTTTAAAATATCACAGAATTTAATTTACCTTATCTGGTTTTGGTTTCAAGACTATACTAGCCATTTCATTTAATTGTACATGTAGGGTATTCTAATTTATGGAAAACTATTACATCTTCCTTGATTTTTTTTTTTTTTTAGAAATTACTTCTAGGGATCTATATGGTAGAGTCCATGGAGAATTGTTTTAATTCTACATTCATGTCTTCAGTGGGTATACGATTGGTCATATTGGTCATAGTTTTCTGCTCGGATTTCAATAAGAAACTTGTGGAAGAACCTGAAGGGTGGGATCTTTGAGGGAGCCTAAGACGGAGCAAGACAAGCTAAGAAGGAGGGCAGTGCCACAGCAGAACTGTTATTGATGCCCCCTCACCTAGATTGCAGAAGAGACATCCAGCTGTAGACACTGAGGTGCAGGAAAACAATGGAGCACCATCAGAGAAAGCAGTGCCCAGGAACAAGGAGGCACTGATGGTGGCAAGGGGCAAAGACAGCTACCACGAGGCTGTTCACATGAGGGTCTCAGGCTGCATAGACACCCACACCAGCTGAGGGGTCCTGGTTTTCATAAAGTGTGTGGCTCAGCCAGGCCACCAACAAGAAGTTCACAAACAGTAGTAATACGACACTTTCCAAAGACCTTACTTGAGTAACATGGTGATCCTCACAAATTTCCAATCAGGATGGTCGCACGGTTCCTCCTGCTTTAGGACTCAGAGCCTGCCCATGGTCACAGTGGGTAGGTGCAGACTCTGAAGATGCCCTTTGGTCAGAGACCCCGCTGAACTCTGTCTAATGAGGACCTCTGTCCTGTCTGCTGACCACCGGTCAGAGGTGCAGGCTGCACTGGGGAGTAAGAATGCCACCTTCTCAATGTTGGGAAAACTCCCTGCCAGAACTGAGAATGGCCCTTTCTAAGCAGAAGACAAGCTCAGACTAAAGAAGGAGGCCGACCACATCAGGTTGGCAGATTGCCAAAGATTCACTCAGGGAGAGCCCACATCCTGGGCCATCTTGGGTGGTGGCAAGATGAGGTAGATGACTGCTTTTGCAACACATACCTGACAACAAAAAATCAACAACTGTAAAAGAGCCACAAAATCCCCAAATATTTGCAAATTAGCAATGCAGTTTTAAATAACTCATGGGTTAAAGAAGAAGTCTCAATAGAAAATTAAAAATACTTTTAACTACATTAAAAGAAAATGTGACTTGGCAAGATTTCTGGATGTAGCAAAAGCAGTCCTTAGAGGGAAATCTATAGCATTGGATGTAATATACTAAAAATCACAAGATCTAAAATCAGTAATATCATGTTTCAATTAGGGAACTGTAGAAAATAGAGGAATGCAATGGAAAGCAAGTAAAAGTAATAAACAACATCACAGAAATCAATAAAATTAAAACACTGAAATCATCAGAAAATCAATAAAACCAAAAGCTGGTTCTTTGATATGCTCATTACAATGAATGAATTGATATGCAGGCTAACCAAGAAAAAGAAGATAACACAAATGACCAATTTCAGAAATAAAAGAGGAGCCATCTCTACTGAACTGTTAGGCATTAAAAGGAATATTATGAACAGTTCTATGACCGCAGTTTGATAACCTCAGTGAAATTTATCAATTCCTTGAAAGGCAATCTTCCCAAGGTCACGCTAGAATCCTAATGTGAATAAACTTATGTCTATTAAATAAGTTGAATTCACATTAAGAGCATTCCGAAAAAGAAAGCACCAGGCCCAGATGGTTTCTCTCATGAAATCTACCGAATTCTTCAACAGGCGAATAAAAAGACAAAAATTCATTTAATGCAATATTATTTGGTGATTTAATGTGCCATTTTTTGCCATTAAGGCATAAAAAAGACATGAAAGCAGCTAAAGCGTACATCAATTTAGTGCAATAAATTCATCTGAAAAAACTACATAATATATGATTCCAACTATACGACATTCTGGAAAAGGCAAAGTTGAAGCGATAGTAAAAATGTTAATAGTTGCCATGGTTTCTGGAGAAAGAGGACAGAGATTAATGAGAAGAGAGGATTTTTAGGGAAGTGAACATTTTCTTTATGAGACCATAAGGGTGAACATAATGTTTTAAATATTTCAAAATTCATATATATGTATAACAGAAAGAATGAACATTATGCAAATGTAGACTTTAGATAATAATGTATCAATATTTTCTCATTATTCTAGCAAATGTACCACAGTAATGTAAGATGTTACTAATAGGTGAAATTAGGAAGTGAGGATGAGGAGACAGAATAATATGGGAACTTCGTGTATTATATACTCAATTTTTATTTATTTATTTATTTATTTATTTATTTATTTATTTTGAGATGGAGTTTCACTCTTGTCACCCAGGCTGGAGTGCAATGGCATGATCTTGGCTCACTGCAACCTCTGCCTCCCGGGTTCAAGCGATTCTCCTGCCTCAGCCTCCTGAGTAGCTGGGATTACAGGCGCCTGCCACCATACCGGGCTAATTTTTTTGTATTTTTAGTAGAGATGGGGTTTCACCATGTTGGCCAGGCTGGTCTCCAACTCCTGACCTCAGATGATCCGCCTGCCTTGGCCTCCTAAAGTGCTGGGTTTATAAGCGTGAGCCACCACGCCTGGCCATATGCTCAGTTTTTATGTCAATTTAAAACTCTCTAAAGAAATATATTAATTGAAAAATAATAATATAGCACCACTCTTTCAGGGAGATCTATGCTTATGTTTAACAACCAGGTAAGTTCTAGACATTAGCTTGAAACATTGTCTATCATTAAACATGAACCACAATTGACTTTTAAGTAGATATTTACTTTTGTGGTTGTAGCAATATTTACTGACCAGGCAAATTAGAATCCTGACACATTAAAAAATATGGCTTAGTCTCTTCATAGTTTCCTCTTACATATGGGACACTGAATACTCCCCGCAATTGCAATTCTTGAAGCAACTTAATTAATGAACTTCCACAGTACCTTCTTGTGGGTACATCTTCTTCTTTACCGGGGAGCCATGAGGTCTCCGACACTGGTTGGTGTGCACAGCATATCTTCTTGTATTCTCTATCAGAGAAGATGCTGGTTAACGCATTTACAATAGATAGGGCTGTTGACATCTTGCTGACTGAAGACCAGAGGGAAAACAGTGATAATCTGTTCTAAGTTTAAACTTATGATGTTTTTCTTTACAGGCTTCCAAGCAGAGCCCACTGAATCAAAGTTGGGTTTCAGGAAGATCACGGAGTTCAGTGAGCACTCAACACCTCTATCAGACAGACTGTGTGGGCAGTGCCTTCCTGGAGAGGAGAACACAGCAGGATGACTGTGAGTGCAGGGCTGGTGCAGAGTGGGGGCCCGGATTCAAATTCCACTAAGCCATGTGGACCTAGAAATCTCATGTCCTCCCTCTGCCCTCAGTTCTCTGCACTGTCATAATGTAATTTTAGCAATACTTTTTAGGCCCTATTTAGGCCCTACTTCTTAGTATCACAGTACGGGGCTAAAAAATCACTAAATACAGGAAAACCTTAGAGAGGACTGGTACTTCAGTAATGTTCTCTAAGTGTTTACTACATGCCAGGAGGAATAAGCTGGACACTTAGCAGTGGTGGAATATGGAGGGGGAACTTGGATGGCTCCGGGGCAGTGGAGCATGCTTTCCTGTTCAGCTTTTCCGTGGGCATGATGCCTTATGGTTTATGGAGAACATCAGCCCTGCAGGGGGTGCAGAGGAGGGGCTGTGGCTGAGATTTTACACTTGAGGGTGCTGACATTCAGAGATGATAAGTGACGAGCAGAACCTCAACCCCGCTGAGTGAAGGACCTGAGATGGGAAATGTATTTGGTTCCCTAGAGAGAGAGTTTCCTGAAAAACTGCCACCTCTTCATCACGCCCTGTGCCAGAGACCCAAGAGGCCCTTCACTGTCTTTCCCCAGTCCTCCTAGCCCAAGGTGTGTGGGTGGACAAAGGTGATGCTCTGGAGGAAATGCCTGAGATAAGGACAGGTCCTTAATGATAAAGAATTCTCCTTCCTCTTTCAGATCCTTGACTTCCCCAGTATGACAGCTTAAAGGCTGTCATCTCTGTGGCCTGCCTCCCCTTTCCCTTCACCCTGCCAGCTGCCTCTCAGTGACTGTCTCCTCCAGTGACTACACTGAGGGACCAGGGACTGCTTGCCTCCCGAGGCTGCTCAGACCTTCTGACACTGCAAAATGATTGTCAAAAGATGGGTCTGCAAAGAGTAACTTCGCTTCCAATGATCAAACCTGAATATGCAAGCTACTGTGAATTAACTGGAAAAGTGGCCATGTGGGCTGGTGCTTTGGTGATTTAATGAATTAAGTCTGCAACCCCCACTGCCTCCTTGACTATTGATCAGAGCTACCTGCAATAAGGTCTGGCTAAGAATGGGCAGTGGTTGCACCAGCTCTGGGTAAAATTTGACCTAAAATGACCAGTCTCATTCACTAACCTCAACATAGTCTTATGGGTTCAATGGACCTGTCCAATCCTTTGCTCTGTTCTCTCCATCACCTTCCTGTGTAATTTTCCTCCACCACACACATAATAGAAACATGGCACAGGGTAGCTAATCACCTCTTTTATCCCCCACTTCAGGCTCACACATAAGTTTATAGTAAAAGCCTTTTCAAATGACTGCTTTAACTGCTGCTACAGCATGTGTCATCAGTTGAATGGAATCTGTCATGTGACTTTAAGCAACCCTTTGTTGAGAGACAAGATTCAATACTAGGGACAGTATTCTAGTGTACTACATCATTGATTTTATGTTATGAAGATCATCATTTATTGAAAATGTATAAACAAAGCGCAGCCTTACTCTTTAATGCTGTGTGTGTAAATCCACTGAGTGTGCTGACCCCCACGCTTGTACCCACCTGCTAACACAGAAAGGGTCCACTCAGAAGGGAGGCACAGCTCCAGCACTGAGGCTGTCCACACCAGCTTCACAAGAGGGTTGCCACAAGGACGACAGATACCCGGATAACAACCAAATGGTAATTTGAGTACTTAATGGTCATGATCCCTAATGTGTGTAGCTCAGAGGGCTTGTGGTGATAACTCCATCAAGACTCTAAAGCGTCTCCCCAATTCTTACTGGACTTGATCCATGTCTTGAGGAGACCCAGCTATGACACGCAGGCACCACGTTGTCCTACTTAGTGCCTCCCTTAGTGTTTCAGAACCTGTGATTTGATCAGAAACATGGGCTTTCTATGTTGGTTTCACACAAAGGACTATGTGACACCTGCAGGAAGGTGTCTACATAGCTACCTGGATTATGAGATCATGAGGCTCTCTTATGTGAGGGGTGGCGTTTGGGATCTCTGCAGGCGTGGGTAATTCCAGGCATAGAGGGTGCTGGAACTCCCTTGCATGGTGAATAGTGATCTCTTCACTGGCTGATAAATAGAGGTTGTAGTTCAGGCCTTCAACATTAGCACCATATGAGTAAACATTTTGACTCTTCACTATGCAGCAAGTGAACCAGGGCACATTTATTTATGTGGCTTAGTTTCTCCATCTGGCATGTGGGCTCAATAAACAAGCTCACAACATATGGGCATGATGATGATGAGGTGTGAACTAATGTAAGTAAAGTATGTGGTCTGACTTGTTAAATTAAGAAAAATGGCACTGAGAGTTGTGCTGGGTAAACACAACATTTTTTTCCTAGGGAAAACACACATAGACACACATTCACAAGCAAATCATGCAGACTTGCACACAGACCACCTCACCCCACCCCCGCCCTAATACACACATAACCACACACAACCTAATGTGAACACGTTCCCAGAAACTATAAATAGATAAAAAGAGTATGTCACCTGGAAAACCAGTTTCTTTTACTATACCCCACATCCTCATTCCCACAAGATATCTTGGATCATGGAGGCTCTCCAGACAAAAGCCAGCAGTTAAGCTCCAGATTTCCTGTAGAATCCTTTTCTAACAACCAGTGAGTGATTCCAGAATACGTACCATTGAATGTGCTCCCTGAAGTCACCTGTAATTAGAGAAGGAAAACACTCTGAGAATCAGGCTATGCTATGGATGGCTCACACAGGTCTTTTGTTCACTTGGAAACTCTGGGTAACCAAGATTGGAAATAAGGTTCAAGTCAAAAGCCCCAACTCTAGAGTAGAGTTCCCTTAGGAAAGCACAGGAGCTTTTCTTGAAGAATGTTTCTGTCTAGGTAATTTTTGAGTAGCAATTGAAGAATTCTTATCTAAAGTGGAAAGCTTGTTCCTGAAGAAAACATCCCTTAACACGCAGTGTATTATCTGACACTGCCAATTTTGCACGTCCTCTGGAATCAGGTGTCAGTTGGTAAAATACACCTCCTCCATCCCCAAGGAAATATTATCTAACATCTATAATGTAGTGGATAATTTTCCCATAGCTGATATCAACCGAAAAATAAAGGATCCAAGAAAACAACATTTACATCTTAGGCAAAGACAGGCTGCTTTACCTTGGTAGTAGAGTAGGGCTCCCTTTTCACACGCTTTTTGGAAGAATTCTTCGAGTCACCTAGGGGATGTGGAGGGACACAGCATGGCTGTCAGTTCATTGGCAGTGCTACTCATGAATGACTCAGGGACTGGAACTTAGGGGTGTGCCTGGTTAACAAGCATGGAATGAGCTTCTCCTGGACCATCTTCTTCACGGACCAAGGAAGGCAAAGAAACAGGAGCAAGGAAATGAGAGTAGAGCCCTTGGCTTTCCAGGTAATGGCAAATGAAAGCAACGTGAAATAATCAAACTCCAAATGAACAAATGCTAAAATACATGCTAGGATTCAACCACAGCATCCTGTCACTTCTTCAGACCCTTTAAAAGCCCAGCAAGACTGCCACTACCTTCTTGACATCTACCAAGTCCCTTTCAACCTCCACAGACCCACATACACTGCTACTGCATTTATCATGGAGGGTATAGGGTTCTGCCTTGTTTATGTGTGAATTTTTTAAAAACTAGATTTAATACCATGCACCAGCATTAATTGTACTTATTTCTTTTCTTGGTTATGAAAATAGTCAGGCATAGTGGCTCACACCTGTAATCCCAGCAGTTTGGAAGGTGGAGGTGGGCGGATCATTTGAGGTCAGGAGTTCGAGACCAGCCTGACCAACATGGTAAAACCCCATCTCAACTAAAAAAAAAAAAAAAAAAAAAAAAAAAAAAACCCAGCTACTCAGGAGGCTGAGGCAGGAGAATCCCTTGAACCTGGAGGCAGAGATTGCAGTGAGCTGAGATTGCACCACTGCACTCCAGCCTGGGTGACAGAGACTTCATCTCAAAAAAATAAAAAATAAAAAATCAGGCCAGGTGTGGTGGCTCACGCCTGTAATCCCAGCACTTTGGGAGGCTGAGGTGGGTGGATCATGAGGACAGAAGATTGAGACCATCCTGGCTAACAGAATGAAACCCCATCTCTACTAAAAACACAAAAACTTTGCCAGGCGTGGTGGCACGTGCCTGTAGTCCCAGCTACTTGGGAGGCTGAGGCAGGAGAATCGCTTGAACACAGGAGGCAGAGGTTGCAGTGAGCTGAGATCATGCCACTGCACTCCAGCCTGGGCAAGACTCTGTCTCAAAAAAAAAAAAACCTCCCCTAAAAATAATAATTAAAGATTAGAAAATACTGAAATACTTATATTTTAAAATAACCACTATAACCATACATTTTCCGTTCAGTCTTCCTTTGCCCTGTGTTTGCAGTCATCGTGTGAGGGGCTGCCCATGTTCAGCCCAGGCAACCCACAGCGAGAGAGGGCAGAGCAGGGAGATGGGCCCTGGTGAGCACTGAGGCTCTTGAAACCAGCTGCCAAGGGAGTTGCAAGCAGGGTGACACATGAGGCTCATTATTTAGTGGTATTTTGTGTTCTTGTCTTGTCCCCAGGTTGTGTAGCTCACAGACTTTTTTTTTTTTTAACATTTCTATAGGGGTCATTTGAAGTTCATAACACCATCAAACATCAGTACAGGGTCTTCCCATTATTTACCGGCTTTGGGATATGTGCTGAGGAGTGGCCGCGCACTGAAGGAATGTGACCGGTTGTCCCAAGTGTTCCTCCAACTCAAAATCCGCAACCAGTTCAAAAGCATTTGGGCTTTTATGAGCCTTTCACATAAAGACTATGACACCGCTAAGCTATTCATGTACTAATACCTGCCCTGAGCTGTGTGACCACAGACACCACCCTATAATGTGGCCAGTGTGTAGGAACTCTACAGGCTCAGATCATTCCAGACATACATGCAGATGTTGGGACTCCCTTGCACAGTGACTCATGATCCCAAGGCTGAGTGCTGAGGGCAGGTCAGTAGTTCAGAGCCTCAGCATTGGGGCTGTATGCTTGGGTTCCCATCTTGGCTCTTTTGCTGAGGGGCTAATAAGCTTGGGCACATTCATCTCTGTCTTTTTCTGCCCAGTAAAAGGTGATAGTAAATCAATCATGCCATTTGTCTGTGGTGATGGCCGAATGATTTGATGTAGGTAAAGTGTACAGTATAAGTGCTCATGAGGCTTAATTATCAGGGAAATGTCTTGCTTTAGATTTCACAGCTTAATAAGGCTCAGAGGCTTATTCACGCCCAGGATTCTGAACTCCCAAGTCATTGTTCTATGACATGCACCTGCTTGGCCTAAAACCAACCACTTTATCATAATGCAGACCCAGTTTTGAAAGAAGCAGATAAAGTTGTCAAAAGTACTGTGTCTGCCTCAGCGCACACACAGTGCGCTCCACACAAAGGGCATCACCATCTGCCACAATGGCCCAGTGGCCTGGCTGGTGCAGACAGTGGCAGAGCAAAGGGCAAGAGATCCCTAATCCCATCACCATGGTCGATAGGGCATCATAGACATTCCAGGGTGAAGGCACAATCCACGTTGTGAGGTCCAACTGCTGCCATGTAGACAGGTGTGTTTTTACATGTACAGGAAGATCATTGAAGATAAGTGTTTTTTATCCATGGTTAACAGATGAGATGACCATGAAATGAACACCAGTGTACTGGGTGGAGCAGCTTATCTATTCAGTCTTCTGCACTAAAACCTGTGAAACAATATCATCTTGCCTTATTTACTAACAAATACAAGTGCCTCTAAACTTAGACAGTTGCCAAGTCATGGAACTGATGAGCACTTAGCTCCTGCAGAGAGCTCTGGATGATGGGTCGGGAGAACAAAGTCACACAATACATCAAAACAGCATTAACAAGTAAACAGGATTTCAAAGCTCTCTACAGGCAAATTTACACAATTATCCTTTTAATTTTAATCTTCATATATATGTACATAATCTACTTGCTTCTGAGTATAAATAAAACTGTATGTTCTTAGTTAATAGTCTCTACCAATTAATTCTATTTATCTTTCTGAGTTGAAATACTGCATCTCATTGGATAACAAAAAAAAATTTGACTAAGATTACACTGGAAAGGTGAGTAGGTTGGGTGATTGACTGTGATTGACAATTCCATGATTTTGGATAACTCCAAAAGCATAAAAATAAATGTGAGTTTTATTTCACACGCAGACAATACACGTTCTTATTACTTTAAAAAATTAATATGTGAATGGAAATGACTTACTACAAATTTATTAAAGTAAATACACATTTCACAAAAAAAGAAGAGAGGAAGGGAAAAACATGTTAAAAACAAAGATAGGTACATTTTATGGTGTGAAAAGCCTCCAACCCATCCATACTACTGTGGCTTTGTTCCAAAGTTTTGGAAAGTAATGATTTCATAGGTTCTTAATTAGGTTAAAAACTGAATTAAAATAGACTTTGCCATATTCTCCCCTAGGGAATAATTAATCTGTGGGGTGGGGGATGGAACGTTGAAGGATGCAGGATGTAAAAGGAAATTATACATATATTATAAATATAATTATATATGTATAATATATATTATACAATATATATAATATATAAATAATATATTATATATATTATATATCTATATTATATATTATATAATTATATATACAATTATATATATAAAATACATATATATATATAATTTGGGAATTTGGGAATAAACTGAATCCCAATTCACACTGGGATTACAAAAGCTGCCACCATGCCTGGCTAATTATTTCTATTTTTAGTAGAGACAGGGTTTCAGTGTATTGGCCAGGATGGTCTTGATCTCCTCACCTTGTGATCCTCTTGCCATGGCCTCCCAAAGAGCTGGGATTACAGGCCTGAGAAAAGATACACATTTTTTAAATGAAGAAAAATTTCAAAGGTACTCTGCTTGGTACAATAATCAAATATACAAATTGAGGAATAAAACATAACCATGAAACATATTTATAACTGCATATGGAAAATACAGAGGATAAATTTTTAAATAAAATATTTTGAAAGACGTAACTAGTAATTTGAAAAGATCGCATTTGACAGGCCAGTATGAACATACCTTGAATGCAGTAACACAGGTTCCCCATAAGAAAAATAAAAATCAGGGAAAATGAAACTACAAGGTTCAATCTGCTCTGACCTTTGAAAAACTCAGCACAGACAGTGGCACTTAGGACCAAGGGCAGGAGATCCCTAATCCCATCACCATGGTGATAGGGCATAAACATTCCAGGGTGAAGGCACAATCCACATTGTGAGGTCCAACTGCTGCCATGCAGACAGGTGTGCTTTTACATGTACAGGAAGGTCATTGAAGGCTCAGTGTTTTGTTTCAAATATATATTATATATTATATATGAAATATATATGCTATATATTATATATAATATATATGATATATATATTAATTATATATTATATAATTATATATAATATAGAATATATATTATATATATTACATATATAATATATATAACATATTATATATAAAATATATATAACATATTATATATAATACTATATATTATATATGTCATATAATATAAAATATATGTCATCTTATATATTATATATATAATATAAAATATATGTCATCTTATATATTATATATATAATATTATATATAATATATATCATTTCCTTTTACATCCTGCATCCTCATGTTATATAGAATATAATAATACATAATATGTAATTATATATATCAGTATAATATATATAAATATATACATAATGTAATTACATATATATAATTATATATAATATAATATATAAAATATATTATAATATAATATATTATGTAATATATAATGTAAATAATCTATATTATATATGACATATAATATATATTATATGAAACTATATATGATATATATTATATAATATACATTATATATTACATATATAATATATAATATATATTATATGTAAATTATATATATCATGACATATATTATATATAATCTATATTTTATATATAATATATTATATGATATATAATATATATTATATGATATATAATATATATTATATGATATATAATATATAATATATTATATGATATATGATATATAATATATTATATGATATATGATATATAATATATTATATGATATATGATATATAATATATTATATGATATATGATATATAATATATTATATGATATATGATATATAATATATTATATGATATATGATATATAATATATTATATGATATATGATATATAATATATTATATGATATATGATATATAATATATTATATAACAATATATAAAATATTATATAACAATATATGAAAAATATTATGTATATATAATAAATATTATATACATATTTTTTTTGCAGACAGAGTCTTGTTCTGTGGCACAGGCTGGAGTGCAATGGCGCCATCTTGGCTCACTGCAAACTCTGCCTCACGGGTTCAAGTGATAGTCCTGCCTCAGCCTCCCAGGTAGCTGGGACTTCACCACACTGGGACTACACCAGCTGCCAACATGTCTGGCTAATTTTTTGTATTTTTAGTAGAGACAGGGTTTCACTGTATTGGCCAGGATGGTCTTGATCTCCTCACCTTGTGATCCTCTTGCCTTGGCCTCCCAAAATGCTGGGATTACAGGCCTTAGCCAAGATACATATTTTTTAAATGAAGAAAAATTTCAAAGGTGCTCTGCTTGGTACAATAACCAAATATATAAATTGAGGAATAAAACATGACCATGAAACATATTTATAATTGCATATGGAAAATACAGAGGATAATTTTTTAAATAACATATTTTGAAAGCATTAACTAGTAATTTGAAATGATCACATTTGACAGGCCAGTATGAACATGTCTTGAATGCAGCAACACAGGTTCCCCATAAGAAAAATAAAAATCAAGGAAAATGAAACCACAAAGGTTCAATTTGCTCTGACATTTGAAAAACTCAGCACAGACAGTGGCACTTAGGACCAAGGGCAGGAGATCCCTAATCCCATCACCTTGGCGATAGGGCATAAACATTCCAGGGTGAAGGCACAATACACATTGTGAGGTCCAACTGCTACCAGGCAGACAGGAGTGCTTTTACATGTACAGGAAGGTCATTGAAGGCTCAGTGTTTTGTTTCAAAAACTGAATCCGAAGCCCACACATTATTATGCTGTGCTAGTTAAAATAAGTTATGAGATGGGAAATAGGGCAACCCCATATATATATAAAATTACATACAATATAATATATATAACATATATAACACATATATAATTTCCTTTTACATCCTGAATGCTTATATTATATATAATATATTATATATAATAAATAATAATATATAATTATATGTAATATATATAATGATATAGATATAATTATTATAAATAATATATAAAATTATATATGTAATTATATAATTATATATAATTGTATATAATTATATATATTATTTACGATATATAATATATAATATATAATATATAGTATGACATAATATATATTACATATATTATATTATGACATATAATATATATTACATATATATGACATATAATATATATTACATATATTATGACATATTATATATATTATATATTACATATATATATAATTTTGTTTTAGAGTCTTGTTCTGTTGCACAGGCTGGAGTGCAATGGCGCCATCTTGGCTCAATGCAACCTCTGCCTCACGGGTTCAAGCGATAGTCCTGCCTCAGCCTCCCAGGTAGCTGGGACTACACCACACTGGGAGTACACCAGCTGCCACCATGACTGGCTAATTTTTTGTATTTTTAGTAGAGACAGGGTTTCACTGTATTGGCCAGGATGGTCTTGATCTTCTCACCTTGTGATCCTCTTGCCTTGGCCTCCCAAAGTGCTGGGATTACAGGCCTTAGCCAAGATACATATTTTTTAAATGAAGAAAAATTTCAAAGGTACTCTGCTTGGTACAATAATCAAACATATAAATTGAGGAATAAAACATAGCCATGAAACATATTTATAACTGCATATGGAAAATACAGAGGATAATTTTTTAAATAACATATTTTGAAAGCATTAACTAGTAATTTGAAGAGTTCGCATTTGACAGGCCAGTATGAACATACCTTGAATGCAGCAACACAGGTTCCCCATAAGAAAAATCAAAATCAGGGAAAATGAAACCACAAAGGTTCAATCTGCTCTGACCTTTGAAAAACTCATCACAGACAGTGGCACTTAGGACCAAGGGCAGGAGATCCCTAATCCCATCACCATGGCGATAGGGCATAAACATTCCAGGGTGAAGGCACAATCCACATTGTGAGGTCCAACTGCTGCCATGCAGACAGGTGTGCTTTTACATGTACAGGAAGGTCATTGAAGGCTCAGTGTTTTGTTTCAAAAACTGAATGCCAAGCCCACACATTATTTTGCTGTGGTTCTTAAAATAAGTTATGAGATGGGAAATAGGGCACCCCCAAATATAGCCAATAGTGAGAGTTTCAAATTGAAGAGTGGCACAACTGATACGTTGAGAATAAACAGAGATTCCATTCTGTTTTTTCTTTTTCAACTTTTATGTTAGATTCAGGGTGTACACGTGCAGGTTTTTTCCTGGGTGTATTGTGTGGTGCTGAGGTTTGGGGTGTGAATGATCCCAACCCCCAGGTACTGAACATGGTACTCAGCAGTTTTTCAACCTTTTCCTTCCTCCCTCCCCCTCCTAGCAGTCCCTAGTGTCTATTGTCACCATCTTCATATCCATGGGTACTCAGAATTTAGCTCCTACTTATAGGAACATGAGGCGTTTGTTTTCTTTTACTGCATTAGTTCACTTCCTGGATTCCAGCTCTATCCATTTTCCCTCATAGAACATAATTTTATTCTTTTTTGTGGCTGCATAGTATTCAATGGTCTGTATGTACCACATTTTTATCCAGTCCACTGTTGATGGGCACCTAGGTTGATCCCATGTCTTTGCTAATGTGAATAATGTTGCAATAAACATACAAGTGCATATGTCTTTTTGGTGGAATGATTTGTTTTCTTTTGGATACATATTCGGTAATGAGACTGCTGGGTTGAATGTTAGTTCTGTTTTATGATCTTTGAGAAATCTCCAAATTGCTTTCCACAGTGGCTGAACTAACTTACATTCCCACCAAAGGTGTATAAGCATTCCCTTTTCTCCTTATCCTTGCCAGTATCTGCTATTTTTTTTTTTTGACTTTTTAAAAATAGCCATTCTGACTGGTGTGAGATAATATCTCATTGTGGTTTTGATTTGCATTTCTCTCATGATTAGTGATGATGAGCATTTTTTTCATGGTTGTTGGCTGCATGTATGTCTCCTTCTGAGAAGTGTCTATGTCTTTTGCCCCTTTTTAAATGGGGTTGTGTTTTGCTTGTTGAATTATGTTCCTTATAGATTCTAAATATTAGACCTTTGTTGGATGCATAGTTTGTGAATAATTTCCCCCATTCTGTAGGTTGTTTACTCTGCTGATGGTTTCCTTTGCTGTGTGGCAGCTCTTTAGTTTAATTAGGTCCCATTTGTCAACTTTTGCTTTTGTTGCAATTTCTTTTGAAGACTTAGTCATGAATTATTTCCCATAGCCCATATCCAGAATGGTACTTTTGAAGTTTTTCTTCTTGGATTATTGTAGTTTGAGGTCTTAAATTTAAATCTTTAATCCAACCTGAGTTAATTTTTGTATATGGTGAAAAGGTGACCAGTTTTTTGTTTTTTTGTTTTTGTTTTTTGTTTGTTTGTTTGTTTTTTGAGAGGTAGTCTTCCTCTGTCACCAGGCTGTAGTGGAGTGGTGCCATCTCAGCTCACAGCAACCTCCACCTGCCGGGTTCAAGCGATTCTCCTGCCTCAGCTTCCTGAGTCCCTGGGATTACAGGCACGTGCCACCACACCCAGCTAATTTTTGTATTTTTAGTAGAGACAGGGTTTCACCATGTTGGTCAGGCTGGACTCGATCTTCTGACCTTGTGATCCTCCCACCTTGGCCTCCCAAAGTGCTGGGATCACAGTCATGAGCCACTGTGCCTGGCCAATAAGGTGCATTATTAACATCAATAAAGCTCAGGAACCAGCTTCCACCATATTTGTGTTTAATTTACAGTTTTTCTCAGAGTCTTTGGAATAGATTCCTCCCTCCATGAGCCAGAGAACTTACAATGTTCACTGCAGTGTCTTTAAATGTAGCAGTAGCAGCTGTGGGTTGAGAACACAAGTCTTCCACTTTTCCTTTTAGAGCCAGCCATTCACGGTGCTCTGTGTTCTTATTCAGCATTGGGTAGGGGCATCTGGGTGCTGGGCATAGCACCAGTGCCCCATGGAGGAGGGAGGCAGGAAGCCCCTTTCTTCCTTCTCTAAAACCTTTTTTCTTTATGTAGTTCCAAGTTTTTAGCCTATATCATTTTCTTCTCTCTGGATAACTTCTTTTAACATTTTGACAGATCTACTGACAGCAAATTTGTGTTTCTCTGAGAAAGTCTTTTTCTTCACTTTGGAAAGATAATTTTGCAGAATACAGAATTTTAGGTTGGTGGAATTTTCTTGCTTGCTTGCATGGGTTCTGAAGAAAAGTTTGATGCAATTTTTATTCTTATTCTAACATGTGTTAGGCCCTGCTAAAGCCCAAGGTGGTTAGACTCTTGTGAAATAGTTTCCCTGGGGCAGGCTTTTGCTAAGGAGAACGGAACACCCAGGGCGTATTTCAAAGTAGTTACTTTTCCCCTTCCCTGTGGGAAGCAGGAGGGAATTTTTCTCTGATGTGCATAAGAGCATCTGGCAGAGCTCTCGGAGGTTCATGAAAGTGTAGGGCCCCCTAAGACTGGGCTCCCTTAATTCTTAATTCCCAAGTTTATGTGCATGGAGCCTCCAGCGATTTGTTGTTTACATGTAAGTCTTCCCACCGTGGTTCTGGCTTCAGTGGCCAGCCTCCGATCCTGTTAGGCTGGGACTCACTGCCTCTCAAATTTGGGGGATAACGGTTTGCCCTGTTAACCTCAAGTCTCTGATGGATCTAAGAAAAGTTGTTAATTTTCAGTTTGTTCAAGGTGTTTTTTGTTGTTGTTGTGAGGACAGGAGTGACAGCTTCCAAGCTGGAAAACAGAAGTCACATTTGGGTTTTGTTTCAAGATATTTTTCCAATGACAGAGAATGATGCCACACACATTTCCATAGATGTCTTTTGATGCAGATGTGCATGCGTTTCTGTTATCCTAAGAGTGAAATACCTGAGTCCTAAATGTGCTCCTTTCTAGAACCTTTATTCAATGCCAAACACAGTGTCCCCTCCAGCAGTGATGAGAGTTCTTGTTGCTCCAGATTCTCTCCAACATTTGGTGTTCTATCTTTTACATTTTAGCCGTTTTGGAGGATATGTTATCCTGTTGTGATGTTAATTTGCATTTACATGAATATTAAGAAAGCTGAACACATTCAAGTTTTGCTTTTATAAATTACATGTTTAAGTGTTTTACCCATTGTTCTTTCTCTTAGTGATTTTTAAGAGCTCTTTACATATTGTTGATGTGAGCCCTCTGTCAGTTCTATGTGTTCATAGATCTGTTTCCACTCTGCAACTTGTCTTGTCACTTTCTTAGTGGTGTCTCTTAATAAACAGAAATTCTTAATTTGAATATAGTCTAATTTATCAATTTATTCCCTTAAAACTATGGCTTTTTGTGATCTGTTTAAGAAATCTGTCCCCATTCATGGTCATAAAAATCGGCTGGGCATGGTGGCTCACACCTGTAATCCCAGCACTTTGGGAGGTCAAGGTGGGCAGATCACCTGAGATCAGGAGTTTGAGACCAGCTGGCCAACATGGTGAAACCCTGTCTCTACTAAAAATACAAACATTAGCCAGGTGTGGTGGCAGGTGCCTGTAATCCCAGCTACTCGGGAGGCTGAGGCAGGAGAATCACTTGAGCCCAGGAGGTCAAGGCCGCAATGAGCAGTCATTGTACCACTGCATTCCAGCCTGGGTGACAGAGCAGGATGCTCTTTCAAAAATAAACATAAAAGTAAATCTAATGAGCTCTAGGATTTCTAATTTGAAGATAGAAGCAATAAACAAAATGAGAAACCAAAATACATTCGTTTTGATTAAAGCAGAAGTCAGCCATAACTCTGAACCTAAAAAGGAGGTCACCTGAAGCAGCTGTGAGTAAGCAGGGTAAGAAAGGAAGCGGAGAACCGATGCTCATTGCCAGATCTTAGGGAAAAAATAATAAATTAGGATGACATACTTTTGCAAAATTAAAGAAATCCCCTGAGTTGCTAATACAAAATTTCATTTGTGAAAGTCTAATAAAGAAATTCAGCTAGTAGTGGGATCTGTCATGGACTGAGTTTGATTCCAAGAACAGAAGAGGCAGGACCAGTGAGAAATAGCACAGACATATTTGCAAAAGCAGCCCTCCCACGTTAGGAAGAAGGGATACTTTTGCACAGTGAACAGCACTACAACTGCTCATCTCTTTCATGTACTATCACACATGGAATGACTGAGATAATCCTGTGTTTCACACATAGTCCTCCCTGCCCCTACTGAATAGAGAAACCCAATTTCACCTTGGCTATCTCTAGATCAATTACCTGTTAATAGGTCTGCTGTTTTCTTTACCGTTAGTTTCAAGAAGAACTAAATATCCCCAAATGGTATTTCAGCTTCCACTTAATGAAACCTGTCATCTAAAGCCAGACCCTGGCCTCAGCACAAGCTCCAGTGCAGACCCCAGCACCCACTCTGCCTGGTCCTGCTCTTCCAGGGCCCTTCCCTGGTGGCCGTGTGGTCAGGCTGCACCCAGTCCTTTTGGCCTCCACTGTGGACAGCTATGAGAGACGCAACAAGGGTGCTGCCCGAGTTATCGGGACCCTGTTGGGAACTGTCAACAAACACTCTGTGGAGGTCACCAATTGCTTTTCAGTGTCATACAATGAGTCAGATGAAGTGGTTGTTGACATGGAATTTGCTAAGAACATGTATGAACTGCATAAAAAAGTTTCTCCAAATGAGCTCATCTTGGGGTGGTACGCTGCCGGCCATGACATCACAGAGCACTCTGTGCTGATCCATGAGTACTACAGCCGAGAGGCCCCCAACCCCATCCACCTCACTGTGGACACAAGTCTCCAGAACGGCCATATGAGCATCAAAGCCTATGTCAGCACTTTAATGGGTGTCCCTGGGAGGACCGTGGGAGTGTTCACACCTTTGACAGTGAAATATGCATACTATGACACTGAATGCATCAGAGTTGACCTGATCATGAAGACCTGCTTTAGCCCCAACAGAGTGGTTGGACTCTCAAGTGACCTGCAGCAAGTAGGAGGGGCATCAGCTCACATCCAGGATGCCCTGAGCATAGTGTTGCAATATGCAGAGGATATACTATCTGCAAAGGTGTCAGCTGACAATACAATCAGGAAGGTGGGCCACTTCCTGATGAGCCTGGTTAACCAAGTACCGAAAATAGTTCCCGATGACTTTGAGACCATGCTCCACAGCAACATCAATGACCTGTTGATGGTGGCCTACCTGGCCAACCTCACACAGTCACAGATTGCCCTCAATGAAAAACGTGTAAACCTGTGAAGCCACCCCAAGCAGTACGCTTGCTGGTCTAAGTCTTAACCCCAGGACTCAGAAGTGAAGGAAAAATGGGTTTTTTGTGGTCTTGAGTCACACTGAGACAGTCAACTGTGTGTGACTCTAATAAACGTAGCCTACCTTTTGTAAATTAAAGAAAAAAAAAAGAAGTTAGTTTCCTCCCTGGGGAATCAATATCTCTAAATGAGGAGAACCCAAAGTTTCACAAAAGGGAAGAAAAAGTCTGCAAGTGCAAATTAGGCATAATAGTGCAGGGAGCCCCCTCCCCTTGACTTTCAGATTCATGTGTTTTTGTTGTAAGATAAATAACACTACATGGTGGTCACTGACTCTAAGTTTATACCACACACTGTAGGACAACATCCCAACCTCACTATGTGTTGTTTACCAGCTGGGAGCATTAACTGAGTTACATGATTCCATTCCATCATGTCAGATTCTTCTAGGTGATGGGGATTATGTTGTAAATCCAATGAATTGCACAAACATGAGCCTAATACCATATTTTTTTTTTTTGCAGTGAAATGAATTCCTTAGTCAAAAACAATTTTGTATGGGATATCATGATGGTGAATAACAAATTAAAGTTCACGCATGGTAGTACCAGCAGAACAACTGCGAATGTAAAGGGTGAGTTCGTACCCAGAATAAGTGTCTATTTCAGTGAGAACAAAATCCCTGAGGGATGGGTTTCAATGTCGTCAATCTGCAAGTTGACTGGGTAGCCCCTGAGGGAAGGCTGTCATATTAGCCTTAGTTGTTCTACATTGGTCCAGATACAATTTGATTATGTAAAGTCGTGAATACCTTCTATCCTTAATATTATGTGCATCTGTCCATGAGCCCATTGAACAAGTATCAGCTGACTAACATCTATTATATAACATGTCATTGTATGCATACGATTACTCCTCTTCAGTGGATTCCCTCTAATAAGAATTTACTTGGGCTACAAGTATTTTCATACTTCGTGTCTATTTTAAGAAGTCATCTTCGGCTGGGCTTGGTGGCTCACACCTGTAATCCCAGCACTTTGGAAGGCCAAGGTGGGCGGATCACGAGGTCAGGAGATCAAGAACATCGTGGCTAATACAGTGAAATCCAGTCTCGCCTAAAAAAATAAAAAATTAGCTGGGCCTGGTGGTGGGCACCTGTAGTCCCAGCTACTCAGGAGGCTGAGGCAGGAGAATGGCGTGAACCCAGAAGGTAGAGCTTGCGAGCTTGCAGTGAACTGAGATCGCGCCACTGCACTCCAGCCTGGGCGACAGAGTGAGACTCTGTCTTGAAAAAAAAAAAAATCCAACTATTCAAAAGTAAAGAAAAAAATATGTCAATCCACCATGTGTCCACTGCACACCATCACAAATTTTAAACCATGCATGAGCTCACATTTTGAATAGAAGGATCTTGGGGACGGGGACACTAAAAGCCCCAAATATGGTCCTGTGTGGCATAATGGTTTTTTGGTAAATGCTACACTGCATACAATGGTGGTCGCTTAAGATAACAGAGCTGAAAAATTCTTACCATCTAGTAACACTGTGGCCATGATGACATCATAGCACAACGCATTACTCATGTGTTTGCAGTGAGGCTGGTATAAGCAAACCCACTACATTTGTCAGTGGCATTAAAGGTTAGCACATCTAATTATGTACCATATGTCATACTTGGTAATGATAATAAATGATCATGTGACTAGTTTATGTACAGTTGCTCCTTGAACAGCATGGATTTGAAATGCACAAGTTCACTTATATGCAAATTTCCTTCTGCTTCTCCCACCCCTGAGACAACAGGATCAACTTCTCCTCTTCTCTTCCTCAGGCTGCTCAACATGAATATGCAGACGAAGACCTTTATGATGATCCACTTTCACTTAATGAATAGTAAACATATTTCCTCCTCCTTATGATTTTCTTAATAGAATTTTCTTTTCTCTTTCTTTAAGAATACAGTATATAATTAACAAAGTATGCATTAATTGTTTATTTGATCAGCAAAGCTTGCAGTTAAGAATAGGCTATTAGTAGTTAAGTTTGGGGATAGCCCAGAGTTATATATGGATTTTCAACTGCACAGGAGCTGGTCCCCTAACCCTTGCACTGTTCAAGGGTCAACAGTATTTACAATACTATACATTTTATTCATATTTTAGAGTGTAGTACTTCTACTCATGAAAAATAATTAACTATAAAACAGCGTCGGGAAGGTCTTTCAGGAGTTCTTCCAGAAGAAAGCCTTGTTATCATAGAAGATGACAGCTGCATATATGTTATTGCCCTTGAAGTCCCTGAAGACCTTTCACTGGGACAAGATTTGGAAATGGAAGACAGTGATATTGATTATCCTGACCCTTACAGGGCTAAGCTAGTGTGTGTGTTTGTATCTTAGTTTTTAACAAAAAAGTTTAAAACATAAAAAATAAAAATAAATAAAGCTTATCGAATAGGGATATAAAGTATTTCTGTACAGCTGTTCAATGTGTTTTTGTTTTAAGATGTGTTATAAGAATCAAAAAGTTAAAAAAATTAAAAGTTTATAAAGTTATGATAAGCTAAGATGAACTTGTTAAAGAAAGAAAAATTTTAAATACATTTAGTGTAGCCTAAGTGTACAGTGCATATAAAGTCTATAGTTATGTACAGTAATATCCTAGGCCTTTGCATTCACTCACCAAGTACTCACTGACTCATCAGAGCAACTGCCAGTCCTGCAACCTCTGTTCATGCTAGGTGTCCTATACTGGTGTACCACTCTCTTTAACTTTTGTAATATATATATATTTTTTTCTTTCTTTCTTTTTTTTTGAGAAGGAGTTTTATTTTGTTGCCCAGGCTGGAGTGCAATGGCACGATCTTGGCTCACTGCAACCTCTGCCTCTGGGGTTCAAGTGATTCTCCTGCCTCAGCCTAATGAGTAGCTGGGATTACAGGCCCATGCCAGCACACCCAGCTAATTTTGTATTTTTAGTACAGATGGCGTTTCTCCATGTTGGTCAGGCTGGTCTCGAACTTCTGACCTCAGGTGATCCGCCCGCCTCGGTCTCCCAATGTACTATGTTTTTACTGTATCTTTTCCATGTTTAGATATTACTATTGTGATATAACTGCCTACAGCAGTGGTCCCCAAAGTTTTGACACCAAGGACTGGTTTTGTGAAAGATAATTTTTCCATGGAGTGGGGATGGCTTTGGGCTGAAACTGTTCCACTTCAGATCATCAGATCATCAGGCATTAGATTCTATTTTTTCTTTTTTTTTTTTTTAGACTGAGTCTCCCACTGTCGCCAGGCTGGAGTGCAGTGGCACAATCTCGGCTCACTGCAACCTCTGCCTCCTGGGTTCAAGTGATTCTCCTGCCTCAGCCCCCCGAGTAGCTGGGACTACAGGCATGCGCCACCACACCCAGCTAATTTTTGTATTCTTAGTAGAGACGGGGTTTGCATGTTGGCCAGGAGTGTCTTGACCTTGTGATCCACCTGCCTCGGCCTCCCAGAGTGTTGGGATTACAGGCGTGAGCCACAGCACCCAGCCTAGTTAGATTCTTATAAGGAGCACACAACCTAGATCCCTTGTATGTGCAGTTCACAATAGGGTTTGCGCTCCTGTGAAGGTCTAATGCTGCTGCTGATCTGACAGGAGGTGGAGCTCAGGAAGTAATGCTCGGCTGGCCAGCCACTCATCTCCTGCTTTGTGCCCAGTTCCTAACAGGACACGAACCGGTGCTGGTCCATGGCTTGGGTGTTGGGGACTACTGGCCTACTGTATTCAGCACAGTGACGTGCTGCACAGGTGTGTAGCCCAGGAGCAATAGGCTGTACGATATAGCCTAGGTATGTAGTAGGCTACACTGTCTAGGTTTGTATAAACTACATTCTATGGTGTCCGCACAGCCACAAAATCACGTAATGATGCATTTCTTGGAATATATTACCATTAAATGAGATTTACCTGTATTAGTGTCATCTCAGGTTTATTGTCTAGTAATTTTAAAAGTATTTGTATATTCTTTCCCAGACACATCATCATACTCCGGTGCATATCTCTATTTTATTCCCTAGACCCATTCTTAATTTTTCTACGTTCTGCTTTGTTCCTTAGGAGGCTCACCTGAATTGGATACTGCAGAGATCTCCCTTACCCTCATGCTTTTATTGGGGTTCAGCTAATGGAGGGGGTGGCAGAAGACAGGTGAGAGAAGAGTGTGTTTATCCCCCACCTCTGCCCCTGCAGGGTCAGCACAGGCAGACTGTGTCCCTTTGCTGAAGATCACAGCTTCTGTCTGGTGCCTTCTTGGCAAGCTGGCACTCTCTCTAGTCAGGTGACTGCTTGGCCCCTTACTACTTACACTCTTCTGTCTGGTTTCTTTGTGTCTTTCCTGCTGTGCTGTAAGTAGTCCCTTTATTAGAATCCATCCACATTACCCAGTTATATAAAGACAAATAGTTGGTCACTGATCTAGTTCACTCCCTGAGAATCAGCCTTCATCAAAGATCCCTAACAGTCAGATATTCTGTTGGCCGCTCCATTCCTGCTCCCCATTATTCTAGTTGTGTCTTCCTTGTCTCTAGTGCAATCACAAAGCATAAGCGCCTCCACTGTCACTTGTTCTTTGCAACTCTAGGATCACATCATTCCCCTTGAAATCAGAGAACCCACAATCTCCCCAAGCCCACAAAATTCAGCCGTCACAGTACTTTTCAATCATGCCAGCAGCCCTCCCCAACAAACGAATCCTTAATTTCTTAGAGAAACATCTTCTGGGGCTTCCTGTGGGACACAGTGGGGGTCGGCTTGGCATGTGGATCACACCTGATATTTTTACCCCCACCTCCTACTATTCCTATTCCTTTGTATGCACCTCTCTTTATTATGCTAGGAAAGCTCTGGCAACACAACCTCAAAATAAGCAGGCCAGTGTGGATTCACAGTTTCTGTCAGACAAACTTGAGCACCCCTTCTAACTTCTTGGGCTAAGACTTTAACTTCAGAATCTCTATGTATCCATGTTGATAAACTTAGCCTATGTCAAGATTATATTCTGCATGCCTTAGTCAAACACCATGTAAATCTATGCCTCATATATTCTCTAGGCTTTAGCTGATAGGGATTAGCAAAGTAGTGTGGTTGTTTTGGTCTTTAAACAATGTCCATTTTCTACCAGCTTTCCATTGCACTCTTTTTTTTTTTTTTTGAGATGGAGTCTTGCTCTGTTGCCCAGGCTGGAGTGCAGTGGCGCAATCTCGGCTCACTGCAAGCTCTGCCTCCTAGGTTCACGCCATTCTCCTGCCTCGGCCTCCCGAGTAGCTGGGACTACAGGCGTGTGCCGCCACGCACGGCTAATTTTTTGTATTTTTAGTAGAGACGGGGTCTCACTGTGTTAGCCAGGATGGTCTCGATCTCCTGACCTCATGATCGGCCCGCCTTGGCCTCCCAAAGTACTGGGATTACAGGCGTGAGCCACCGCGCCGGGCCGACTCCATTGCACTCTTACAGACCATGTTGACAAAATTATAACTGCAACAGTCAACTACAATAGCAATTTTACCTCTCATATACCACTTGAAAAAGCACATCATTCCCAATAACCACATTTGATGATTTAAGTAATCACGATACCACCGTACACTACAGATGATCAGGTTTCTGTTTCCTCCTGACAAGAAGGTCAGGAATTCATTTCGACTAAAACAGGTCAGCAAACCCGTTCCAGATTCTCATCTGTAAAGATCTACTTCTAGAGGTGTCCACCTGGAGCCTGGTGAACATTGGACATCAAACACCAGGTTGACACTATTTCTTCATCTTCAACAAAAACCACACAAACAAGCTTTGGAGAAAGAACTCCCTCCTCTCAATAGATGGTGCTGGGATAAAATGGCTAGCCAGTTGCAGAAGAAAAACAGTGGGCCCCTGTGTCTCACCATGTACAGAAATTAACTCAAGATGAATGAAAGCTGTAAATGCAAGACCTCAAACTATTAAAAGCCTGCAACGGAACCTAGGAAATACACTTCCTGACAGAGGATTTGGCACAGCATGGATATGCCTAAGTCCCCAAAAGCAAGTGCAACTAAAACAATTATTGACAAGTGGGACCTAATATACAAAAGAGCTGCTGAACAGCAGAAGAAATTACCAACAGAGTAAACAGAAAGCCTACACAATGGGAGATAATGTCCCCATGTATGCATCTCATGAAGTCTGATATCCAGGATCTACCTCAAAAATGTTAAGCAAATAAATCAGCAAAACAAAAACTCAGTGAAGAAAGGGCAAAGGGCATGAAAACACACATCTCAAAGGAAGGTTTATAGCAACCAACGGACAGGACATTTCTCTACCTCAGTAATCATCAGAGAAATGCAAAGCAAAAGGCCCATGAGATAGTATTTCACACTGGTCAGAATGACAATTATGACACAGTCCACAAGAATGAATGCCAGCGAGGCAGAGGAGGAGAGGATGCTGGTCTGCTGTTGGTAGAAATGCAAACTAGTTCAGACACCATGGAAAACGATGTGGGGATTTCTCAAATAACTTTCTCGACATCACCAATCCCCACAAAAATGTCCACAAAAACCACACTAAGAGTCCATCTCATTCCACTCAGAATGAATACTACCAAAAACAAACAAAACACAAATTTTTAAAGGTGACAGCCAGTGTAGACTTACAGAAGAGAAACCTCTTAAATGCTATTGGTGGGGATGTAAATTAGTATACACACTATGAAAAACAGCTAGAGGTTCCTGAAAAAATTCACAGTACAACTACCATGTCAGCTAGAAGCCCCATCACTGGTTCCACAATTAAAGCACTTGAAATCCCTAGGTTGAAGAGAGTTACCTACCTTCCCATGGGTACTAAAGCACTCCTAACTGTGGCCAAGGTACAAAACCAACCTACCTGTCTGTACACAGCTTCAGGGATGAAGAAACTGCCATACAGATACACCACGGAATATGTTTCAGCCATAAAGCTTTGGGAAATCCTGCCATCTGCAGCCACATGAAGAAACCTGGAGAACATCAGGTCCAACAAATGAGCCTGGTAGAGAAAGTCCCATGCCATGTGATCTCAGACATGTAGACTGAAAAAAGCTTTATCTCCTAGAAGTAGAAAGTTCAATAGGGATTACCAGAGGCTGCTGGGGAGGTGGAGAGGGTCTGGAAAGGAATCAGTAATGGGTACAAAGTTACTCTTAGATGACAGTAATCAATTCTGGTCTTCTATTCTACAGCAGGGTGACTAGCCTTAATACAAATGTATCATATATTTCAAAGTAGCTAGAAGGAAAGATTCTGAATGTTGTTACCACTCAAAAAGTAGTAACTATGAGGTGAAGAGATGCTAAATAACCTGATTTTTTCATTACTCAACATATACATGTATCGAAATCTTTCTTGTACCCTCTGCTTATATACACTTAGTATATAGCAAATAGTGTTTTAAGAAATACAAAGAAACAATGCCAAAATTTATGTGGAAATATGAAACACCCTGAATTTCTAAAGCAATCCTGAGAAATACAAACCATATGGGCTGCATCACATTCCCTGGGTTCTAATTAAAGGAAAATCCCTAGTTAACCAACCCATATGTTACTGGCATACACAGAGAAACACAGACCAGTGAGCAAAATGAGGGCGCTCAATAATAAACACAAATTTACACAGAGTGAACACATTTTTCAAAACACCACCAAAACAACACAATGGGGAAGGTTTCCAAAACTAGATATCCATATGCAAAAGAATAATACAGGATTCTTGTGGTACTAAATAATACAGGACTCTTGTGGTACCAAAAAAAAAAAACACTTTAACTCAAAAGGATTAAAGATTATTCACAAAACTTGCAACCATAAAGCTCTTATAAACACAACCTCGAGTGTGTGTATATTTAGGGAAACTTGGATGTATGCTCCCGGTTTGCAAAAAGTGTGGTACTAAATAATACAAATAGTGTGTACTAAATAATAAAAAAATTTTTATTTTGTATTATTTTGTATTTATACTAAATAATACAAAATATATTTAGTGTACTAAATAATACAAAATATATTTAGTGTACTAAATAATACAAAATATATTTAGTGTACTAAATAATACAAAAAGTGTGGTACTAAATAATACAGAAATAATTCACAAAACTTGCAACCATAAAGCTCTTATAAACACAACCTCGAGTGTATGTATATTTAGGGAAACTTGGATGTATGCTCACGGTTTGCAAAAAGTAACAAAAATACAAGGGAAAAATCACTGACAATGGACTGCTTTGGCAGTGATTTTGTTTTTTCTTGATTAGTAAACAATAGCACACTAACCAAGAAATTACATGTGGGACCGCATCAAACTGAAGAATTTGTGCCCAAAAAAGGAAAGAAACAACGAACAAAATGAAAAGGCATACTAAAACTTATAAGAAAAGTTTGGGCAAACATACAGTGGATAACAGGTTACTTTTGAAAAGGCACAAGCCAGTAACACTAACGGCTGGCAAAAAAACAAAACAACAGAGAAATAACCAGACCAAAATTGGGCAAATAACCTGAGTAGATATTTGTGCAAAGAAGACAGAAAACAGATTCAACATTTATAAAAACGTGGTTAACATTACTACTCATGAGAAAAATGTAGATCAAAACCACTCTCAGATCTTATCTCACTCCAACTAGAATGAACATCACAAAAAGATTAAAATATTTAAAAATAAAATTCCTGGTATGAATTTCCAGAAAGGGGGACTGTTTGTGGAAATGTAAATTGGTATTAACACTATAAAAAACAGTTGGGGGTCCTGCAAACAATAGAAAAAAAAAAAGGAAATACCATACCATCTAGCAGTCCCACTACTGGCTATATATTCAACCTACCTGTTCACCCACAGATAAAGAGATCAAGAAACTCTCATATACATACACTGGGGAATATTCTTCGGCTATCAGAATAATCAAACAGTGTCATTTAGAGCAACCCAGATGAACCTGGAAAACATTATGATAAATGTGATGAGCTAGGCCTAGAAAGACAAACACTGCATGATACCACTCATGTGAAATCTTAAGATGTTTATCTTAAAGAAGTAGAAAGCACAATATTGGTTACCAGAGTCTGGGAGACAGAAGGGGAATGGAGAAGGATTGGTTATGGAAACAAAGTTATCTTAACATTAAAAGAATAAATCTGAGTGTTCTCCTCAGCCTGGTGACTGGACTTAACCGTATTACATTTTTCTAAAGAGCAAGGAGAATTTTGAATGTTCTCTTTACACAAAAATAATACCTGTATGAGGGAATAGAGATCCTAAGTACCCTGATTTGATCATTACCCAATTTATATGTATAAAAATGTACCCCTAATTATGGCCCTTTATGTTGTAAAAAAATTAACAGAAATAAATACATAGTGCTAAAAATCACAGGGAACCACAAAAGCAATGAATATCTAAAGGAATCCTGAGAAATACAATCAAAGTGAGAACCCACAATCCTTGATATCAAATTAAATTGCCAAGTTGTAGTTATGCAGTAGATATATGGTACTTGCATAAAAAGAAATACCTAGAACTATGGACAAAAACAGGGAGGACAAAAACAACACAAATATGGACACAGTCAACTGACTTTGATAAAGAACACCACAATGTGGAAGGCAGAGTCTGATCAATGAATAGCTTTGAGAAAAATGATATCCGGATGCAAAAGCGAGAAACAGGACCCTTATTTTACACGATGTATGAAAATCAACCGCCCCCCCCATCAACTGAAGGCCAAAACAAAATACCATAAACCACAAAATGTTTTTTAAAAAATTACTGTGTTTACTTAAGTAAAACACAGGTTGAGCATATATTTTGGGTCACTTGAATCTCTGTTAACCTTTGCAAAGAGGAAAAGAAACAAACACCCTGGAAGAAAAACCTCACTGACAATTAAATGCTTTGTTACTGATGCATATTTTCTAATATGGGTGACCATTATGACACGCATAAAACGCAAAAAAAAAAAAAATATGGGACTACATCAACGTGAAAAGTTTCTGCATGGCAAAGAAAACTACTTTCCAAATAAAAAAGCATCCCATAGATTATGCAAAAATTTCAGGCAATCATGTAATTCACGAGGAGTTGTCAACTAACGTGTACACAAAAAAGAGTACAAAGTAGAAAAAGAATCCAATCTAATATTTCGCAAATAACCTAAAGAGACAATTCTGCACAGATATAAAATCGAACAACAGATAAGAGATAAGGTCCTCGAAATTAACTATTCATTAGAATACTGTAATTCAAAACCACACGCAGATAGTCTCACACTTATTGAATATTCCTAGAAAAATTTTTTAAAAATAGGAGGGTCTGGGAGCCGTGGCTCACGTCTGTAATCCCAGCACTTTGGGAAGCCAAGGCGGGTGGATCACCTGAGGTCACGAGTTTCAGACCAGCCTGACAAATATCGTGAAACCCCGTCTCTACTAAACATAAAAATACAAAAATTAGCCGGGCGTGGTGGCGGGCGCCTGTAGTCCCAGCTACACAGGAGGCTGAGACAGGAGAATTGCTTGAAACCGGGAGGTGGAGGTTGCAGTGAGCCGAGATGGCGCCACTGCCCTCCAGCCTTGGAGACAGAGCGAGACTCCGTCTCGAAATAACAAAAACAAAAAAAATTGGAATGGGGGTTTGGTTTTGGAGAAACGGGAACTCATACACTGTAGGTGGAAATGAAAATTAGGGTACACACCATGGAAAACAGTTAAATAGCTGGAAACTCCTCAAAGAATTGAAACTACAGATGTCCCCTGCTCTAGCGAGGTCTCTTTCTAAAGGTCCTGAGGCATAAAAAATAACCCTAGACCCCAGCTCAGAGGCCCGTGGGGCTCGGAGGGACCCAGTCCAGCGCTTCACCGCCGGCTCTGGGCCAGGGCGCTCCTATAGGCTGGACGTGGGTCGGACCGGGGCATAGCCTTCCCGGCGGGGGTGTGGACGCTGCAGAGGCCAGGATCCCACAACCGCCCCAACGCTGACGACTCGGGCCCAGATGCCCACTTAGAAGTCAGGGCCCGAAAGCAGGGAGCGGCCGGGAAGGAGTAGGGAGACCCAGAGGGTTCCAGGTGGGGTTCATCCCCCTCCACTTACCGCCGAGGCCTGCCACCTCCTCCACCAACAAACGGAAGCCACCACATCTTCTCCGAGACTCGCTCTGACCACGCCGCCGATGCTGCCCGGGCCTCGCACGAAGCGCAGTCTCGGCTTCCCTCGGGGCCTGCATGCTGGCAGCGTCCCTGGCGCCAGGCTGAAGCACCACCCCCTCTTAAAGGGGCCGCGGCTGGGACTGGGCAGAAGCAGCTTCGGGTTGCACAGGCTGAGCGTCTGCCCAGCCCCAGGGGTGGAAGAAAGGCCCCCAGTCTGTCATCCTCCCGGGCTCTAGGGCCCTAGAGGTCGCAGAAGCCCCTCCTGTGACCCCAGCCCCTAAATCGGCTCCCTTTGCCTGAGGAGCGCCCGGGACCTGCCCCTGCCCTCCTCGGGACCTCAGCTTCACCATCCTCAAAGAAAGCGGCCTGGCTGGAGCTCTGGGGTCCCTCAAGCTCGGCGCCTCAGGATCCAGGGTGGGCTCCCCTGCCCCTCTGCAGAGGGGGCCCAATAGCCACGGAAAGCTGGGGGCTGGAGGGACAGTCCCGAGGGCAGCAGGGCGTCCTTGGCCTCACCGTCTACATTCGTCCTGTGGGAGCCCGGGGGCGTCGCTAGGGCCCAGACTCCTGCGGCCTCACCAGGGCTGCCTGGGTCACCGGGCTCCCCAGGAGGCAGGGAGGGACCCTGGGGTCCAGCGCTGCCCCCACCTCAACTCCATTCTGCGTCAGCATCCGCGAGGGGATCCTGTGGACTGGACCCAGACCCACTCCTTCCCGGGGAGCGGGACCCGCATCGGTCTCTGTGACACCCACGGGAGGGGCCGTGCTGACCTCTCCCGGGGATCTGGGGGCGAGGTGGGGGAATCTCGGCCACCTCTTGAAGCTCGCTGAGCCCCCCACCCCAGAGAGCGCTCAGGAGCAAAGGAAAGGACGGAGAGCCCACACATTTTCTATCTTTCATTTCCGTTTTTTCTTTTTTCCCCCCTCCAAAATGAAAGACGTGTGTAGCTTTGTCCCCTGTACACCATCCATTCCCCATGGCCGCTGTGCGGATCCAGCCCGCTGGTTGCCTCTAGGGTCCTGGGCGCCCGGCGGTCCGCATGCAGCCCGGGGCCTGCCCAGGTGAGGTCTGCGGCCGCCACAGCGCTGAGGTCCCGCCTGGCCGGGGCGCACGGGCCGCTGGGGATGCTGGCTGCGAGGCTCCGGGGAGGTGGAGCGGGAGGTTGTCCCAGGCCCTGGCTGCAGAGCTCTTGATGTCACGCCTGACACCCTCCATCCACCGCCTCGGGGCAGCGCTTCAGAGCCCCGGCAGAGGCAAGAAGTCGATCACTTTGTTCTTCATTCGTTGGAAAAATGGAAAAGCACATTATAATCCCTGGAACAACCACTTCAGAGAAAGAGCAAAAAATTAAAATAGGATTGTAAATGACACACTGAAATAAGTTGATTTTAAAAATGGTAGTCAATGGAAAAACAGGATCAGAAGACAGGAGAGACAGGGAAAACAAATAAGTTATCTGACTGAAACAGAATTAGAAACTAACAACAGTAAGAAATATTGGACATCTGAAAATATGTGAAAATTTAACAACCCACCTCTAAATCATTGGATCAAAAAAAATCACAAGATAAATTGGAAAATATTTTGAGCTGCACTCCAGTTTGGGTAACAGACTGAGACCTTGTTTCTAAGAAAACAAAACAAACTTCAAAAAGCTATAAAATTAAATGCCAATTTTCCCCCTTACCCAAACTCTCCGTGGCTCTCCTTTGCCCTCAGAGTCAAGCCCATGCTTCTCACTGTGGGCTCCAGGACCTAGGTGGCCTGACCAGTGCACACCCTATCACGATCTCCTCCTCTGCCCACTTGCTCACGCTGTCCAGTCACACACACTATTTTTGCAAATGCCAAGCTCCTGATCACCGCTGGGCCTTTGCCACTGCAGTTCCGCCTGCCAGGACCAGTCTTTCCCTAGACCTTCCCATTCCTGCCTCTTCCTGGCTTGGCTGCCTCTTTCTGGTGCTTCAGGTCTCAGATCAAATGTCACCTCTTCAGAGAGGACTTCATTGAAATCTCTGCCTAACACAGCCCGTATCAAGGTCAACACTTTTCTTTTTAGACTTAGGTTTTGATATAAAGAAGTTTCATAAAAATGACTTGGGCAGCTATCATCTGTTTAAAAGGTCTGACTTTGCTGAAATAATGTGGGCTTTCCTGTTCTTTGAGTTTTGATAAAACAACTGTAAAACCATCTGCCTTTTTAAAAAAAATTGAGATTGATGTATACTTTCTGTTATTACTATTTTTTTACATTCTGTCTCCCAGGCTGGAACACAGTTGCTCATAGCTCATTACAGCCTCAAATTACCTTGCCTTTGTAACAGTAGGTCCTCAGTCACCTTTCTCATCTACAGATGTTGGTTTACTTAAGCTTTCTAATTACTTGGAGGTCAGCTTAGCTCAGTGGTTAGCACAAGTAGCTAATAAATGCTCGAGTATGAGGGTGCAAAGAAAGGGGTAGGGAGGTGCAAGACTCTTGGCTTCAAATGCCCAGTCCCCTACTCATCTGCTCAGGCCCCTGTCTAGCCTCTGTATCTAAGCCAAACTACACGCCTCCTCCCCTGAGAAGCCCTCTTGGATTTCTCCTGTCCCGTCTTCCCTGCTCTATCCTCGGGTGAGTGGATCCACCCATCTGCCTCTGTGCTGGGCAGATGCCACTGCTCTCTGCTTTCTGGCTGGACAAGGCAAGGGGGCAGGTGTGTGTGTAGAAGTCCCCCTAAACCTTGGCCTTTGCCTCATGCCTGGCGCATTCAACCTTTGCTGACACCTCCACAGAAATACCAACCTCACCAACATCTGCAGAATGGGCCGCCAGGGTCTGTCTGGAGCTTGGGTGGGATTTTCACTTGACTACAAATACACACACATACACCCTAGGCTTCCAGGTCTGCATTCCTTGGCTGGCTCTTCACACTTGAGTCCAAGACAGGTCAATGGTTAGTGGCTGGATTTGCAAGCATGTGTGTTTCTGGGCAGGATATCAGCTGGGGCAGTCTGAGAGGAAGCTGTCAAGGGAAGCTAAAGAGGAGGGAGTCAGTCACGTCTCTCTTCACCTGTTGCACTCTCTAAATTTTACTGTCCACTCCTAGGCCTGATCTAGAGGGCTGTCTAGTCTAGGGGAGACAAAGTTGGATGTATCTACTGCCAGCCCCATGGGGTCAGAACTACAGGGGAAGGATGGGGACTGTGGGATTCCAGAGGAACAACAGGGAGGGCTTCTTGGAGGAATGCTTGTTCTTGAGCTGAGTTTTTTTTTTTCTCTGTAGCTCAGTCTGAAATGCAGTGGCACAATCACTGCTCACTGCAGCCTTGACCTTCCATGCTCAATTGATCCTCCTACTTCAGGGTGGGACTACAGGCACATGCCACCACACACAGCTAATTTTTGTATTTTTTGTAGAGATGGGGTTACATCATGTTGTTCAGGCTGGTCTCAAACTCCTGGGTTCAAGTAATCCTCCTGTCTTGGCCTCTCAGAGTGCTGGAATTACAGGCATGAACCACCTTATCTGACCTGAGCTGAGTTCTGAAGTGTGAATAGGATTTGGCTAGGTGAAGAAGGGAAAAAAGGACCTTCTAGACAGAAATATTTGTCAAAGATAGAGAGAAGCAGGCAGGAGTTGATTAGGGCAAGGTGTTTGAATGTCAGGCTGGATGCAGAAATTTTCTCACAAGGTCAATGTGGAACCATGGAGAATGTGTGAGCAAGGGAGGCCATGATTAGAGCTTGATCTCTCAGGGGCAGAGTGGGGGACAGCTTGGTTCTTTGGTGATGGGATCAGGAGAGTTCCAGTGTCATGGGGGGTCAGGAGAGTTAAGCCCCGCATCAACTCATCTGCACCTGTCACCTCGCACCAGAGTTGGTGGGGGACCTCCTGATGTTCTGGAGGGCCAAATAAGCCGTGGGATCCAGTGACTTACAGTGTGAGGTACAGACCAGCACAGAGAGGGTACCGCCCCAGGCTCTGCTCAGATGGACACAGCCCTGACCTCATCTCCAGCCTCCTGCCATCTCCACCCCAGCCCTGATAGTCCTGCTTTCCATGGTAGCCATGAGCTGCGTGTTAAAATGATAAATCAGCCCCATCCCTTCTCTCCTCAAAACCCTCTCATAGCTCGTCTTTGCTCTTAGACTAAAACCCAGAGCCTCCTGCAGCTCAGAAGGCCCAGTGTGGCCCAGCCTCTGTGGCCTCTTGCCCTCCCCACCCACTCCAACCTCACTGCTGTTTCTCTCCCCCTTGGGATCTTTGTACCTGCTGTTTCTTCTGCATGGAATTCACTTCCTGTCTCAGCTCTAGGACATCAGTCCAGAAAGGCCCCCAACTTCCTGCCTCTCGGGGTTCCCCTGTCACGTGACCTCTGCACTAGCCATAGTGTCCCTATAACTAAAATTGAGACAGATTGAGAAGGGGCTTAGTTGAGCCTTCTATGCCCAAGAGACTCAGGCCCAAGCTCAGCCCCAGTCCCGGCTCTCATGAGACCACATGCATAGGGGTCATTTGGGGGATTATCTTGGCACTGGGTCCTGTGGGATGGTGTCACCTCCAGCCTCCAGGGACTCATCCTAGCCATGGGAATGTGTCCAATTCCTGCCCAGGACTAAAATTAGCCCTGGAGATTACATTTAGTAAGTCAAGCTGGAGGTCAGGGGCTGGAGCCCACAGCCTGGGCTCTGCAGAGCTGTGGCGGCTCAGAGACTCAGCCCAGAGAACATGGAGGTATGCTTAGGGTCACACAGTGGGCCACAAGTGCCACCTGAGGTGTCAGATACTTGTGGGCCTGGGACACCTGGATGATGAAGGGTCCAGCATAGGCTGGAGCAGTGCCAGAGGTTGGGGTTCTGAGAATCATCTGTGGCCACTCCCAGAGAATGACCTGAATTTGCTGAGAGTTTGTTGCCAGGCCTTGTGGTGGGCACTTGGCATTTATTGCCTGCCATAGAGGTCTGTTACCTGTCCCATTCACAGAACAGCACAGAGAGGCCTAGAAATCAGCCTCCTACGCTGAGAGCCACCTCAAGGGTCATAGAAGAGGCTGGGACCCAAGCATAGGCCCATGTGACTCTGGGGAGTCACTCATCTGAAGCCTCAAGTCATCTGTGACATGGCAGAGGCTGGGAGGTGGAGTGTATTCACACGGTTGGCAGAGCAGGGATGTCCCCTGGGGTTCTCAGGGGCCTGGGATGGCATGCCTGCTGCGGAACGGGCAACATGATTTCTTCCTATGGAGGAACCTTGCATGGGGGTGCTGGAGAAAGCCTTGTCCCTGCCGTGGCCCAGCAACCTCCTGCTTCTGAGACCCCCACTGGGGGATCCAAGATTCCTTGAGGTGGGGTCCAGGGTTTCTCCTGAGTCACCAAGTGGACCCCTGGACCTAAACTCTGGTCTGAGGGCTCCAAGCCAGAGTCTTTCCAGGGAATCCCTGTACTCTCCCACTGGAACAGGGTTGGTTTCCATCATTCTCTTTTCAAAAACAGAAAAAAAAATTAGCAGAAATAATTCACTGGTGGTTGGGGGGAATTGGAAGATTCAGATAATCAAAGAGTTAAAACAGGCTGGGCGTGGTGGCTCATGCCTCTAACCCCAGCACTTTGGGAGGCTGAGGCAGGCTGATCACCTGAGGTTGGGAGTTTGAGACCAGCCTGACCAACATGTAGAAACCCAGTCTCTACTAAAAATATGTAATTAGCCAGGTGTGGTGGTGCATGCCTGTAGTCCCAACTACTTGGGAGGCTGAGGCAGCATAATTGCTTGAACCTGGGAGGTGGAGGTTGCAGTGAGCCAAGGTTGTGCCATTGAACTCCAGCCTGGGGGACAGAGCGAGACTCCATCTAAAAAAAAAAAAATTGGAAAAGTTGTTGGGAATATAATCCACACAAAAATATCCTCAATCACATTAGAGTGGCCAACATGCCAATTCAAGAAATTTAGAGTACTTTTGTGAAGTACTATACAGGACAACAATCACCAAGACACAGTTATCAGATTCTCCAAGGTCAACATGAAAATAAAAGCCTTAACAGGAGTTAGAGGAAAGGGTCAGGTCACTTTCGAAGGGAACTCTATTAGGCTAACAGTAGACCTATCAGCAGAAACCTTACAATCCTTAAAATCTTAGGAGCCTATTTTCAGCATCCTTAAAGAAAATAAATTCCAACCAATAATTTCATATCCTGCCAAACTAAGCTTCTTAAGCAAAGAAGAAATAAAATCCTTTCCTGGCAAGCAAATGCTAAGAGAATTTGTTACCATTACACTAGCCTTACAAGAGGTTCTTTAGGGAAATGAAAAATAAAACCTGCTAACATAAAACACACTTAAATACATAGCCCAAAGACCATGTAAAGCAACTACACAGTTGAATCTACGAAACAACCAGCTAACAAAACAATGACAAGATACAAATCTCACATATCGATATTAACCTTGAATGTAAATGGTCCAAACACCCTACTTAAGAGGGACAGAGTGGTAAGTTGGAAGACTCAACCATATACTGTCTTCAAGAGACCTATCTAATATGTAATGCCATCCATGGGATGAAAGGAAAGGGTTGGAGAAAGATCTCTCATACAAATGAAAAACAAAGAGACCAGAGGTTGCTATTGCTATGTCATATAAAACAGACTTTAAACCAACAACAGTAAAAAAAAAAAAGGCATTACATAATGATGAAGCATTTAGTTCAACAAGAAGACATAAAAATCCTGAAAATATAGGCATCCAACATGAGGGCACTCTGATTCATAAAACAAATACTTCTAAACCTGCAAAAAGACTTAGACAGCCACACAATAATAGTGGGGGCGAGTTACTGGGTGCAGCACACCAACATGGCACGTGTATACATATGTAACTAACCTGCACGTTGTGCACATGTACCCTAAAATTTAAAGTATAATTAAAAAAAAAATAGTGGGGGATTTGAACATCCCACTGACAGCTTTAGACAGAACAATCATTGTGATGAAAACTAACAAAGAAATTCTCTTTTTAAAAATGTATTATTATCATTATTATTATTATTATTATTATTATTATACTTTAAGTTTTAGGGTACATGTGCACAACGTGCAGGCTTGTTACATATGTATACATGTGGCATGTTGGTGTGCTGCACCCATTAACTTGTGATTTAGCATTAGGTATATCTCCTAATGCTATCCCTCCCCACTCCCCCCACCCCACAACAGTCCCTGGTGTGTGATGTTCCCCTTCCTGTGTCCATGTGTTCTCATTGTTCAATTCCCACCTATGAGTGAGAACATGTGGTGTTTGGTTTTTTGTCCTTACGATAGTTTGCTGAGAATGATGGTTTCCAGCTTCATCCATGTCCCTATAAAGGACATGAACTCATCCTTTTTTATGGCTGCATAGTATTCCATGGTGTATATGTGCCACATTTCCTTCATCCAGTCTATCATTGTTGGACATTTGGGTTGGTTCCAAGTCTTTGCTATTGTGAATACTGCCACAATTAACATACGTGTGCATGTGTCTTTATAGCAGCATGATTTATAATCCTTTGGGTATATATCCAGTAATGGGATGGCTGGGTCAAATGGTATTTCTAGTTCTAGATCCCTGAGGAATGGCCACACTGACTTCCACCATGGTTGAACTAGTTTACAGTCCCACCAACAGTGTAAAAGTGTTCCTATTTCTCCACATCCTCTCCAGCACCTGTTCTTTCCTGACTTTTTAATGATCGCCATTCTAAGTGGTGTGAGATGGTATCTCATTGTGGTTTTGATTTGCATTTCTCTGATGGCCGGTGATGATGAGCATTTTTTCATGTGTTTTTTGGCTGCATAAATGTCTTCTTTTGAGAAGTGTCTGTTCATGTCCTTCGCCCACTTGTTGATGGGGTTGTTTGTTTTTTCTTGTAAATTTGTTGGAGTTCATTGTAGATTCTGGATATTAGCCTTTTGTCAGATGAGTAGGTTGCAAAAATTTTCTCCCATTCTGTAGGTTGCTTGTTCACTCTGATGGTGGTTTCTTTTGCTGTGCAGAAGTTCTTTAGTTTAATTAGATCCCATTTGTCAATTTTGGCTTTTGTTGCCATTGCTTTTGGTGTTTTAGACATGAAGTCCTTGCCCATGCCTATGTCCTGAATGGTATTGCCTAGGTTTTCTTCTAGGGTTTTTATGGTTTTAGGTCTAATATGTAAGTCTTTAATCCATCTTGAACTAATTTTTGTATAAGGTGTAAGGAAGGGATCCAGTTTCAGCTTTCTACATATGGCTAGCCAGTTTTCTCTGCACCATTTATTAAATAGGGAATCCTTTCCCCGTTGCTTTTGTCAGGTTTGTCAAAGATCAGATGGTTGTAGATATGCGGCATTAATTCTGAGGGCTCTGTTCTGTTCCATTGGATTATATCTCTGTTTTGGTACCAGTACCATGCTGTTTTGGTTACTGTAGCCTTGTAGTATAGTTTGAAGTCAGGTAGCGTGATGCTTCCAGCTTTGTTCTTTTGGCTTAAGATTGACTTGGCAATGCAGGCTCTTCTTTGGTTCCATATGAACTTTAAAGTAGTTTTTTCCAATTCTGTGAAGAAAGTCATTGGTAGCTTGATGGGGATGGCATTGAATCTATAAATTACCTTGGGCAGTATGGCCATTTTCACGATATTGATTCTTCCTACCCATGAGCATGGAATGTTCTTCCATTTGTTTGTATCCTCTTTTATTTCATTGAGCAGTAGTTCATAGTTCTCCTTGAAGAGGTCCTTCACATCCCTTGTAAGTTGGATTCCTAGGTATTTATTCTCTTTGAAGCAATTGTGAATGGGAGTTCACTCATGATTTGCCTCACTGTTTGTCTGTTATTGGTGTATAAGAATGCTTGTGATTTTTGCACATTGATTTTGTATCCTGAGACTTTGCTGAAGTTGCTTATCAGTTTAAGGAGATTTTGGGCTGAGACAATGGGGTTTTCTAGATATATAATCATGTCATCTGCAAACAGGGACAATTTGACTTCCTCTTTTCCTAATTGAGTGCCCTTTATTTCTTTCTCCTGCCTGATTGCCCTGGCCAGAACTTGCAACACTATGTTGAATAAGAGTGGTGAGAGAGGGCATCCCTGTCTTGTGCCAGTTTTCAAAGGGAATGCTTCCAGTTTTTGTCCATTCAGTATGATATTGGCTGTGGGTTTGTCATAGACAGCTCTTATTATTTTGAGATACGTCCCATCAATAACTAATTTATTGAGAGTTTTTAGCATGAAACGTTGTTGAATTTTGTCAAAGGCCTTTTCTGCATCTATTGAGATAATCATGTGGTTTTTTCATTGGTTCTGTATATATGCTGGATTATGTGTGTTGATTTGCTTACGCTGAACCAGCCTTGCATCCCAGGGATGAAGCCAACTTGATCTTGGTGGATAAGCTTTTTGATGTGATGCTGGATTTGGTTTGCCAGTATTTTATTGAGGATTTTTGCATCGATGTTCATCAGGGATATTGGTCTAAAATTCTCTTTTTTTGTTGTGTCTCTGTCAGGCTTTGGTATCAGGATGATGCTGGCCTCATAAAATGAGTTAGGGAGGATTCCCTCTTTTTCTATTGATTGGAATAGTTTCAGAAGGAATGGTACCAGCTCCTCTTTGTACCTCTAGTAAAATTTGGCTGTGAATCCATCTGGTCCTGGACATTTTTTGGTTGGTAGGCTATTAATTATTGCCTCAATTTCAGAGCCTGTTATTGGTCTATTCAAGGATTCAAGTTCTTCCTTGTTTAGTCTTGTGAGGGTGTATGTGTCGAGGAATTTATCCATTTCTTCTAAATTTTCTAGTTTATTGCATAGAGGTGTTTATAGTATTCTCTGATGGTAGTTTGTATCTCTGTGGGATCGGTGGTGATATCCCCTTTATCATTTTTTATTGTGTTTATTTGATTCTTCTCTCTTTCCTTCTTTATTAGTGTTGCTAGTGGTCTATCTATTTTGTCGATCTTTGCAAAAAACCAGCTCCTGGATTCATTGATTTTTTGAAGGCTTTTTTTGCCTCTATTTCCTTCAGTTCTGCTCTGATCTTAGTTATTTCTTGCCTTCTGCTAGCTTTTGAATGTGTTTGCTCTTGCTTCTCTAGTTCTTTTAATTGTGATGTTAGGGTATCGATTTTAGATCTTTCCTGATCTCTCTTGTGGGCATTTAGTGCTATAAATTTCCCTCTACACACTGCTCTATATGTGTCCCAGAGATTCTGGTATGTTGTGTCTTTGTTCTCTTTGGTTTCAAAGAACATCTTTATTTCTGCCTTCATTTCATTATGTACCCAGTAGTCATTCAGGAGCATGTTGTTCAGTTTCCATGTAGTTGGGCAGTTTTGAGTGAGTTTCTTAATCCTGAGTTCTAATTTGATTGCACTGTTGTCTGAGAGACAGTTTGTTGTGATTTCTGTTCTTTTACATTTGTGAGTAGTGCTTTACTTCCAACTATGTGGTCAATTTAAGTATAAGTGAGATGGGGTGCTGAGAAGAATGTATATTCTGTTGATTTGGGGTACAGAGTTCTATAGATGTCTCTTAGGTCCACTTGGTGCAGAGCTGAGTTCAAATCATGGATATCCTTGTTAACTTTCTGTCTCGTTGATCTGTCTAATGTTGACAATGGGGTGTTAAAGTCACCCATTATTATTGTGTGGGAGTCTAAGTCTCTTTGCACATCTCTAAGGATTGGCTTTGTGAATCTGTGTGCTCCTGTATTGGGTGCATATATATTTAGGATAGTTAGCTCTTCTTGTTGAATTGATCCCTTTACCATTATGTAATGGCCTTCTATGTCTCTTTTGATCTTTGTTGGCTTAAAGTCTGTTTCTCCTGAGACTAGGATTGCAACCCCTGCTTTTTTTTGTTTTCCATTTGCTTGGTAGATCTTCCTCCATCCCTTTATTTTGAACCTATATGTGTCTCTGCATGTCAGATGGGTCTCCTGAATACAGCACACTGATGGGTCTTGACTCTTTATCCAATTTGCCAGTCTGTGTCTTTTAATTGGAACATTTAGCCCATTTACATTTAAGGTTAATATTGTTATATGTGAACTTGATCCTGTCATTATGATGTTAGCTGGTTATTTTGCCCATTAGTTGATTCAGTTTCTTCCTAGCATCGATGGTCTTTACAATTTGGCATGTTTTTGCAGTGGCTGGTACTGGTTGTTCTTTCCATGTTTACTGCTTCCTTCAGGAGCTCTTGTAGGGCAGGCCTGGTGGTGACAAAATCTCTCAGCATTTGCTTGTCTATAAAGGATTTTCTTTCTCCTTCACTTATGAAGCTTAGTTTGGCTGGATATGAAGTTCTGTGTTGAAAATTCTTTTCATTAAGAATGTTGAATATTGGCCCCCACTCTCTTCTGGCTTGTAGAGTTTGTGCTCAGAGATCTGCTGTTAGTCGGATGGGCTTCCCTTTGTGGGTAACCCGACCTTTCCCTCTGGCTGCCCTTAACCTTTTTTCCTTCATTTCAACCTTGGTGAATCTGACAATTCTGTGTCTCAGGGTTGCTCTTCTCATAGAGTATCTTTGTGGTGTTCTCTGTATTTCCCGAATTTGAATGTTGGCCTGCCTTGCTAAGTTGTGGAAGTTTTCCTGGATAATATCCTGAAGAGTGTTTTCCAACTTAGTTCCGTTCTCCCTGTCAATTTCAGGTACACCAATCATAAGTAGATTTGGTCTTTTCACATAGCCCCATATTTCTTGGAGGCTTTGTCCATTTCTTTTTACTCTTTTTCCTCTAAACTTCTCTTCTCACTTCATTTCATTCATTTGACCTTCAATCACTGATCCCCTTTCTTCCACTTGATCAAATCGGCTACTGAAGCTTGTGCATGCATCACGTAGTTCTTGTGCCATTGTTTTCACCTCCATTTGGTCATTTAAGGTCTTCTCTATGCCGTTTATTACAGTTAGCCATTCATCTAATCTTTTTTCAAGGTTTTTAGCTTCCTTGCGATGGGTTCGAACATCCTCCTTTAGCTTGGAGAAGTTTTTTATTACCAACCTTCTGAAGCCTACTTCTGTCAACTCATCAAAGTCATTCTCCATCCAGCTTTGTTCCATTGCTGTGGAGGAGCTGTGACACTTTGGAGGAGAAGAGGTGCAGTGGTTTTTAGACTTTTCAGCTTCTCTGCTCTAGTTTCTCTCCATCTTTGTCATTTTATCTCCCTTTGGTCTTTGATGATGGTGACCTACAGATGGGGTTTTGGTGTGGATGTCCTTTTTGTTGATGTTGATGCTATTGCTTTTGTTTGTTAGTTTTCCTTCTAACAGATTCCTCAGCTGCAGGTCCGTTGGAGTTTGCTGGAGGTCCACTCCAGACGCTGTTTGCCTGGGTATCACTGGCAGAGGCTTCAGAACAGCAAATATTGCAGAACAGCAAATGTTGCTGCCTGATCCTTCCTCTGGAAGCTCTGTCTCAGAGGGGCACCTGGCTGTATGAGGTGTCAGTTGACCCCTACTGGGAGGTGTCTCTCAGTTAGGCTACTTGGGGGTCAGGGACACACTTGAGGAGGCAGTCTGTCCATTCTCAGAGCTTAAACTCCATTCTGTGGGAACCACTGCTCTCTTCAGAGCTGTCAGACAGGGAAGTTTAAGGCTGTAGAAACTTCTGCTGTAGAAGGTTTCTGCTGCCTTTTGTTCAGCTATGCCCTGCCCCTAGAGGTGGAGTCTACAGAGGCAGGTAGTCCTCGTTGAGTTGTGGTGGGCTCCACCCAGTTCAAGCTTCCCAGTGGCTTTGTTTACCTAGTCAAGCCTCAGCAATGGCGGATGCCCCTCCCCCAGCCTGTCTGCTGCCTCCCAGTTCGATCTCAGACCACTGAGCTAGCAGTGAGCAAGGCTCCATGGGCGTGTGATCCTCCGAGCCAGGTGCGGGATATAATCTCCTGGTGTGCCATTTGCCAAGACTGTTGGAAAAGCACAGTATTAGGGTGGAAGTGTCCCAATTTTCCAGGTACCATCTGTCATGGCTTCCCCTGGCTAGGAAAGGGAAATCCCCCAACCCCTTGTACTTCCTGGATGAGGTGATGCCCCACCCTGCTTCAGCTCACCCTCTCCGTGGGCTACATCCACTGTCCAACCAGTTCCAGGTACTTCAGTTGGAAATGCAGAAATCATCTGTCTTCTGTGTTGATAGTGCTGGAAGCTGTAGACCAGAGCTGTTCCTATTTGGCCATCTTGGTGCCTCCCCATGTTTTTTTTTTTTTTTTTTTTCTGATTTCAACTTGACAGCAGAACTCAACCATGCTGATGGTGCAGACACATGTTGGTGGGAACTTTTCATTGTTTGATTCTGACATTTATGATAAATGGATTCACTTACTAAAGTTTTGTAGAGAGAGTAATAACCATGTAATAACCTAGATCATATTTCCTTTATAAAATCAAACATACCTGGTGGTTTTAGAGCAATATTTTTTACCTCAGTCACTTGTGTTTATTAGACAAGAATACTAAGTGTCAAGATGTTTGCATTGCCTTTCATATTTTTATTTAGGGGACAGTGTAATGATAAATGACTTTGAATATATAACCAGACACACCTTCATCCCCCCCCAAATCTGTGCTAATTTACTGTTTTTTATATTTCATGCATGAAGCTAAATTGTTTTTACCCATGGATTAAAGCAAAATGATACAATGATACCTGAATCCTTGCCAAATAACATGAAATGGCAACTGCAAAATTGTTCTGCAAAATTTTACAAGGTATTATGGTATTGAGGATATCCCAAGAAAACTTGAGAGGCATTATATTTCTCATTGGAGACTGACATTCCTGTATCAAGTAAAGTCTCAGGAAAAAGAACCAGGTGTGACTATTTTAATGCAACCTCTTGGTTGAAATAAAATGATTAAAAGTAGTGTTTATCTTGTTGATAACTGAGAGGCAAATATTAAAAATTTTGCTCTGAGATGAAGAGAGTTCACATGATAAGTCTCTGGGATGTGAACTAAACTGGGAAAGCACCAGGACCATTTCTAAGACATACAGTTAATTTGGGTTTGGATAAACAGAATAATGTTCCCCACTCCCTAAAAAAGATATTTACATCCAAGTTCTTAGATACTGGAAATACATTACAATTTATGGCAAAGAGAATATAAGGTTGCAAATGGGATCAAAATTGCCGATATGCTGATGAAAAATAAGAAGACTATTATGAATTATCATGGTGGGCCCAGTAGAATCATAAGCATCAAAAACCATGGAAGAGTGAAGAATAAACCATATCAAAGTGATAGATCATGAGAAAGACTCAATTGGATATATTTTTAATTGTTTGCTTTAGTGAGTCTTTCCACTTTAGCATATATTTTATTCAATTCAACTGTGCAAATGTGATTCATTTTATATGCCTGTCACTGAATTGGGTGCTAAAAATAAAATGAGAGAACAAAAAATAACAAAAATTGATTTCTAAAGATGGAGGGCAAAGGGCATTAGGAATATAGATAGTGTGCACCCTATACAGGCATGATTGTAAATGTATTCATTATATATAGAAAGTAATAATTATATATATATAAAATTATTTGGCTTAGAAAAGAGTGCAGGGGGTACATTATCAATAATTTAGCGTCAAGGTTAATCAAGAATAAGTGAGTAAAATAAAAATAATAATGATGGTAATAATTTCAAACACTGAAGAAAGAACATTGATGATATGAAGTCATTTTTTTTCAGATCTACAAAATATGTTTCTTCTATGCCATTAGGATGAACACAGTTTTCACTTATGTTATCTTTTAAAAATGCCTTTAGTCGTCAAGCTAGCATTAGAATCTCAGCCAACATCTTCCATCTTCTCTTCCACATTTTTACATTCTTTCAGGATCACAGGCCTAAGACCCATGATCTGGTCACCTGTCATTTGACCTTTGTCCACCTAGTAATGCTCTTCACTGCAATGGAGTTTTTGTCTCCAGACATGTTTGAGCCACTGAATTTTCAGAATAACTTTAGATGTAAAGCTTTCTTTCCTTCTTTTTTTTTTTTTGGAGACGGAGTCTCACTCTGTTGCCCAGGCTGGAGTGCAGTGGTGCGATCTCAGCTCACTGCAAGCTCCACCTCCCAGGTTCACGCCATTCTCCTGCCTCAGCCTCCCAAGTGGCTGGGACTACAGGCCACCACGCCTGGCTAATTTTTTTTTGTATTTTTCAGTAGAGACGGGGTTTCACCGTGTTAGCCAGGATGGTCTCGATCTCCTGACCTCGTGATCCACCTGCCTCGGCCTCCCAAAGTGCTGGGATTACAGGCGTGAGCCACCGCGCCCGGCCTAAAGCTTTCTTCTATTTGCATATTCATTAAATAGCTATTTCATCCATGAGATAGCACTTGGATGAATGAAGCCAATGTATTGATATTCAAGTTTATCTAGTTTTTATAACAAAAATCAACAAAAGATATGTCTTATGCCTAATAGTAACAAAGAGAAGTAATTAGTCAATGTGGTTTATCCCAATTCTAGCTTTCTTTGCTTCATCCAGTAGTTCCTGGAGCTGCCAAAATCAAATCCTTTTTGTGTAAACATGCTAAATGCATCTGAAGTGAGTTGACTCAGGTTTCCTCAGCAGAAACCCCAAAATTACATAAATAACTTCTTCTTTTCCCTCCTTCCTGCCTCAAAATCCCTCTTGCTTGAGGAAAATAATTGCTACATCAGTGATCTCATTGGTTCTCGTTCCACAATTTTACTGGTTATTACAATAACTTTTCCGTCTGTTTTTAGCAATACGATGTGACGTCTGTAAAATCTATACTTCAACTCATTCTCCTTCCACCCTTGGTGAAAACGTGCTGTAGAATTAAAGCAAAATTATGCTGTCCCCTGATCCTGGGCGACAGAGTGAGACTCTGTCTCAAAAAAAAAAATAAAAATAAAAAATAAAAAATAAATCATCGCATTTATAGCTACAATTATTTATAATAAATCTTGAAATATTTTATTTTAGTTCAAAGGCCTTATGAAAACAATGTTATTCTATAATATATACTTAATGATATTGTAAGTATTTTGTTCCTAGTGACATAGTTCAGCATATTTTCCCCTATTTCATGTTAATTACGTTTCAAATGTTATGGAAAAGAAATAAAAGTTATCCCAATAGTAAATAATCTCAAGATTTTCTAAAAAGAGCTTTATAAATTTAATTTTCTTGACTTTTGGTGTCTTGAAATAGAAGATTATTTTTGTATGTATGTATCTACCTCACAGAAGTTATTGATTTGGTGGAAGAGCACTAGGAGTAGAGTCAGAAAAGCTGGGAAAAATCCTGCAGCTTCCTTATATTTTTAACCTTTTGCTATAGAATTATAACTAAATGAGTTCATTGATTTGTGTGTGTAAAAGTGCTTAGTACAATGCCTAGACTTATCATTTATCAATAAATATCATTCTTAAAACTGACCATAAAAATATTAGAAAAGTAGAATATCTAGACAATATTTTAGAAAAAGGGAGCTTAAAGAATTTGGAAAATGTCATTCATCTGTCCAAATGTCTGCCAAGCTAAGGCTCTCACTACAGGGAGAGGTATAGTTTAGATGTTAGAGTGTAAACCCAATTTTTTAATGTGGTCATAGTTATTAATTCTTTATGCCTTGCAATTTGTTGTAATTCAGTAAAAGCCTTTTTTCATCCTGAAATTTAAAAAAATTATCTAGTGGTTTCTTTTTTGCTTTCATGGATTCACTGTCTTCAAATAAACTTTTGAACTTTGGGGAATTTATGCCATATGAGGTTTGAGGTTTTGACTCAACTTTTTTCCCATTTAGATATACAGTTATGGCAACCTCTCATTGTATAAATGTACGGGTTATTATTTAATTTCAGAAACAATCACAATATGTTATCCTATTGGATACTAGTTACAAGTTTTCTTTGTTTTATTTAGATTTCTGAAACTGATGAAAAAGAAGACCTGCTGCATGAAAACTGCTTGATGCAAGATGAAATTGCCTGGCTCAGGCTGGAAAAAGACACAATAAGAAACCAAAACCTGGAAAATAAATACTTAAAAGAATTTGAAATTGTGAAAAGAAAGCGTGAAGACCTTCAAAAGGCTCTAAAACGGAATGGGGAAACATTAGCAAAAACGATAGCCTGTTACAGTGGACAGCTTGCTGCTCTGACAGATGAAAACACAACGCTGCATTCCAAACTGGAGAAGCAAAGAGAGAGTAGGCAAAGACTGGAAACAGAAATGCAATCATGTGGTTGTAGACTGAATGCTGCTCTATGTGATCATGATCAAAGTCACTCATCAGAAAAAGATCAAGAGCTTGCTTTCCAGGGCACAGTAGATAAATGGTGTCATTTACAGGAAAATTTGAATTTTTGTATTCTGATTCTTTCTCTGCAACTTTCCAAAGCTGAGAGTAAGTCCAGAGTCCTCGAAACTGAGCTCCATTACACAAGAGAGGCTCTGAAAGAAAAGGCTTTGGTTTTTGAACACGTGCAAAGTGAGCTAAAGCAAAAACAGAGTTGAATGAAGGACACTGAAAAAATGTACAAAAGTGGATACAGTACAATGGAAAAATGCATAGAAAAGCAGGAAAGATTTTGTCAACTAAACAAAATATGTTGCTTCAACAGCAACTGGATGATGCTCGCAACAAAGCTGACAATCAAGAAAAAGCAATACTTAATATTCAAGCCAGATGTGATGCTAGAGTAGAAAGCCTTCAAGCTGAGTGCAGAAAGCACCGTCTTTTACTAGAAGAAGACAGTAAAAGGATGGTCAATGGATTGAATCATTTGAAAGAAAAAGAACCCCAATATGAAAAAGAGAAAGCAGAAAGAGAAGTAAGTATCAAGAAAAATAAGTATTTTTCAAACTTCCTGAAGCAAAATTTAAAGTAATATTTGGTTACAGCTGAATATTGGATCTAGTTGAATATAAAAAAGGATACATATGATAAATATATCTGCTTAGAAACATTCCTTGTTTCCAACAAGTCAAAGTTAGATCTGAGAGATGTTTTCCTCTGATTAAAGTCAATGTGTCACTTATAAAATTTTAAGTTATAAAATGTTAATATAGACTAATAGTAATAATATAGTCATACTACTGAAATAATAATTTTAATGTATTTATGTTGCAACATTTTAAGACCATGATAAATCAGATATATGGAAATGCTCATACCTAAAATGGTATTTTGAAGTTGATTCAATAAAGTGGGGTACTTTGACAGTTAATTTCAGATTTCCTAGATGAGCTGAAGTGTATTCCCTATTTCATAATTACTTTTCTTCAGTAGCTTTAAATATGTCTTAGTTGGTAAAATTTTGTTTTTCTTCATGTCAGTTTGACTTAAATCTGAAACTATTTCAATCTCAAGTTATGTATAGATATGATCATTCTATTTTCAAAGGCATTTAATTTTACTTATAATATGGGGAAAATGCAGTAAATTTTAGCCAAATCATATTTGATTTAATCTTCCCACTGGCATTTATAATTTACTTTCATTTTTAAATAAAAAATTTGCTCCTAATTTTTATTTCAAGGCTCAATTACTATCATTTGGATATAACTTTGTCCAGGACAAAAAGAGGCATAGCTATCTGTGATTTATTAGTTTGACACTGGATCCCCATTTTCAGACTAAGGAGGATTTCAGACTAACGAGTGGCAGGACTCACATAGAGTAGGAATGGAGTGAGTAGGGAGGAGAGATATAGCAGCTGAGTCAGGGTGGGAGGTGGAGGGCAGGTTACTTAGAGCATCTAAGGCCACTGTAATTTTACTTTTCTTCTGAGATAGACATCTATTGGAAGGATTTAAGCAGATGATTTAACGTGAGGAACTCTGAGGTTGATTTGAGTTTCTAATAAAAAGAAAGAGGGAAATCATTCCACAATGTATAATTTACTACCATCGGTCTCACCCACATACTCATTTATTTTTGAGACTTCAGGTTTTTAAGCATTGCAGATTCATCAGGGGAGGAATGACTAGTGGGCTGAATATGTTGTGTGAATAACAATACCAGTTTGGCAGGAAGATAACACCTTCTGTATCCTTAACTGGATTCAGTAATACACAGGAATGTGTACACATGAGGAAAAGAAGGTGAATCGATCTGTGTGGTGATATTTTTTAAAGTATATGCTTTAGAGTTAAATATTATTAATGGTTTAATAATAAGGTGATTTGTAAAATCAGTAACAAAAATAACATCAGGTAGCTGTGAGACAGCTTCAATGAAAACGAGATGATGTCTTAAACAAACAATCAGCAACAAAAGCTTTGCTGGATGCTTCATCGCGTCACTGCATCTATTTAGAAAATGAGATGCAGGATTCAAGGAAGAAATTAGACCAGATGAGAAGTCAAGTATGTATGAAACTTTGCATGCCAACAACTGTTCATCTGTAGCTAGCTAACTAATATAAAGTGTTTTGGGGTACTAATTTTAGTGGATGGCTTTCTTTTGTATTTTTATTATAATTAATTTTATTAAAATTTTATAGTGGATGGCTTTCTTTTGTATTTTCCTTATTATTAATTTTATTAAAATTTTATTATAACGCACCTATATCTTAATCTCTTTTATTCTGCCATTTTTTTATGCATATTTTTTCTTAAATATTTAACCTTAGGAAAGTTGAGAATTATGCATCATTTCTCACAGAAGTTGAGAGAGTTTTTTTTCCTGTTAAACAGTCTATTTTTAATGATTTCTCTGTTGGCATGGTGAGGCAAGCCAGATTAATTCAGAGGACAATGTCTAATGGAATGTTTCAGAAAATTATCTTATTTTTAGTTTCTACTTTTCTGAATGTATAAAGAACCTGTGTGTACTTATTTCATAGATTTCAGGTTAACTTGTTCAGAAAGGCCATTTTACTGAATAAATTTTTATTTTGATGAAAATCCTTACTCTCTATTGGGCTCAGAGAGCACATTTTGTCTCTATATGAATATGGACAGTTAGCATTTGCCAACATGTATCTATTTTCTCTTATTTATAGAAAAAGCTAAACTAAAAAAGGGGTTATAGAAGGTCAGCAAAGGATGAGTTTGAGATGTTCGGGTTGGTTAAGTGGGCATTTAGACAACAAGGTTTCTCCTTTGACATGTTTAATGGACATCTTTGCAGTTTAAGATGACGCTTTTAAATTACTTCTCTCCTAATGATGACTTGAGTCCTGCTATTCAATGGGAGAGTCAATAAGATCCTGTAGGATCTTATTTGGAACTGACTTTGTCGATTTTAATTTTGTTCCTGCTTGTTTTTAAATTTTCTTGTTGTTTCTCTAGAAAGGAAAGATGACGCTTAGTTTTAAATATTTAAAAATGTGCAAGTTGCTTTGCTATAATAAAACTAAATGCATACATACAAAAAATAAAATTATAGTTGATGTGGTAGTGTTTGGAATTCAAAATATAAATGCTTAGCATGAGGTAATCCTTTATCTTTCCACATTTTACCAGTTTGCAAGTTTGAGTATTTAACTGATAAAATGTAATTCAAAAGCAAGAAGAATGTTGTGTTTTAGTTCTAGAGCAGGGGTCTGTGAACTTTTCTGTAAAGGGCCAGATAGTATTACTTAAGACTTTGTGAGCCATAATATCATTGTTGCAATAACTCAAGCCCTGCAGTTATAGCACAAAAGTAGCCACGAACAATATGCAGATTGAAGGGATGTGGCAGTGTCCCACTAAAATTAATTACAAAAAACAGGTAATGGGATGATTTATCCTAGATTCTGACCTTTTTTAAATAAAAAAGATTGTGATAGTCTAAAATATTTTATATATATTTTGTTGATTCATTCATCTACTGATGGACATTTAGGTCATTTCCAAATGTAATTTTTTTTAATTCTTTGTTTTAGTTTCAAGAAATACAGGATCAACTTACAGCTACTATAAGATGTACTAAGGAGATGGAAGGTGACGCACAAAAGTAAAATTTGAAGCAGCACACAAAATAACTTGAGTATTTATAAAGCAAGAGAGCACTGTAGTATGAAAATTGTATCAGTTATGATAATAAGTATGTCTTTGTGAAGCCAAAAAAGTTTCATCTGTAAGCTATATTGACATACATCATTTTTCTTCATTATTCCTAAATTTTGCATATTATCAACAAAACACAGGTAGAAAAATGACACAGTAGCCCAGTCATCTACTTTTGCGATTGCTAAGAATTTGTGTAATTATACCTTCAGAAGTTTGTTTAGAATTTACATGTTTTAAAAACAATTATATGTGAGAGTAATTATTTTAAAATGCACATTTTAGGCTTGAAGTAGAAAATGCCATGATGAGAAAAACGATTAAAAAACAGGATGACCAAATTGAGCGGCTTGAGAAAATCCTGCAGCGTTCAAGTTTGGTAAGCTGATCTCTTAATTTCTGTCATACTGAAAAGGAATTTTATTTTTCCAGTAGGACGGGTTAAATGTCCCTTGTCCAAAATGCTTGGGACCAAAAGTAGATTTTTTTCAGATTTTGGAATATTTGTATATACCTAATGAAATATCTTGGGGATGGTACCTGAGTCTAAACATGAAATTCATTTATGTTTCATATATACCTTATGCACATAGCCTGAAGCTAATTCTCTACAATGTTTTACAGTAATTTTTTGCAGGTAACAAAGTTTTTACTGTTTTCCCCAGAGCCTGTCACATGAGGTCAGGTGTGGAACGTTGTGTTGCAGTTGTGGTGTCATGTCCGTGCTCAAAAAGTTTCAGGTTGTAGAGCATTTTGGATTTCAGATTTTTAGATTAGGGATGATCAATCTACAGTACAGATGCTCCTTGACTTGCAGTGGGTTTACATGATAATGTCTCTTGTTTGACTGAAACATTATAAGTAATATTTGATTTATTTCAGATGCTGCCAGGTGTTCAAGAGCTAGATGAAGGTATGTTGCCAAAATTTATGAATTAAATTCAAATCACTGATTTCTGAAATAAACTGTAAGTAGTGAACGGTATTCCTCTCAATTGCTTGGTTAATACATGCTACATTAAATATTTTTTCTTACACACATCTAGTGAAAGATGTGAAAACATAATCATTCATAGTGAAGGGTATACTTATGCTTTGTTACTTCATCATGTTCCATAGCTTTAAAAAAATCACAAGAAGTCTGTGTATCTCTTTTTTTCTGGCCCTACACTTTTCTTCTGCCACCCCTATAGAACTGTCAGCCTGCACACTGAAACTGTTCTCAGAAAACAAAGGCATCATCAACTTCTCAAGGTTAAGGTAGTGATTTAAGGCTAACAGACCCCACACTCATGTGATAATAATTAGTTAAGCAATTACAGGTCACAAGCAGTCACCTGACCAGTGACATTTTAAATCTCTAGTCATTGACTTTGTCATTGGTTTCCTTTTGCACCTGGGAAAAGTTGAAAATTCCTTAGCATGGAATCAAAACTCTCACATCAGTGTGGTTCTTGTCAGGTTATTCAGCCTTATCTTTCTCCACTTACCATACTCTGCACCTTTGTTCTAGCATCCAGCCAAACTAGACTACACAGAGCTCCACAGTGATCGTCCTCACCTCCAGCTCTTCGCATTTACTTCTTCCCTCTATCCTACATGTGTTTTCCTTCCCCTTCAGATATCAACCTATGAATTGCCTCTACCAAAAAGCCTACAATATTAACACAAACCTGGGCTAGTATCCCTTCTATGTCTTCCAGTAAGTGGTGTCTTATGCCTGTCATTGTATGTATGACTCTGTATGGGAATTGCCTGCTTGTTTTTTCGGATTATAGCATACAGTTGTTGAGGGGTGGACCGTATCATCTTTTTCTTGTTAATCCAGTGCTTGTCCTAGTACCTTAGCACATGGTTGCTGAATACATGAATGAAGAGTGAGAAACCAGAAGCTCTGATACTTAACTGCCATGATAATGAAATCAGTGTGCAACTATGGGCAAATTATATTTAATAGTAATTGCATATTGTACATATTTTTCATTCTTATTAACACTTATAAACTTTTCAACTTATACTGACTTTCTCTCAGTTAACTGTGAAATCATTTAGATAAAGAATATAATTCTTTTTCATTCTAACTTCTGAATTTAAATCTGAATCCTCTATAGCAGGGGTCCCCAACCCCCAGGCCACAGTCAGGTCCATGGAGTATACAGTTTAAGACCTCTGCTGTACAGCTATACCTCCATGCTTGCTTTCAGTGGCCATGACACTTTATTCAAATATGTAAGTTTTATTAAGACTGAGTTCTTAAAAAGAAAAAACCAAGAACCTTAGATACAACTAGTGAAGTATTGAGACCTGTCCATATTTAAAACCAAGCACACGATACCACTTAAAAGGTTCCCCAGAAAGCCTCTATCCTGAAATGCTTGAAAGTGAGCAGTGCTGACTCTCGATTATCACCAATTGCATTAAATATGACACTTGTTTTGTTTCTTTTGGCTATAAGGAGAAAATGTCATTTTGTATACGAGTGAGCACAGAGGAGAGAGAATGCGGGAAAGAACAGAATGGGCCAATAATTTTTTACTAAATACTCCAGTTCTCAGCTTTTTAAATCAACAGACAAAATGAATCACCTAAACCTAAAATCTTTGTGAATAGTATAAATTGTCTTTTAAATTAAATGCATATATTTTTATGTTTTACTTTTTCAAGACAAAAGCGGGATATTAGTACAATATAAGATTTATAGAGGAGCAAATTTCTTGAGATAGGAAACCCTTAAAAGCAGTATTTAAAGTGCTTAAATACTGTCACATATGTTTAATAATCATAATACTTAATTGTGAGAACTAGGAGCTCATGTTACTACTAAAACCAAATAAAAATTCAATACATATTTGTTAACTCAATTTAAGGATGTTTACCTTAATACTGACAAACTATGGATGGTAACACTGACCACACTGAGAACAGGCAAGTAATCCTCCTTCTGCTCCTTGGCCAAAACTGCCACAAACTACACACATATCCTGAAGTTAAGAAAACAGAACATATTTTAAATGGAGACTAAGCTAAAAACCTACAAATTTTACTTTAAAAATACCTTCTTAACTAATATAGCTCTATAGCTAAATATTGGATCACTTCTGTGTAGATGAGATAAAGCAGAAATGTGCAAGGAGGAATTCAATGAGGAAGACAGTAAATTGTCAAGTTCAAACCTGATTCAAAGTGAATTTGTCACTGCTAGAAAACAACACAACCGTAGTGTGCATAGAGTTTTCTTCATCATCCTTATTTGATGAAATATCTGCAGTAGACACCTATAAAAAGCAAAATACACAAAATACGAAGTTATATTTTTCACTTGTTTTACACTTAACTGGAAAGCTTCAGAAAATTCATAATCAAAACATATATTTTTGCTAAGGTCTAGAATAACAATTCCAAATATTAATGCTAAGATACTACAGTAAAATGGAGTCATGACATTTTATTATTCACCTAATTCTCTCTTTAGAGGTAGAATTCCTATAGACCAATAAGTAATGAGAAAATATAATAAACCTGTCTTAGTAAGACTTGATTATGCAGAATTCTAATCAAGAAACTATAAATGATAATATTATATGTATGTACACACACAAATCTATCACTATTTTAATGACACACACTTGGGATCTGCAATGTAGTTAGTCTGAACTGAGATGTCCTGCAAACATAAAATACAGCACATAATTACATATTACATGTTGAAATGGTAATATTTTAGATATATCGGTCAAAATGGAAGGCATTAAAATTAATTTTGCCTGTTCACTATAACCTTTGTTTCGAGAGGAGTTTCACTCTTGTTGCCCAGGCTGGAGTGCAATAGCGTGATCTCAGCTCATTGCAACCTCTGCCTCCTGGTTCAAGCTGTTCTCCCTGCCTCAGCCTCCCAAGTAGCTGGGATTACAGTTGTCCACCACCATGCCCAGCTAATTTCTGTATTTTTAGTAGAGATGGGGTTTCACCATATTGGTCAGGCTGGTCTCTTAACTCCTGACCTCAAATGATCCACTGCACCCAGCTCATTGTAACTTATTAATGTGGCTACTAGGAAGTTTTAAGTTGCATATGTGGTTCTCATTATATTTCTATTAGCACTGCTTTGGAATATTATTTTGAATAACATCCAAATTTCAGTATTAGCCAAATGATTATCAACCAATATTGTTCAGTCTGGACTTAGTTCTATTTGATTAAATCAACTAAGTACCCACTGGTTTGTTAATAATTTCTAGAGTGATTATGAAACAAAATAAAGCTCTGAACTAGAAGTTGTAGAAGAAGACAAGGAGGGCACTGCCAAAATCATAAAATACAATCCTCTTTCTTTAAAAAGCTTACAATCGAAGCCTGGAAAGACAGTTGAAACACAACAGGTTATGTTCAAGGTCAAAACATAACACAACTGAATTACTTTTCTTGAGGAACAACTGAAAGAAGACTAACCAGCTGGGTGTGGTGGCTCATGCCTATAATCTTAGCACTTTGGGAGGCTAAAGTGGGTGGATTGCTTGAGCTCAGGAGTTCGAGACCAGCCTGGGCAACATGGTGAAATCCTGTCTCTACCAAAAATACAAAAAACAGCCCAGCATGGTGGCACACGCCTGTAGTCTCAGCTACTCAGGAGGCTGAGGCAGGAGAATCACTTGAACCCAGGAGGCAGAGGTTACAGTGAGCCAAGATTATGCCACTCCACTACAGGCTGGGTGACAGAGTGAGACCCTGTCTCCAAAAAAAAAAAAAAAAAAAGGAAGGAAGTTTGGTTGGTTAACTAAATAGAAGGACTACATCTCGGTATTTTTCAATACAAATACATTTAAAAGCAGTTTTTTTGTTTTTTTTTGTTTGTTTTTGAGACAGTCTCTCGCTATGTCACCCAGGCTGGAGTGCAATGGTGCAATCTTGGCTCACTGCAAGCTCTGTCTCCCAGGTTCACGGCATTCTCCTGCCTCAGCCTCCCGAGTAGCTGGGACTACAGGCGCCTGCCACCATGCCTGGCTAATTTTTTGTATTTTTAGTAGAGATGGGGTTTCACCATGTTGGCCAGGATGCCAGGATGGTCTCGATCTCCTGACCTCATGATCCGCCCACCTCGGCCTCCCAAAGTGCTGGGATTACAGGCATGAGTCACTGTGCCCAGCCTAAAAGCAGTTTTAATGGATAGTACTAATGCTTTATAAGAGCAATTTATAGTCATATGAACCCTAATGACTACAAGTGTTAATAATGCCAATATTAATCATTAGGGAGTAAGTAAAGCAATGACAAATCCAAACACTAGGAAAGTACGAAACATTTTAAAAGTAGGGAGGTAGAAACTTGTATAGACTGCCATGAAAGAAATTATCAAAAAGACACTGTTGAGTGAAAAAATAAATTGCAGAACAGTATTTGAGGTATAGCACTATAATATAAAAACATGCAACGTCATTATATGTAGTCTATGGGCACATATAATAGGTTGACTCATAAGAAATTGCTGCTTTTCATCAGTTCAGAAATAATATTGGCAATTTCATATGGATCAACCTAATATATAAATATACCAAACTGGTAACAGGGAAATAAGGAGGACTGAGGAGTTAGTAATGGTAAATTCTGATCTACCTATAACGCTTTAATTCTTTTAATAGAGAAAATGTATTGATGTGTTATATGCATAGCATTAACAAAATTAGCTTTCTAAGATTTTAGAGAATCATCCAAGATGATTCACAGAAGTAGAATCATCATCATCAGTAAGAAATTAAGTGACTACTAAAAGTAATCATTAATTCAGTCATAGGACTAATGATGCATTGACAAGACTATTGAGATATATAATTATGGAAATGGCTAAAATAGAGATAAAGTATCTATTTCTACCTCCCAACCACTTACAGAAAATTCAACACATTATACACACTGAGCAGCTCAAAGAAATTGTAAAGATCCATTATTATTTTTAAAAGGAAATTTAACCAGTGAATGCTTTCACTGAAAACGATAAACAATATATTCCCAGTATAAACCAGAAATAAAGTCTGCAGTAGAAAACTACAATGTCCCTAGATTCAAGTGGGGGTGGGGAGTCATATTTAAATAATAAGTGCAGAAAAACCAAAATATTTTAAAATAATTGTCCATGCAAGAAAGAAAACAGTATCATCTAGCTTGAAGACCCACTGTTTTTATTTTATAATTTATTTCATGACCTTTAGACTGCTAGAAAAATAAAACCTAACTTGAGGGCAAAGGTAGTCTTTGAGAAAATATGTGCTATTGTTGCCTGCATAGATAATAGTGTGATTTATCCAGAAGGTGATAGAAATATCATTTTCCTAGACCACAGATATAAGCCAAGGAGAACAGAAAGCTCTGACCTAAACTTCACAAGTGTCCCTTCCAAGCAGGGACACGTAAGAGTAAACAAAAAAAAGAAGATCAAATTAAACTCAAAGTGAGAAGATAGGAAAAAATAAAGATGATAATATAAATCAATAAAACAGAAAGGGGAAAGAAAATAGAGAAAAGTCCATGAAAACAAAGGCTGACTCAAGAAGATCAATAAGATTGGTAAATCTCTAGCCAGACTGATCAGGAAAAAAATAAGAGAAGATACAAATTATTAGTATCAAGAATGAGGAAGGTGAAATCACTACAGATTCTACAGGTATTAAAATAATAAGAAACATTATGATCAACTCCATTCCTTTAATTTGTCAAGATAGACAAAATGAACAAATTTCTTGAAAGATGCAAATTTATGCAAGGAGAGACAGATAACCTAAATAGGTACCTATTAAAGAAATAAAATTTGTTGTTAAAAACTGTCCCACAGGCTGGGCACTGGTGGCTCATCCAGTAATCCCAGCACTTTGGGAGACGGATCACCTGAAGTCAGGAGTTCAAGACCAGCCTGGCCAACATGGCAAAACCCCATCTCTACCCAAAACACAAAAATTAGCTAGGCATGTTGGTGCATGCCAGTAATCCCAGCTACTCAGAAGGCTGAGGCAGGAGAATTGCTTGAACCTGGGAGGTGGAGGCTGTAGTGAGCAGAGATCACGCCACTGCACTCCAGCCTGGGCATGGTGGCTCATGCCTGTAATCCCAACACTTTAGGAGGCCAAGGCAGGTGGATCACCTGAGGTCAGGAGTTCGAGACCAGCCTGGCCAACATGGTGAAAAACTGTCTCTACTAAAAATACAAAAAAAGAAATTATCTAGGCATGGTGGCAGGAACCTGTAATCCCAGCTACCCAGGGGGCTGAGGCAGGGGAATCACTTGAGCCTGGGAGGCAGTGGTTGCATGAGCTGAGATTGTGCCATTGCACTCCAGCCTAGGCAACAAGAGCGAAACTCCATCTCAAAAGAAAGAAAGAAAAAAAAAAGAAAACACAACAAAAACCCCCCCACAAAGAAAATTTCAGGCCAAGATGGTTTCACTAATAAATTCATGTATAAGAAGATACATTTCCACTACTACACAACTTTTCCAGAAAACTGAAGAGGAGAATATACTTTCTGATTCATTCTATGAAGCTGGAGTTATGCTGATACCAAAACCAGACGAAGACATTACAAGAATGTAAGACTACAGGCTGGGGCATGGTGACTGATGCCTGTAATCCCAGCATTTTGGGAAGCCAAGGTGGGAAAATTGCTTGAGCTCAGAAGTTCGAGACCAGCCTGGACAACATAGTGAGACGCTGTCTCTATTAAAAATTTTAAAAAAGTAGTTGGGTGTGGTGGCACACACTTATGGTCCCAGCTACTTGGGAGACGGAGGTGGGAGGTCAAAGCTGGAGTTAGCTATGATCGCACCACTGCACTCCAGCCAGGAATTAGAACGAGAACCTGTCTCAGAAAAAAAAAAAAAGAAGAAAAAAAAGTGCACAGGCCTACAGCCGTGGTGCATCCACAGTTTTATTAATACACAGCAAGAAAAGGGAGTACACGGTTAACAAATACAACAGCATAGATGAATCTCCAAATAATTGTGCTGAAATAAATCAGTCCAAAAAGCATACAGTTCTGTATGATTCCACTTATATACAACTCTAGAAAATGCAAACTAATCTTGGGGACAAGGACGGATGGCAGGGGGAATGCAGAAAATTACAGAGGGACATGAAGAAACGTTGGGAGATGAATATATTCACTGTCATGATTGTGGTATCATTTTCAAGGGTGTATATATATATATATCAAAGCTGATGGAATTGTACATGTCAAGTCAAATATAGCTTATATCAACTATACCTCAATAAGCCTGGTTTTAAAATTTTTCTTTTTGAAAAAAGGACGAGAATCTAAGTTTCCTTATTCCTGGTTTAGTGGTAAACTTGAACAATTTCACCTGTCTCCTATACTTAAAATGACATTTCAGAATTTTAAAAACAGGATTTTAATAAAATAGCGAAGTTATTACATAAAATATTTGCTAGTAGTTAGCAAATGTATTTGTAATACACATACAAATAAAGCTTCATAACATGATAGCAAATATCTATCAATCTTAAAATTTTTTAAATAAAAGAGCAACTATATTACATAATGACTTTTTAGAGAGGGTTGGCATAGAAAGATAAGGAGTCAAAGAGGAAGGTAAGAAAAGAGAAAGAATGAGAAAGTAAATATACAAGAAAATGTAACCAGAGGCTCAAAAAAAAGTAGGACAGTAAAATAAACATTTTGACCTATTTATATGACTCATAAGATCAAAATAACTTGCTATGAGATTTTCATCATTAACTGACATTTAGATTAGAGAAAATATACATGAAGCAAGCCTCACCCCAGGCAATACAACAGCTCCAATTCCACTTTTCAGCTTTGACCTGCCTCGGCCACCTCACCCCGACAGTCCTGCACCTCGAGGTCTCCGCTTTCTTGGAAATCCAGACCCACGGCCCTATGTAACAGATTAGGAAAAGTCAACATTCTGTGACAGCCCAAAATAATTTTTAAATCCAAATGCCACTGAGATAAAACATTTTATTAAATGTTATACAAACACTTCTTTAGATAAGTATTAAAAGACCTGGCTTATTATTTTTATCTTTAAAAGTATACTCCACAACTTAAAAATCTAAATATAAAATGCTTACAACCTTAGAATCATACTTTAGGCCTGTCACTGTGAACGCTATCAGCAAGACTTTGCATGATTTTTCTCTTTTCCACTCCTACATTCTCGGTGACGACAACAACTGTAGCCTGATCCAGATATTTCGAAGTGCAACAAATTGTATTCAATATACAGTAAGGATAAGGAAAAACTCTCTCATTAACTGGTCTCACGGTGATTACAGTAATAGCTAACATCTATTGAGTACTTACTATGTACTAATCTAAGTATTTTTTACTCTCATCCATCCCATATAGTAGGTTTTATTATCCTCATTTGAGATGAGTGTGCTGAGGAATAAAATGGTTAAGTAACTTGTCCAAGGTCACTTAGCTAGCAAGCCTGGCTCCAGCGTCCCTGGGTTGGAAGCATATTCTGTACTGCTACATCAGCATGAAAGTTCATTTTTGCTAGTGTGTGACAGTATTCTTCCTGTCATTAGAATTAAGTCAGTTTCCTTCACTATTCAACAGTTCTCTTATGAACTCAACATTTCTACCTCATTCACCGTTGTATTTAGAGGAAAATTTATTATTATTGTTATTACTTTTATTTTTGAGACAAGAACTTGATCTGTCTCTCAGGTTGGACTGCAGTGGTGTGATCACAGCTCACTGCAGCCTAGAACTCTTGGGCTCAAGTGATCCTCCTGCTTCTGCCTCCCAAAGTGCCAGGATTATGGGAGTAAGCCAAAGCATCCAGCCAGGAAAAATTATTTGAGGATTACAGGAAAGCTGACAAAAGGCTTTGTGAAAGCTTTGCTTTAAATAATCTGAATAATAAATACTTGAAATGGAAATAATTTATCTGACTTCTTACACAAGAAATAAACCTATGGGAAAATGTGTTAAATTCCCTGATAATTTCAGACATTAAGTACCAGAGTATGGTGTTCCCTGCCCCCTCACCCTTGTTTGTACTAATTAATTACTCCTTGAAAAAACCTGGCACCTACCTAAGTAGATGAATTATGTATATTTAAAATTATCCAGATGCTCAGGAAAATACTTAGGTGTTTCCCTCACCATAAGTTAAATAATATGTCATATCTTCAACTGATGTCCCTTATCATAGTTTGAAATGAACTTATTCCCTATTTAGCAGAATGGTTTCCAAGTCAAAAATTTATGGTGATACTGTAAACATAAAATAGATACACATGAACAAAAGGAACGGGAGGAATGGCTTTTCTCCCTTTGGATGTAATAAATACAGCCAGCTCCCAGTTTCAAACTGCCACTCCTGTCTTCTCTTACCCTGCTCTCCTTGAGATCCCTTTAGAGAAGTGCATCAGGTTCTTTGCACAATGGACGGATGGGGTCAGGTTAGTTTTTTGGGTTTTTTGTTTGTTTTTGAGACAGAGTCTCGCTTCTTTGCGCAGGCTGGAGTGCGATGGTGCGATCTTGGCTCACTGCAACCTCCGTCTCCTGGGTTCAAACAATTCTCCTGCCTCAGCTTCCCTAGCAGCTGGGATTACAGGCACATGACACCACGTGCGGCTAAATTTCTTTGTATTTTTAGTAGAGATGGGGTTTCACCATGTTGGCCAGGTTGGCCTCGAACTCCTGACCTCAAGTGATCTGCCCCCTCAGCCTCCCAAAGTGCTGGGATTACAGGCATGAGCCACTGCGCCCAGCCGAGTTTGTTTTGTTATTAAATTGGTATAAAAGATTTTTGAAAAATTAAGTCAGTGATTAAAAATCAAGACTACAGTAGTCTCTCAATTTATCTTCTCCAACATGAAATGCTGACCCAGAAAAAAATTAAGTAAAAACTGGTGGTCTATATTATCAAACTGTCAAATGAGGCATATTTATACTTCAATATCTTGGATGATATCAGGGGGAGGTAGGGAGGTTAAAAAAATAGTTCTTCCAGTCATGAAAGAAAATAAAGTATAATCTAGAATTCCTTAAAATCGTTCATGAGTCTAAATTAAACAGCCATATTCCAGAATATTAAATATAGAATATGAAGAAGAACTGTCATCTCCGGTCAATGAAGTATTTTAACTTTTGAGTTAATACTTTTTCAAAGTAATTTTTTTTCTCTTCAAAATGCATCACACTACTTAACTCACTTCAAGGACTGGCAGAGCCATCAACCAATGTCATGAGGGAAAAAGCCTTGTCATTTTAAGGTATTAAACAGACAATGAAATCTGCCACAATTTTGGTATTTCTTCTCCATGAGAACATAATAAATTAATGGAGTTTTTTCTTTTGCTTTTTTCTAAGCAACAAAGTTTTATGTATCATGAATGAAAAGATCCTTAATTACATTTTGGTCTACATGTCAAGGACTTCTCCCTCATAAAACCAGTAGTAATCACAACAAAAGGAATTAACCATAAAAAGAGGTATTAAAAATGTATACTTGATTTTTAAATGCAAGCATATTATTTCTTTACATTAAAATTTTTAGATTTAAAAAGTGTTTCTAGAAGCTCAATCTAGAAAAGAAAGATTTAATTGTTAACATCCAGTAGGGCAAAACAAATCAGACAGAAGTGATATATGAATGTAAATGTAATTTTATGTACACTTTGATGCTCCAAATGGCACTGCCAGGAAGCTGCCTGGGTTTAAAAATTTCCCGACCTCCTGAAATGTCTGGGGACCACGAGGGTGGGCTCACTGTATTATGGGTACTCCAAGCCTCCTAAGATATGGCAGTTGAGAAAATAGATGTGTAAAACTCAGCAACATAAAAGGTCAAAGCCAGCAACTAAGGAATTTTAGGACAGCAAAAACAAATGCAAACGTATGGAAATTTAGGACAAATTGCTTCAAGGAAGGCAAAATAAGCTAATCACTAACAGTGATTTAAACATTTAACTATAACAAATAACTTAAATGTTTGCTGCTACAGAGACATCACTACAATGAAACATTAAAAATTAAGGTTTATATGACATCAACATTGACTCATGAACTGCAATTACTGCACCAAAAAGTAAATAAAAGTCAATCACACTTTAAGAATTAACACTAGAAGAAAGTATTGGGGGGTTATTTTTCTTCTAACAACTATCACTCTACTTAAAAGGAGAAATGGATAACCATAAGGAATTCTATATTCTATAGCTATAAACAACCAAAACCAGTAGGCCAAAGAATGCAATGAGAAACATAAGCAATCGATAAATGCATAAACTTTAAACTGTAGAGAGCTGGTAACATTAAAATGCAAATACCATTATAATCTTAGCATTTAATCACTCTTTCTTCAGTGACCATTAGTTGTCGGTTTGGTTTCGGTTTTTACTTAGGGAAATGAATACTCTATGGAAATTACATCCAATGGACAAAAGTGAAGAAACGTTAAAGCAAATTGTCCTAAATTTGCAAATTAAAATGCCTAAAGTGCCTGATAAATTATATAGAAAGTAGTATCTTATTAAAATCTATATAACTGAAACTAAAGCATTTTACTTCTGAACAACCACATTCAGCAATACCCTGAACTAATCTGAAGATGTTAAACAGCATAAAGAAAAATGTTTACTCCACAAAGATAACATTTTAAAGAAAAACAAGACAAATGTCAAACAATAAAAGAATATATTTTGAATTAGGTAATTCAATGGTGCATGCATAATTTTACCAATCAAGGAACCAAAACTTAAGGTACATAGTACTTACCAGGTTTCTAGAATATCATCAAATTAACAAGTACTATCTCATTAATCACATAAAAATACCACCAGGAATTAAAATAACCAGAAATAAGAATGTGACTACTCTTGGGGTAAGAGATAGGTAATGGAATAACAGTATTTTGAGAAAAGCCACACAAGCAATAGCCTGGTTTCATTTTTAAGTCACAAACTCAACCCACACTCATTGAAGTCCAGCAATCCAACTCATTCTCTCCAGCAAACACTTTATTTTTTTCCCTTCCAGGATTACCCTCAGGTGTTCTTTCTTACCCATCAAATCTCTAACCTAGCTCAGGTAATCACTATGCTGATTTCACTGAGCAGCAACCACTGCAGGTCAATTACCTCACTTTCATAATTTCCAATCAACTTGAATCTGTACCTATGTCTTCTTCCCTACTATTAGTAGGGATGTGTTGTCAAAAGCCATTTCTCTTTTCTCATTTTACTCATGCTCCTGACATCTGGCATACGGTTCTGCTGGATTTGGCAGCAGTCCACCTGTGGATATTTCACTGCCTTCCTCGCTAATCTTTCTTCATCTCCTGTACGTGTTCTTCCTCTATTTGACTTCCAAAGCCCTGGAGTTTCCCAGGGCTTGAGCCTAGATCCTAAATGGTGTTATCTACAATGAGGGCATCTTGGAAGTTGATGCTTCCCACATTCTTATTTCTGGTTTTAATCAAAGATCTCCAAATTAGCAGGATTTTCAACTTCCTTCTTAGCATTTCCATTTTCTCACACAAAACCCCTCTTAAGTTTGCCATGTTTAAAATTTCTCCCTTAACCGGTTTCATCCCAGTCTTCCCCATCCTTATAAATGGCATCCAGTCCCTTGTCACTCTCCTCTGCTCCTTCAGTCCTCTCCCCCAACACTTCGTCAATGCAAATCATCAGCAAATTCAAGACTTTTTATCTTCAAGTTTTGTCTCCGATCCTTCTACTTCTTGTCACTTCCACCACTAGCAGCACACTCGTGGCCACCACCATCTCTCACCTAACCTGCTACAAGAGTCTACTGCTGGTTATGCTTCTCCCACCCTGCATCTACTCAAGCCTTTCCCCACAGCAGCCAGAGGAACTTTTCAAAAGTACAAATGTGATCAAGCAAGTCACTATTCTATTTCAAACCTTCAATTGCTTCTCAGAGCACTTAAAATACAAACCTTTCCCAGTGCCTTTCTCCAACTCATCTTGTGGCACTTGTCTCCCTGCTGCTATGCTCCAGCTATTCTGGCTTCCTTGCTGTCCTTCAAACATGCCAAGCTCTGTATCAATCAGAGCCCAGCTGACTCAGAACACTTCACTATACCATTCCGGCCCTTCAATAAATGTCTGGCATTTTCTTTCTTTCTTTCTTTTTTTGAGATGGAGTCTCACTCTGTCACCCAGGCTAGAGTGTGGTGGTGTGATCTCGGCTCACTGCAACCTCTACCTCCCAGGTTCAAGCAATTCTCCTGCCTCAAGCCTCCTGAGTAGCTGGGATTACAGGCATGTGCCACCAGGCCCGGCTAATTTTTGTATTTTAGGAGCAATACCATGTTGGTCAGGCTGGTCTCAAACACCTGACCTTGTGATCCACCAGCCTTGGCATCCCAAAGTGCTGGGATTACAGACGTGAGCCACCACGGCCAGCCATGTCTGGCGTTTTCTAACCCTTCAGGTATGGCCTTACATATTTTCTCATCAGGAGACCTTTCCTTAGTGCTCCCAGTGAACCATCATCTCTCTTACCACACCATTAGTGCCTCTCATTGCATCACCACCTAGGACGTTTTATTGTTTGTAATTTTATTTAGTGGTAGGCAGTGGGGCAAGAGATACCTAAATTACTTCTCTCAATATTTCCATTGGTTTTTCTCTGAGATTTGGCTAACATACATCTTAAATTCCTTTTAGTCAATAGTTTAATATTATGTTGGCAGTAGACAGTTCTAAAAAATATGAGACAGAAAGTCATACTCTAAGATAAAAATAATGTTGAATAATTTTATTTCAGAAATAAGAATTTTCTGGCAATTATGTATTATTCATCATAATTTAAAAGTTAGCTTTGATGCCAAAATTTTATCTCACTTCGAAAAGACAGACTTTGTGTAATTTTATAGTTCTGAAGAAAAATTATCATTATACTTAGATATTCTGACAAATTATCTAGTATATTCCTTAGACCTTAAAACTAAAATATAGCTATAATTATCAAAGTTTAAATTATCCTTCAGATCTTAGCTTTGATCAAGAATTTACACAAACCATTCAGAAAAGGTTACCTGCCCCTGTAATGTATGGGCTCTTCTCCTACAATCCAGTTGCAGCACTTTTTACACTGTAATTAAAGATCATGCCCCTTTCTGTCCACTGCTACGTTAAGCACCCTGTTCAGCACTTACTGAACTTTTTTTCTGCTGAGCATCTATTATCTTTTTTTGCATGTGTGTATGAATTCATCAATAAACAATGAGCTATGATATGAAACACACTAATGCCTCCACCAGTAATAACCTAGAATCTTGAATTTCTTCACTTAAAAAAAAGTTACTAAAAATTACTAAAAAATCTATATAATGCCTCCTTAATCTACAAACTGAATTAAAAGCAAAATACTTCCTAATGTAATCATTATTAAGTTGTAAATAGAATCAACTTGCTATCAAATACTACAGAAACTAAAAAAACACTACCTGGCAGGGACTGAATTTGAACCCAAGAAAAATAATTTAACCCAAACATAGTTTAATATTAGCATTAAGTTTCTTTCTGCTTTGAGGCCAATTTCTCAGGTAAACTGTCCAAGCTAGTAAGTTATACAAGGACTGTGGGATGGGGAAATGAGAACAATAATGACAAGTGGAGGATAGGCTATTTAGAAGCAACTTTCTATTAAAAGTCAAATTCTATTGCTGATTGTTAAATATGATCAAAGTCATTCTTACAGCCCAAGAGTACTATCAGTTTTAAAAGCAGCCGTAGAAGGTTTGGTGTCTCAAAGGCAAACTTTACACCTCCAAATCTTAAATCAACCCCGGCCCCACACTCTTCCAACATACTATGTAAAACCAAGGTTGCTTATAAACAGTAAGTCTAATTTAGGAAAAGTGAAAGCAATGAAGACAGAGGGCAGAAAGGAAGATAACTGGTAAAAGAAACAAAAGAGTTTACAGTTTGTCTTTTTGGTAAATATAATCACTTGTATACACTGGAGCTACAGCAGCAAACACTTCACTCTTTAGGGAATTCTTAAAAGAAGTCTCATATATAAAATTGAGTTCAATATCAAGTAGAACAAGAAATTAGACCCAATCCTGTTTTGATAACTACAGAAACAGCTATTATCAGCTTTAGCCTTCAATAATTTCACAATACAAATTAGGTGGTGCTAGCAACAGTAATGTCTCCAAAAATACCACAACAAGCACAAGTGAACTAAAAGCAAAGTCTGGTACTTCTAATCTGCTGTGTTGTTAGCTTGGTGTTCCAAAGGGGTAGGTATTTTTTAGGTTTAACACTATGGTTCTCTGGCTACTTTTAAAACTGAAAGTACTCTTCTTATAATATAAACTTCTAATAATTTGTCCAAGAGATATCAAAATACAGTACCTATGTTTTCATTTATGAAATTTTCTTGAAATATTTACTGCAGGCTGGGCGTGGTGGCTCACCCCTGTAATCCCAGCACTTAGGGAGGACAAGGTGGGTGGATCACCTGAGGTCAGGATTTCGAGACCAGCCTAACCAATATGGCGAAACACTATCTCTACTAAAAATATAAAAAAAAATAGCCAGGTGTGTTGACGTGCGCCTGTAGTCCCCACTACTCAGGAAGCTGAGACAGGAGAACTGCTTGAGCCAGGCAGGCAGAGGCTGCAGTGAGCGAGGTCGTGCCACAACTCCAGCCTAGGTGACAGAGCAAGACTCAATCTCAAAGAAATAAATAAAAATAAAATAAAAGAAATATCTACTGCAAATAATACGTTTCATAAAATGCTTAATAAAAACTTTCAATACCACCATGAAAGCAATTAGAACATGAGGGTGTCTGAAGTAGATCATAGTAGTGTGATTACATTCAATATCTTTCTATAAGATGTGATGATACATACAGGGTAAATCATACAAGAAGACCTAAGATTATTATCTCAGAATTTCCTAATTAGAATGGGAATACAATTGTGCAATGAGAGAAATGGACTGAAGACAGAAATAAAAACAAATGTTATAATTTAATATGACAAATTTAAAATTTCCACTTTATTTTCCACCATTTTTAAAGAGCATTCCTTATAGTATTAATTTTAATGCATTTTTAAAAATCAGTAAGACAAGTAGCACATTTCTCTAGTTCAGGACTCCACTTTCAGGGTTACAGTTAAAGATGATCCTAGAAGTGCATTTTAATTGGTCTAGGGTAGGGTCATTAGCTTGATGTTCTAAAATCTACTGAGTTGATTACAATATGTGTCAGTGTCAATAACCACTTTCTTAAACCCAGGTCGCAAAGCACATATACCTATAGAAATGTTGAAAATGGGCCAGGCGCTGTGGGGCTCACACCTGTAATCCCAGCACTCTGGGAGACCCGAGATGGGAGGATCACTTGAGGCCAGGACTTTGTAACCAGCCTGGTCTACACAGCAAGACCCCCATCTCTATAAAAAAAAAAATATTTTAAATGCTAAAAAATGAAATACTAAATTATTTATGAATATATAACTTCAATAAAAGATGAGAAAATACAACTAGGTCATTAGGACAATTTGTATGAAACAATATCCAATTTGCTGTCTGTTACTTCTACCTTATCATGTCTAATTTTTCCTCATCTTTGTGAAATCCTGCATCTATTGTAATAGGCAAAAAAAACAAAAAACAAAAGGAATCTTATTCTATTCACAGCCATCAGAAAAATGTGTTACTATTCCTGTAGTCAGTTAGGTTCTAAATCATACATTTGAGATATATCTCAAACATGTCATAAAGAAAATAAGCATCATATTTCTAACTAAATAGCACCTGAAATATTCCATATGAAAGGAAAAATACAAAAAACTAAACTTTTAATTACTAACCTCCTTAAAGGAAAATAATTCTATATGATTTGATATTTCATAATGGATGTCCAATACCTGAGATATAAATTCCATTTTCTGTGTCCTAACATCTCACCTTCAGAAAATCTCCAATATTGGGTTATTTGGATTATATATTTAAAACTGAATATACTTGAAGATGTGAATGATTTGTTGCCGCAACAAATGGTTTAGCAATTATCTGTATTAAAATGTGTTCCATGAACAACAGAAAAAGAATATTTCTACTTCAGTCCTTAAAAATTGTGAAAGCACAGCCACAGTCTTAGTTTGTCGATCTTGAATTCTTTTGGTATTTTAATTTCACCAATAATTCTGGAACTGCTGTTTTTGTATTTCTCAAAATGTTTTGTCTTGCATCGTGCAATAAGGCAGCCACCATCATATGTGACCACCGAGCACTTCTAATGCAGCTAGCCAGAACTGATGTTTTAAGTATAAAGCATCTTGTTCATTTTTATACTAAATGCTGAAATATTGTTTTGAATATACCAGGTTAAATAAAATACATTAAAATTTATTTCACCTTTTTTTAAGTGTAACTACTAGAAAATTTAAAATTACACATATGGTCTGCATCATATTTCTATTAGACAGCACTGGCTCACCGTTCTACTGGTTGGCTAGCTTGTACCTCCAGATAACATCTGATAATCCAATCACTAGCTACCACAAACTAGATCTTTCAGATGTTTCCTATTAAAATGTTTGTTTAATTTTGAAGTGAATTCCTAGAAAAGCTCATATAATACTATTATAGAAAATCATTAAAATCAACTTAATAATTTGCCCACCATGAAACAGAACTTAAGGTAAATCTACATTTCTTTGGTTAGTATTTACTGTACTGGTAAAGACCAAAGAATTGGTAATGTTCAACAAAATATGAAAATGTCAGTGACTTTAACAAAAAAAAATAGCTGGAAACCAAAGAATCTTGCTTACATCACAATCACAGCTAGGAAAATGCAGCTTATTTTACAGCCAGTCCCCGATGTGAAGAATATGTAGAAACAACAGTAAATAAAAACAGAAGTATAATACAGAAATGCCTAATATCAAAGAAATTCATGTAACAGAATACTGAACTTCAGTATTTCTAATATACGTATATACACATTCCTGCTAACTGTAGAATATTTCCTGCAAGTTATGGTCCCAGTGCCTCACCAATGGAAGATCTATCTTGTACTATTCAATTCATACTCTCCCTAATAACAGCACTATATTAGCAGGTTCATCATCAAGTGAAGGCTGTTTGCTAGATAACTAAAACCAAGATTGGAAAACTAAAAAGCTGGAGGGAGGGAAAACACAGCCTACAAAATGCTTACAAGATTAGCAGCAAATGATGAAGTAGTAACAAGAGGGGCAGAAAAATAGAAAGATTATCATCGGATTTGGGAATTCAAAGGCAGCTTAGCAAAATACTAGGACATGGCTCATATAAGATGGAATAAGCCTGGAAATACACCCCCCTCCCCAATATTTCAGAACATAAAGTCTACAGAAAGAGAGTCCTAATGTATTGAACCTGGTTTCTCAATTGAAACAAAAGTCTTCAAGGAAGGAAAGATACGCAAAATTTAACAGGAATACATATGAAGCAGTATCTGTAAAGAATGTAAATATATCAACCAAAAGTAAACTTCAGATTCAAATTTCCATTGTTAAAGTCTTTTCAGTCAGAATGACATAATTATTATATAACTACTCAAAACAAAACAAAAAAAACTTACTGGAAAAAAGAACAACTGGTTTGAGAAGAAAAACTTTTCATGGTAGAGCAGAAATAACTGTCAAGGAGAAAATACTTAGAAAAAGTCATATATAAAGAGTGGCCTAGTTTTACTGCACACGTCTTTGCCATGCAGAAACAGCTAAATCCCATCTGACAACTACTTTCCCTTTCGTGTACCTTGTCTTTAGAGAATAAAATATATCTGGGTTTGATATAGAGGAGACTAATTTTCACATTAAAAATGATTTTCTTAAAAGCCTGGCCTTACAGTTTAAAAATTATACGATTAAAATCAAGATATTATTCCTATAAAAAGCCAAACTTTAATCCATTTAAATCATGAAACTTAAAACTTCACTTGAAGCAATTTCAATCATGAAACTTAAAACTCCAAATTACTATTGTGAATTAACACTTCTCCACTATTTATCTTGCAATTTTAAAAAACACTTCAGAAAGTAGCAAATTTGTAAAACAATAAATAATTCGTACCTATTGTATCCTCATTTTGCCATGCAGTTTTACTTAAATCTCACTTAGAAATGGAACTCATTCTTAAAGGGTAGAATGTACATGATGTAAAGCAGACACAGGAAGATTTATCTTTACTTACTGAGAATCAATAGTACAATTCTAAGATTTTTTCCATGAAACTACTGAAATAAGTCCTACTTGAAAAAAGAAATCCCACAAGAGTTAGCAATTAATAAAAACACCAAAATGAGAAATTCCCCAGCATGGAAAATTCCTGTCATACATGTTGATGTTTATCCAGTTAAAAATATATACAATGAATAATATCAATAAATAAATATATTAGAAGGAAATAATAGATGTTAGTTACTGTATACCCAAAACTATACTGTATTTTAGGCTCTATATTTACTGCAGCACAGAACTAAAAGAATTTTTAAAGTTCTTTCTATTAGAAACTATTATCAATAGGTTGCATCTTTATGGCCCAGCTGAGTTGAAATTCCAAATAAGATCCCTTCAAATTTAATAAATGGCATTCTTCATTAACAGCATTTAAAAAATAATGGCTGAAACACATAATCAACATTACACTGAAGTTCTATCTGAAGACAGAAAAAGTTGCCATCCACACCAAAGCTACACATATACCTTCTGATTTTATAGAATTGTTCCAATATCTTTTCTGTCAATATCATTAAAATCACCCTACCTGTTTGGACCGAGGTCTACCAGGAGAAAATTTTCTCTTAGTAATAGCTGGTTTACCCATGCCAATTTTTGGAGTGACTGAGATGTTAAGTTGTTGGCATGATGTTTCCAGCAGAGGAACTAAGAGCTGAAGGGTAATTATGCAGCATGTCATGCGAAGGCAAGTCTGAAGAAGGTGTTGGGGAGGAAGACACATCTGCCTTGCTTATGTCTGCTGATAATGAAAATGACGACTCTGTCTCAAATGATAACTTTATAGATTTGCCTCCTTGGTATGAAACATCTTTCACACAACCCTCAATTGTAGGAGTCATTTCAGAGTCCATCAATCCAGTAGAAAGTTCAGAATCTTCTTTCTGTTCCTTTTCTCCTTGTAGCCTTTCTATAACCAACTGTTCCTCAGGACATAATGAAGAGCTTTCCTCCTGTGGGGACACTAAGGTTTCTAGTGGAAGAGTGACAGATTCAATGACAAATTTTGGAGGCCTTGATTCTTCTTTGGATACCACTGTTTTAGGTTCCTCTAACAACTGCAGTTGCTCTTGCTGCACAGTGATCTGGTGTGTAACGACTTCAATGTTTTCTGTCACTTCCATTTTATCTTCAATTTGATCTTCGCCACAAATATGCTTCACTTCAGAAGACATTTTCATTTCTTCACTATCAGCCTCATTAGAAATCTGTTTTTCCAATTCGGTATTCACTGTATGTTGGGATGATATTACAAAATTCAGAACATTTGTTATGGTAATGTACAAACCAATTTTAAATTTTCTAACTATAGATATATAAAACATTTGGCTACACTAGAACTTAAATCAGAAGGTATTCATCAAAGCAGACAATTATTAAGTGAGTGAAAGCCAAAGTACACAAGGATTTTTGGATTAGAATCAGCCACACACCAGAAAACCTAATGAAAACATGTTTTACAGCACAAGTACTTCCAAATGGATTGAAAATTACACAGGAAAAGTCCTCATACTCATTTTTTACTTAAGAAATCGAGGATCAATCATGTTATGTGAGGTACCTAAGTTAAAAAGTAAAGACTGATCTAGAATGTGTAGGCATTTTCTAATAGTAGATACCCAGATGCGACAAAGTTACTATAGACTCAAAAGCACAGACAGAAAAGATTTGCTAACCACCAATATTTATTTTGCTTAACCATACCTGCCAACCTAGCCAAAATATTCTTTGCATATAATCGTTCTTCATCATTGTCTGTAAATTAAAAGACTAATCTCAGGAAATCTATAAACTTAGATATCAGAAACATAGTCACCGGTAAATTTTAAATCAGGATACCAGTATGTTAAACCTTTAACTCAATCTCATCAAGGTAATTTTTAAGTTATAGTAAAAAGACACTGCTAGCCTCATTTACCAATAAGTGACTAAAATTTATCTATTTATCTATGTTCTTTTTTTTTTTTTGATACAGGATCTCAGTCTGTGACCCAAGCTGGAGTGCAGTAGCACAAACATGGCTCACTGCAGCCTCAACCTCCTGGGCTCAAGTGGTCCTCCCACCTCAGCCTCCCAAGCTGCTGGGACTGCAGGCATGTGTCACCATGCCCAGATACTTTTTTTATTTTTGTAGAGATAGGGTCTCACTATATTGCCCAGGCCTATACATGTTCTGATACCAAACTGATACCAAACTGAAATCTCATCTTCTTTCCCACTTTATTGAAAGACTACAGGTAAGGATAAAAGAAAACTACCAAATAACAGATCTGGTAGTACAAAATATTTTTAATCATGACCTCCCCCCTCCAAAAAAAAAAAAGCCTTTCAAGAGAAACTAACCTACTTTAGATCCATTGTCAATTCTTTTCCAGAATCTCTCAACTAAAAGATTTAGTTACTGTAATGTAGATACATACAGCAATTGCAAAAATGCCTTTGGGATAAAGACACTATCTTATAACTCAATCAAATTAGACAATATGAACATACTGCTTACCAGCAATGAGAAGACTATCTGTGTCCTCTATACCCTCAGTGTAGGGAAAGGCTTTCTGAATATGACTCAAAAATCCAGAAGCAAAAGAAGATTAATAAATCTAACTCCACAAAAAGAAACTTTTGCATGGCAAAAAAAAAAAATAATAAAAACAAAGTCAAAAGACACATAATACAGCCTGGATAACATGGTGAGACCCTGTCTCTACAAAAGTAAAAAATTAGCTGGGCTTCGTGGTACACATAACTCCTAGCTAACTCGGGAGGCTGAGGCAGGAAGATTGCTTGAGCCTAGGTCAAGGCTACAGTGAACTATGACCATACCAATGTACTATGGCTGGGGTGACAGGGTGAGACACTGTCTCACACAAATAAGCAAAAAAAAAAAAAAAAAAAAAAAGAACAAATAAGCTAGCAGAAAGTATCTGCATCATGTAACACATATAAAGGCTTACATCCCTAACTTATAAAGAACTCTTAAATTTAGGGAAAAATGCCAAAATCTTCAATAACAGGCAAAACACATGAACAGACAATTCATGAGAAGAAATAAAAACTGACCCTTAAACACATGAAAAAATGATCAACTTCACTCTTAGGATAAACAAAAATTAAAACTACATTGATACACTACTTTTCACCCAGAAGACAGACAAACATTCAAAAGCTAAACAAGTCATCCTGTTAGCAAAGACGTAGGAAAAGTTCTCTCACACATCTCTGGTGGCAATGCAAAGTGCCATAAGCCCCCAAAAAGGGAATTTTACAGTATCTAACAAAGCTACATATGTGTACACTCCTGAGGCAATAATCCTAGGAATTTACCCTACAGATTTGTCCCTGAGAATTCAAAAACACACATGCACAAAGCCAGGGAGTGTAAAATCATTTATAATGCAAAATATCATAAACTACTGAAATACCAAAGCACAGGCCACTGGTTGAGTAACCCATAGCACAGATACACAATGGAGTGCTATGCAGCTGTTTAAAAGGAGAATGAGATCCCTTGAACTTGCCTAACTTGCCTGGAAGTGATTTCCAGATTTTATTACATGAAAAAAGCAACATGCAAAAGAACATATACAACATGCTACCTTCACTGAAAGAGCAATATATCCTCTTATTCTTAGATGAAAAATAACAGGAGGTTTAAAACAGAAAACAATGAAGTTAGTTACTTCCAAGAGGCTGGGGGAAATGCGGTATAAGTAATAAACAAGAGACAGTGACAATTCTGAGCAAAATTTCATATAGTTTTGAGTTTTGAAAGTGTACTAATACCTTCTATATTTAAAAAATTAAATCACTAAGAAAAAGGGGAATAAAATCTATTACTGAGAGCAAACTGAAGCAGACTTGCTTTTTAGATTGAGCAACTGAATAAATGTGCTGTTCTACAACCCAGAATTTTTGTTGTAGGAGAACAGACATGCAAGAATGAAAAGGCAAAGAACTCAGTGGAGAAGGATAAGAACTGGAGGTGCTGGTATAAATTCATTATTTCTAAGTTATGTATATGTATATGAATATTTATGTGTATATACATAACGTGTAGGGGTGTTCAATCTTTTGGCTTTCCTGGACCACATTGAAAGAAGAATCGTCTTGGGCCACTCACAAGATACACTAACACTAATGACAGCTGATGAGCTACACACACACACACACACACACCCACACCGAAAAAAAAAAAAACACCTCATAATGTTTTAAGAAATTTTACAAATTTCTGTTGGGCCACATTCAAAGCCATCCTGGACCACATGTAGCCTGCGGGCCATGGGTTGGACAAACATCTGTAAGTGTATACACATGCATGTATTTCCTGACACCACCTGCTGAAAGGGTGAAGAAGCAAACACCCTCCAGTAGCAATGAGCGCACCCAGCACCCATTCCCCACTAAAGGAATCTGGGTTACTTATTTAACAATGGACTTATTCCAGGACTCGGGCATGGGAGGTATAAGATGAGCTTGTAACATCTTGTTACACCAAAAAGTATGAAATGTTCAAAAAAGCGGTGAGGGCAGAACACCAGTGCCAGCTTGAAGGAGCAACTGACAGCAAGTATGCGACTATTTGAGCCAAAAAATAATTAGGTAATGAGTTGTAAATGATTGAAGATAATAGGAGTTCATGAGTCAATATTAATAGTAAGTAAGCTTAACATGTGAAAGAAGTGTTCTTGCTTACAAAAGAAAGCAGAGGGCTAACTGGTAAATGTGGTGGGAGTGCTAGACCTGGAAATGCATCATTTGCAACCAAAAGAAAGTATGTTAAAATGGCATCATCAGGCAGTAAGTTTGTTGTTGTTGTTGCTGTTGTTGTTGTTGTTGTTGTTGTTGCTGTTTTTTGAGACAGAGTCTATCTCTGTCACCCAGGCTGGAGTGTAGTAGCATGAGTCCAACTCACTGCAACCTCGCCTCCTGGGTTCAAGCGATTCTCCGGTCTCAGCATCCTGAGTAGCTGGGATTACATGGCACCCGCTACCATGCCTGGCTAATTTTTGTATTTTTAGTACAGACAGGGTTTCACCATGTTGGCCAGGCTGATCTCGAACTCCTGACCTCAACTGATCCACCCACTTCAGCCTCCCAAAGTGCTGGGATTACAGGTGTGAGCCACCACACCCGGCCTAGGGAGTAAGTTTTTCAAATCTAGAAGGAAATTCTGAGGAAAAGCAAGATATTTGCATGGTCTTAAAGTATCCTCACATACTGCTTTATTAGATACAAGGGAGGGGGGAATAGAAATTGGGCAACAGCCTGACCAGGTGATTCTCATGAGGGAAAGTGGAATAATGTGTGCTTCCAGTTGTGATACCCTGAGGATGGATCAGCATTTTGCAGTATTCTGGCCAATAATGCATGCCTCTCATCTAATTATAAGGGGTTATCAAAAACAAAATGGGGAAATTTCTGTTTGAAAAAAGAAAAACACAAGTATATCGAGAAGAACTCTATTCTTCAAAAATACCAATGACAAAAACTAAATCCTAGAACCTACTTGGAGGAAGGGGTAGGTTATGAAGGACATCAGATCAAATGACATAACTGTAATATGGCTGGTACATTAGATAAACATATGGCATTGATGTAAGTTTAGGAAGTTGATAGCAGGATTGTGATTTTTTAAGAATATTCCTACTATTAAGAAATACATACTGAAATGGTGGTAAAAAGGCACAATGTATGTAATTAACCCTCAAATAGTAGGGGGTTGGGGGAATAGAGACACACACACAGACACACACACATACACACACACACACAGAGAAAGTGAGAGAGGGCATGCCCAATGATAATGAAATGCTAACAACAGATATATCTAAGTAAATGGGATATGGGTATTATTTTTATTTTTTCCAACTTTTAGAGTTTGAACTTATTTTCAAGTAAAAACTTTCTAAAAACGCATAACATACCAAAGAACAGACATTCTTGAGATAAAAGTAGGAAAAAGAAACCTATCTGACAATGACTGGTTTACAATAAAGATCCTGAAAAGATCAACCCCACTCCAGCTCACCAGGGAGCAGCCCCAAACTAGACTGACAGCCCCGCGGGGGCACACTGATTTGCCCCAACATCTCCAGCCTTCACTACAGTGATGTTCGCACACAGTAAACACTCAAATGTTAAATGCAAACAAATGAGCAAATTATGACTCAAGACTACAGAGAGAACTACAGAAGAATTCAACAGCAGAGAAAGATGATCATTCTTCAAATGGTTCAAAGGACAAACCTTTCAATCCATGAAAAACTCTATGGTAACTGTTTCTGTACTTACTTTGTGTTAGGCATTGTGCTGGGCACTTTATAGATACCACTTCATTAAATCCAACATCCCTGTGAGGTAAGTACCGTTAACCTTCTATACACTGACTTAGGGAAGTTAAACAGGTAGCCAAAGATCATCAATTTAGTAACTGAAAAAACTGCAGTTTGACTCCACAGCATAAGCTTTTAACCACCACACTATAGTGCCTTCATAGAACAGAATAAAAAGATTAAGTATCCAATAGTATTCCCAGAAATTATGTAATCCTGTCACTCTCAAAAGAGAATAGCAGATTACAAAGAGCAAATCGAAAAGAAGCACACCAAAGGGGAGACAGAACAAGCTGAGAAAGACACCCAGAATTCTCTACCAGTTCTCAAGACAATGAAAACCATAATAAAGAAGATTAAGAGCAAGAGACAAAAATTATCCAGTAGTTACTAGATATTATTAGAGAGTGTAAAGAAGGTAATTTTTAAAGTAAATATATTTTTTTAAAAAGGTGCTGGGGCGGGGGGTGGAGGCGGGGATGGGGATTCACACATCTCCCAAAGCTTTCAGGAAGAAAAAAAGGATTATGATTAAATTTTTTCAAGTTAAGATTTTTCTCGTGACAGCATAAACTGAAAAAACTGAAGAAAATGTTTTCAGAGTATAAAAAAGAAAAATTTGTAATATGAAACATTATACTGTGCCAAGTTCTTATAGCCAGCCTAAAAGGAACAGTCTCTTTCCAACATGTAGGGTTTCAAAAACTTTATAATTATTTTTAAAGGATCACAACCAAGACTCTGAAAGGTTGAGGGTAAAGTTGGAGTTAACAGAGGAAATATATTTTTGCAAGAAAATTGTGACAGGGTTTACAATCTAGGTTAATCGAATCAAACAGAGAAAAGGGGAATAAAAACTTTATTTTCAGTGGGGAATGGGAGAAAATTTATATCTTTAATATTTATAATCATTTACATTCACAAAATGAGATTCTGAATTATAAATCATTGCAGGAAGTAAAAGAAGAGAAAAATAGAAAAATTTTGCCTCAAAACAGCCAAGCATTTCAATTACAACCGTCAATCCAGTTACCTCTATTAAGCTTTTCAAAAGATACATTTTTATAACACAAAAGAATCCAAAATAAGATGTGAAAAGATAACCATTCAACCGTTAAACTAACACCCTACGTGGCCATAGTGTCAGGCAAAGCAAAATACCTGCCCTTCCTGATCCCTCAACAAAAAACACATTACATAGAATAAAGAACAATTTTATACTGGTAAAAAACACAATATATTAACACTGGCCTGACCTACTTGCTAAATAACAGCCACAAGTTATTTGTTTAAAAATATGATAAATTGATAGGAACAATTAATAGTGGTCAATTGTAACTTGTTGAATCAACAAGTCAAAAAATAAGGTAAAAGGACTTCATCTAACTAAATGAAATTAATAAACACAAATGCTACACCTTTAAAAAGTCAATACTTCAAGTATCAAAACATTTATTTTAAGAAACCTACCTTAGTTAAATTCTCTGATTAAATGAAATGTAAGCATAAATTAACATACTTCAGCACAACTTAAAAAAAACAAAGTTATTCGCTAAGGTATATACATACATAAAGTTACAAATACAATAAACTTGGCTTCAGTCAAAGCTATAGCCTAAGGTAAACTTATAGTCTTAAATGTCCTTTTTCCTTAGGAAAGACAATGAATTACAAATTCAACTTCATATTAAAAGTAAAAAGGCAAGTAGAGGAACTGAGTGAAGATAAGAGTGTAAATATACAAATCAGTCAAACAGCAGAGTTTTTCCTTTCCAATGATGTCATTCAGCAAGAGAAGGAATCTGAACTACCTGAGGAAGCAGGCCAGAGTTCATCACAATCCTTCAGCCCTCAGGTCCCACTTCCCAGGTAGCCACAGCTGAGCACAGTTACCCAGCAGCTCTTTTTCCCCCCAGGAGAGAAAGCCCCTCCCCTCAACCCCCACCACTCAGGCAGATGCCTAGTAGAACTTGCTGAAGACCACAACAGAACCTGGTAATACTGCTTGCAGTTCTAGGTGCCAAACCTCACTGGCGAGGACAGGGTGCAGGTACAGAATCTCTCTGCATCTGCTCCCACCTCCTGCCCACACCAGGGACCTGGGGTTCTGGCCACATCACCCTCCTTTCCCAGGCCCTCCACCTCCTCCCTAGAAAAAGCAGTTCCGAGAAGGGCAATGACAATGCTGTGCCTTCCACTCCTGCACACGGGCCATCACGCCCTCTCCAGCTCCAGGGAGAACCCGCTCCAGGCCCATGCAGCACCTGAGGGTCATCTCCATCCCTCAACCTCGCGACACCAGCAGCCCAGGAAGACTAAGCTTAAAAGCTAAACCGCACCTTGGATTCCAAGGGCTATCTCCACTACCCCACTGCCCCCAACCCGGCTCTGAACGCCTCCCCCTGAAGGGGCAGAAGCCAAGTGAGGTAGGAAGTTAGTTAATGAGTTCATCGGCATTTTTTATAATAGCTCAAAATTTTAAAGGACCCAAATGTTCACCAACAGGTGATTCAATACACAAATTGTGGTATCTCCAGCACTCAGTAATACAAAAGAATCACTACTGATCTGTGCAGCAATAGGGATGCATTTCAAAATAATTACACTGAGTTAAAGAAGCCAGACCAAAAACGAGTATATACTATATGAAGCTTTTATTAAAAATTCTAGGAAGTGAATACTAATCTATAGTGAAAAAGCAGACTAGGAAGACAGAGGGTTTGGGTTTGAACAGCCACAAAGCAAGCCAAGAGGCACCAGGAAACTTTGACGGTGATGACTATGTTCATTATCTTGAAGAGTGTACAGTTTACTGTATGTCAGTTATATGTCAATAAAGCTGTTTTTAAAAAGCTGATGGTAATGTATAGATTTGAATAGATATCCGATTTGTCTGTTCTCCATATAAAACATACAGAGGATTTAAAAAAGTAAACAACTTACTTTGCATTTCCAGCCGTTGGTTGGTACAGATTTCATAATTCGTTGAAGACAAAAAGTATGATACCCTTTGTCACACGTATCACACACTAGCATCTTGCTATCTTCTCCCGATTGTCTAAAAAGTAAGATAGCATTAATGATGGCTTATCTTTAAACTTATGTTTTGCAACATAAGTAATCATGAAAATCATCAGTCCTGGGAACCGCACAGTTCATAAATACCTCAGTATCTGTTTTGTCTCTGCAGATAGTAACAGAGGTAACCCTACCATAAGGATTCCCTCCTAAATGGTGATCTTTACTCAATGCTCACCTATGGTTAACTTGCTCTAGCCATTTTAGGATTCCTGCAAAGGAGGAAGGGTTAAGGCAAGATGAATAGCCTCTGATCTTTACTTTTAAAATATAATTTTTGAGAGGAAGGCGCTATAACTGCTATGTGCTACTGTGTGGAAAGATCAAATCTTGGCACAGCAAATTGAAAAGACTGTCATATAACATAAAGAGGATCAAATTTGGCATCAGATCTCTATTTGTATTCAGGCTGCTGTTTTCTAGCTGTGTCACTAAACAACTTAGACTAAAGCTCTCTGAGTTTCAGGTATAAAACGGGAATAATAAACATTACTGTGAGAATTAAATGTAATGCAGGTTCAAGTGCTTAGAATGTCTATTAAGCAATTAAATGCTGAATAATTATTTCAAAAGACGAATCTTGTCATAATTATTAAGAATTATAATTGAAAACCTAAAACCTTTCTTTAAACACTCTTCTGCCCCCAAAGATTGGGCCCCTGTCCTACAGCGTTATCTCTGTTGAGATTTTTGACTATAATTACTTTCAGATACTATGATTTTAAATTCAAGAGGAGGGGAAGAGAAAAAAACAGGGAAAGCAAGAAGAGCTGAGAGAGGAATCTCTGAATGAAATCTGGGGGATAAACAGAAGTCAACAGGAAGATGGGTCAGTTGGCCTCCAATTATTATTCAGTTCAACCTCTCCATAAAAAGTCACATGTTTTATCTCTTCAGCTACATGCAAAGATCTTGGAGGACAAGTACTCTTCCTTCAAGCTCTTTTAATCCTTCCCAAGAAACTGAGTGCAGATACAAGGTATCGAATAAATGTTTACTGAATATTTTATCTAATTTTTACCAAAATATGAAGGTACATAGTCCTATTTATGTCATGTAACTCTAAGATATTGACGCTTATTTCTTATAAAACTAAATAATAAAAACAGACTGATCATGGCAGTTGGGCATAATTCTTGCTGGTTACAACAAAAATTCTCAGCCTGTAAATGAAGATGCTGGTAACATCCCCAAATTATCATGCTCATTAGAATCATGGGGGTGCAAGCGGAAATCACAGAAAAGACTGGAGAAATGACCAAGAGATGAAATACAATAGGAAAAGATAACCCCCTTACAAATTTGTAAATGCCACATATTTCATTTTGGAATTATGCTGACCAGGATCTACTCAAGGTGGCTTTTAGAGAGATGCAGATGTACATTAAAATAATAGTAGAAAGTGTCCTTCCTGGAATGGAAATTCAAACACATGACTGACGTTTTGACTCAACTCTAATTCTTCTACGTCTGTAGTGAGAGGTTTAAATCCTATCACATCCCCTCCCCGGTGCCCCTGAAGACAAGCTACTTTATTCTTCTCATGCTTGTTTTAAATTGTTAATATCGCTTATTTTTTAAACTGTTGGTAAATTTAAATTAGCTCTTTAGAAGATCAGAGCAATTTAAATGATTAAAATCAGTTTTGTTTAGACTTCTTTCAAAATAATATAAACGTTAATATCCAGTAATTTTTTTAAGTATGATGAAGTCACTCTGAATGAATACAGCCAAAATATGAACAACCTCTATTATATTACACAAACTTTTAGCGCCTAGTAATAGGGTCCCTCTTAAACCCAATACACAGCTTTGAATTGAAATGAAAACTTACTTGCAGTTCTGGCACACTTTGCACTCAGGACATTGCCAACCTGCACGTTTTAATGGAGTAACCGCTATATCCAGGCACATTCCATGATAGTGCTGACCACAAGTAGTACAAAAGAACTGATCTAAGAGGTCTCCCGGGCTGTCGCACACTGCACAGTTTGCATCTTCCTTCGCTATAATTAACAGTAAAACAATGAAATTGTTGTATAAGAATTTAAATTTTTTCTGACTACACAGTAAAATCATTTGAAAGGATTTGCATCATGAACCTTTCAGACATTTGAAGTTATTCACATTGAATTGTCATCTAATCAGAAAGAGGTATCAATAAAAACACTGTAGGGTATTTAATCTAAATGTAACCACATTAAATTTAATCGTATAGTTTTGCAATTATTTGTGGCTATATCTACTTAAGACCATAAGCAGGTCTTCTTTAATTTTCTATTCCTAATGCCAATGATAATGCTGGATACCTAATTAATGCTCAATATATGCTCACTGCAAAGAACCAAACAAGGAAAATACCAACTAAGAAATGCTTTGCAGTGTAACATAAACATTTTCTTTGAATGCTAAATATATTTTGAAATTACAAAATCAGACAAGAGACAAAATTAAGAAACGTTAATATCAATTAGACTAAGATGCTTCTTAAGCATAAACAGACTATTCAAATCACATAAGGGCTTTTTTTTGATTACTGGAAAATGTCTTATGTGGAAGAACATTAAAGACAGAAGCTACATATTCATACACAAACACATTACTTAATATACTAATTCTATATTCATCTATATTAATTTCTAGTTGTAAAAGCATTAAAATCCACATAATTATGGACATCATCCATCCCTAAATGTGGATTAAAAGAAAATGTACTAACAGTTCTTTTACCATATAAAACAGAAAATATAAGGATAAACTGCCCTGACAAATATACAGTTAAACTTATGCATATTGCAAAATAAGGAAAATAATGTATTCTAAAATCATACTAATCTTAGATAATGTATAAAAAATATGCCTGTATATAACAAGTATCACAAAGTATATGAATCTTTTCATTTTTTGAAGGTTTGATCATTCCTATCTACTATTCTGACTCATATGTTCTTTCTTTTCCAGTCAAGCTTATCATACCAACCTTTGATAATATATATAAATATGCCTGTATTTAACAAGTATCACAAAGTATATGAACCATTATTTTTCCTTTTTTTTTTTTAGACAGTTTCACTCTGTCACCAAGGCTAGAGAGCAATGGCGCGATCTAGGCTTACTGTAACCTCTGCCTCCCAGGTTCAAGGGATTCTCACGCCTCAGCCTCCCCAGTAGCTGGGATTACAGGCGTGTGCCACCATGCCCACCTAATTTTTATATTTTTAGTAGAGACGATGTTTCACCACATAGCCCAGGCTGGTCTCAAACTCCTGAGCTCAAGCAATCCTCCTGCCTCACCCTCCCAAAGTGCTGGGATTACAGGTGTGAGCTACCGCACTCAGCCTTTTTCCCATTTTTTGAAGGTTTGGTCAATCCTATCAATTTCTCTCTGACTCATACATTCTTTCTTTTCCAGTCAAGCATCTTGAAACAGAGTAAAAATATATTTCTTTTATTTGTACCGGAGTCTGCAAACTTTTCCTGAAAAGGGCCAGGTAGTAAATATTTAAGGCTTTGTGAGCCATAGCAGTCTCTGACAAAAAGTCAGACCTTTTGTTTTTATTTACACTCTTTTAAAAATGTAAAAATAATTCCTCGCTTGAGGGCAGTACAAAAACAGGCTTCAAAATGTGGACGCTGGCTGGACCTCTGACATACTTCACGAAGGCTGGCTTAACACCTAATACTCATCTGAAGCTACATTAGTGAGGCTGCCAATGCCCATAGGAAACCCGATTTAGTCTTTGGCTTTTTTGCACTTTGTAGCATTTGCATTGCTAGCCACTCCCACATTAAAACGCCCCTTTCCTTTGTTTCTATCATGGCAACTCTCTCCTAATTTCTCCTTAGTTTTCCCCCACTTTCATCTCATCCTCCTTTGTTGGCTTTTGTACCTATACAATCTTTCTAAATGCTGGAGTTTCTTAGGATTTCATCCTTTTCCTTCTTTCCTAATCCCCCATAGTTTCCCTTTGTGATCACATCAACTCTCACGCCATAAAATGCCACCATGATTCCCAAATCTGTATTATTGGCCCTAGAATTCTTTCATAAACCCCAAACCTTTATTCTTCAAGTCTTACTGGATCTCAATAGCCAAGTGTTCTAAACACTCAATCTCAACTGCTCTAAAGTGAAACTTTTTTAAAAACCCGAAACAGCATCCATTTTTCTCAAGAACAGATAAAGGCAGAAACCTTAGTATCATTGTTGACTCTGAACTCAGCTTTGACCCAACACATCCAGCCAGATCCCAATTCTTATGTATTAAACTTCCTACACATCATTCTTTCTTTATATGTTTATAGTTTAGTCTATCATACTAGGTTGGTGCAAAAGTAACTGCAGTTTTTGACATTACTTTTAATGGCAAAGACTGCAATTACCTTTGCACCTACCTAATACTCTGTCTCGCTAACTGCAGTATCTTCTGCATCAAATCATCTCTACTTATGGTTCTGACATCCTCTCTAAATCATTTTCTACACATCCAGAACAATCTTTCAAAAATGTAAATCTAATTGTTAACCTCTGTATAAATTAAAACTCCACCAATACCTCATTTTTCACCCAAAAGAAAATCAGAATTTTCAAGTATGAGGCAAAAAGGTCCTTATCTCCCTTTCCAACTGAATCTCAGAACCACTCACTATTTCGTGGTCATGGTGGGTTGTCTGCCATGCACCTCACATAACATGCTATTCATGTCTGTGTGCTTTTACACATTCTGTTCCCTCTGCTTGAAATTTGGTTTTTCTGCTGTGCTCCCAGCCTTCAAAACTCTGCTCATGGCTGGGCACAGAGGCTCACGCCTGTAATCCCAGCACTCTGGGAGGCCAAAGCGGATGGATCACCTGAGGTCAGGAGTTCGAGACCAGCCGGGCCAACATGGTGAAACCCCATCTCTACTAAAAATACAAAATTAGCAGGGTGTGGTGGCACATGCCTGTAGTCCCAGCTACTCAGGAGGCTGAGGCAGGAGAATCGCTTGAACCCAGGTGGTGGAGGCTGCAGTGACTAGAGTTTATGCCACGGCACTCCAGCCTGGGGGACAGAGTGAGACCCTGTCTCAAAAAAAAAAAATCTGCACATTATTTCCTGAATACCTATTACCACACCCAAATACCCATTTAGTTGTTGAATATTACTTTTACCCATATGCTTACAAGAAACTTCTGTTACATAATCATTTATTTACAGCACAACTCTGTGAATCCTTGAAGGACAGGGGCCTTAACTTTTTTAACTTTGTATCCCCAACTGCCTAACATGAATCAAGTCTTATTGAACATATTTTAAGTGAAGGACTTACTGCTAAAATCACTTTTAAATGGCTCTTTAAGTGATAGGCATTTAAAATAAATCATTAATCTAACAATGGAAGCATCATAAATTGGTTCATTTTTGATAGAAAGGACATAACTGGGATGTTATGTTTCTCATTATTAAGAGAGTACTAGTATTTGTCTTTCAAAATATGTACATTGAAAAATTGATCTCTTTTTGCTCACCGTAAAACTTTTAAAAATTGGGGGAATACTCAACTAATTATCGGAAACTAATTATCAGATAATCAATTCATTTTTCTATTATACTCTCCTAGGAACACTAAAATGCTTCTGTGAAACTTTCTAGAGTTTGCTCCCCTGACACTTCAAGTTGCCATGGTAGCTACTAGCGACATGTGGTTTCTGAACAAGTGAAATGTAATTAGTTCAAATCGAGGTATGCAGTAAGCATAAAATGCACACTGGATTCCAAAATCTTAATGGGGAAAAAGTATCTCAAAATTTGAAATATTACTATTTTGGATTACTGAATTAAATAAAATTTACTACAATTGTTCCCAAATGTTTCCTTTTCCTCAAATTTTTAACATACCCACTAGAAAAATTACTTATGTTGCTCACATTATATTTACACTGCACAGCACTGTTATATACAACAAAGTTCACTCTGCAACAAGACAACTGTCATTGTCACAAAAATCACATTTTAGACTATGATGATCTCCACCAATTCCTTACTGACAACCTTGCTGTGTTATCTGATTACTATGGATCATTGGTAATAAATTAGTCAAAGAAAAACATCCATGTAATACATCTGGTGCAAAAACACTTAATATGCCTTATGTGAAAAACAATATTATTTTTAAAAGCACTACACAAAGAAATGAGGTTGGTTCCAACCCTCCCAGTCAGAGAGAAGATGTGTGGGAATACTGAAACAACCTTATGGAGGTCGTGTATAAGAAGATTATCAATACTACTGGATAGGTTTGGTGTCATCATAGAAATTAAATATGAATATTTAGACACACATGTCTGTAAGCCAGAGACATTAAGTTTAAAGCAATAATCAACTAAGAAATTTTTCTTTAAACAGTTGAAAAAGCAAAAAGACAGGCTATAACTAAAGATAATTTAAGAGGGGAGAGGAGTAAAATCCAGGTCTATTTGGCTTCTAAGATCAGGCTCTTGACTACTAATCAAACTGACTCCTCAGCAAACTTTACTAGTGATCAATGAAAGTGATGAGTATTTGAGTATACACAAAAGTAGACACGAAATGCCAACAGTGGCATACAATGAAGCTAAATGAAGTAAAGGGAGCAAGGTTCTTATGGCAGGAGAAAAGTGAGAGGAAACAAAATGATCATCTTTAGAAAAGGTCATTTCCTAAGAGACAGCTGTAAAAAGAGAAGAGATAAATAAAAAAGACAAAAACATTGAGCTTAAATTAGAACAGAGCTTATCACAGATCCTTAAACTTGATGAAACTATTGCTTAAGAAAGTCCAGACAACACATAAGAATAAAAGCATTGGTGAACAGCAAGAAAAGTCAAAATAGCTGTCATACAGTGTGAATTGAAGAAGGACCAAATCAGCATTGCTTTCTAATTTCCATCACACCCTATCATCTGCCAATTTTCATCACTGGCAGGACACTGGGCTGAGTGATTTGTCTATAAAAGAGAATCTCTGGAAAGAAAAAATAAATCACGGATGTCATCCAAAGAGGCTAGACCGTATCATTGGCAGGTAGATAAGAAAGGTCAGAGGACTGACAGAATTTAGGGTAAAAGAAAAGCAGCAGGACTTAATGTCAAGAAATACAAAGATAACCAAAGAAAAGAGGCTGGAGTTAAAGCTTAAGTGAAGTAAAAGGAATTAAAGCTAAATGATGAGTAAATACATTGAGGAACAGGGGGTGAATTAAGATGTGTAGCATTTCCATGTTTAAACCTTGCAAAAACTTCTCATTGCAGACCGAACAGAACCCAAACTCCTTCCCTTGCTTAGAAGCCTACATGATCTAGCCTTTGTTCACCTTGATGATGTCTCTACTACCCCCACCTAGTAGGCTACTATGCTCCAAGTAAAATGACATGCTGTCTGTTCATGAATCATGCCAAGTCCACTCCTCAAGGTCTGTGTAGTGGTCTGTTCCCTCTCCCTGGAATGTTCTTTCCTCTTATCTTGCATGATTGGCTTCTTACCATTCAGTTTTCCTATTCAGGAAGTATATCTGGTTGTATCTCCTAGATGGATTTTTAGTGTAAAATTTCCAGACAAGGTTAACGTATCCTTGTATCATCATGAAAACAATGTTGCAACAATGACCAGCCATTTACCTATGACAGAGCACCCTAAAAGTGTTTCCTGATGAAAATCTTGGCCTTCTTCACAGATACTCTCTTTAGCGGATTTCTTTATAATGAGATGCATGATTTTGTTAAATTTCTCAACTTTTATAAAAAGATGTCAACCTTACTCCTAACTCAGTCAACTATCACAGCTACTGCTCTGCCCTTTAGGAAGCAACAGAAAATACATATACTCAATATGTATTATCATTCTCATAACTTAAGCTTTAGATAGGAGGTAAAATAACTACGCTTTTTAAAGCAATTAATATATACAAGGCACAATGTTATGTGAATTCCATTCATTGTTTTCATTTAACCCTCATAATAACACTATGATTTAAGACAGTATCATTTTAAAAGCATAAAAAGTAACTTCTGCCATGACACACAATTAGGATAGGAAGAAATATTTATAAAAGATGTTAAAAAGGTGACAAAACATCCTATCTGCAATATTCTTTAAATTATATCCTTGGAACTTAATCCAAGATTATGATCGTCTTAACAGATGGGTCAGAACGCTGTGTAGTTAGAATGCACTGTTTAAGATCCCCAAGGAGGCCGGGCACGATGGCTCACACCTCTGTATCCCAGCAGTTTGGGAGGCTGAGACGGGCAGATCACGAGGTCAGGAGTCCGAGACAAATCTAGCCAACATAGTGAAACCCCGTCTCTACTAAAAATACAAAAAATTAGCTGGGTGTTATGGTGTGCGCCTGTAATCCCACCTACTTGGGAGGCTGAGGCAGGAGAAATCACCTGAACCCGGAAAGCGGAGTTTGCAGTGAGCCAAGGCCATGCCACTGCATTCCAGACAGGGTGACAGAGCGAGACTCCATCTCAAAAAAAAAAAAAAAAAAAAAAAAACCAAAGAAATCTAATTTAGTCATTTAGGCCTTGATTTTATACCACTGACTTAGTTTGAAGGCTGCTATAAGAAACAGCCCTATGAAACTGGTATTTTTCTACTGCAAGGTGGCTACTTTAAGACAATTTTTCATTGCATTCTATCAAGGGATGTCTTATTATTATATCATTATATCAAGTGATGTTATAAATAGTAAGAATCAGATTAAGGGCTCATATTTCCTTCTTTGTATTGACTGTTGAAAAGGTATGGGGCCAAATTTGTGGTTTGTCTGGAATTACATATTTTTGGGGGGTCTCTCTATTATCTTCATATTTATCCTATCTAAATTTTCCATTGCCAAATTTCCTTACTTATTTTTAGTTTTATCCTATTGCTTATGTATTTTTATGAGTCTCCATAAGTCTATTTTGGAAAAAGGCAGAGTACTCATAATTTTAGTATATCTTTTAGCTTTATGTTGCCATAAACTTTTCATTATATACATGATCAACAACAGCAAATTATCTCACCTCAGTATTTAGTTTATTATTTTACAAACGAATTTATGATTACTAACATGTAACTGAAGGTATACACTATTAGAACACAGTTTTCAGTAGAAAGTAGCACTGCCATTGAGTAATAAAATGTTCCAATATTAGAGCAACATTCTTATACAAGTTTGCATGTTGTTTACTGAGGTCTAAAGCATGACTACACAAAAGGCTGAATAAAATTCAGATTCTTACATACACATAAAATTGTTTTATTGAGATGACAAAGTATATTTATTAGGCCACCCAGAATATAATCCACTCTGATAACTGCCAGTTTATGCACTTGCTGAAGTAACTCAGTACATAAATAGTAGCCACAACAGTTGCTGTGCATGAAAGTTCTTCTCTTCCAGATTGAAGAGTGTACAATCTAAAGCATTTTAAAACTTTAAATCCCTTATTAGCTTAAATATAATTTAAAATTTTGGTTTGCCTTACCTATAATTTGTCTGTACACTAGGTTACTAAGGGTGATATGATTACATATGTGGACACAAAATAATTTTAATGGAAAATGAAATTAGGTTACTCAACAAAGATAAAGGGTAATGATCATGTAACTAACCGTATTTGAGATTAGTTTAAGCCTGGGGTAGCTATACTTATGTTTCACAGACCTGGAGAAGATAGGAAAAAAAGCTTTTATCAACATTGCTAAGGAACAGGTAAAAGCTAACATTAGGTGACTAAGAGGTGACATAAAAAAGACTGAATAAAATATCATGGAGGTTTCATAATAAGATTGGAAATTCAATAGACTAGGAGAAAAAATATCCCAAAATATACATGCTCATTGGGAAAACACATAGTAAGAAAAAGGAGAGATCTCTATTTAATGATACAACAGTAGAGTTATAATTTCCTGTATAATGTAAATTTCAAGCATTTAAACATTTTCATTGAATTATAAAATACTATTTGGAAAAGAAAGAAAAACAGCACAACTGCAGATTACAGATGACTAAGATAGATGAATCATGAAAAGGTGCTAGCAGAGATTTCTATCACACCTATCAGGGATACACAATTTCCAAGAATTTCAGAAGTGTTTGGTGTTCCTATTAACGTAAATCCTGAAATAACACCTGAGTGAACTGTCTTCTAATTCTTCAACTGGATGGCTTTTTAGTGTAAAAGATGTTGAATACTGATTGACTTTTTAATAATTTTATAGTATAAGTCAGAAATACTGCACAGTCCCTATTTACATCTTTCTACAGTGGTTTTTAAAATGTTTTAAGAATAAAAAACATGCAAACTTTATTTGATTTTTCTGAGGAAATAACTTTTTGGATTTAATTTCAATGAAACCGTTGATAACATTTCCCTCCCCAACAATCTCTGGCAATGATCCCTCAGATTTTAAAGATTATGTATTATTACCTTTTAATACAAGTAGAATAACACTCAGGGAATTTACAACATTTGTTATTTTCAGTAAACACATTGGTTGAAGTTTAAAAGTCTATGCGTAGTAAACTTACATCTTTCAGGAGCTTGGTCAATGTGTTCTGGACAAAGCAGGAAGATGTGACTGAAATCCTGAAAGGTGTCGGCTCCTGCAGCACAAGGATAATGATACATCTGGGTACATTTCTCTTCACAGCATTTGATAGTGGCTCCAAAGTGCTTACAAAATGCACATCGCTGAAAGGGGTAAAGGAGAGAAATCGCTTTATAAAACCTTGAAAAGGAATATTCAAATATAAGCTGGGAAGGTATAAAAAACTCTGTACATCACAAGTAAACAAATGGAACCTGCAAAATATTAAACAAAGGATTCGTTAGAAATAATAAAATCTACATTACTCAATTTAGTGCTTCGTGTGCTACCAACTCATCCTTCCATTCAAATTAGAAAGTTAGAATTTCATTCCTTATATTTTCAAAAATAAATTGTGAAGCATTTTTGAAACAAAACCTAAAGATTTTTTTTTAAAGCAAATAGTAATATGGTTAAAGGGGCAGGTTTCTATATTGAGGATTATTATAAAGTTTTTAAATCCCACCAAAACTAGTAATAGGAACATATATTATTTATGAGACATATTACTATTTTTTACCCTGCCTAAAAATAAATACAAAATAAACTCATCAATTATAAGTTAACAGGGACATAAATAGTTAGACTCACAAAAAAAAAACTACATACTTCAATGTAGCAATCAACTTCAAATTTCTTAACAAAAGATGGAAATGTGGGGGAAAAAAATTAGTCATCTGGTATCTTTCCCATTTCAACCTGCCTCCATTATCTTGCAAGTGGTAAAACACACAGAAATAAGCCCCAAACAAGAGGGGCAGTCTAGGGCAAGTGAACACATAAGAAGTCAGAAGAAATTATGTAAAATGTTGCATTTACTTATTCAGTTTTCCCTTAGAATGATTCACAAACTCTTCCTCATTCTCCCAAGTCCATTTTGAGCATCATTTTCTTTGAAGAGAGTCTGATGGGCCCTGTACTGTACAGTATGAAATCTCTCTGTGGGAAATGACTATCTAACATAAATTTTTGTTTACACCGTTACATAGTACCTACTTGCTTATGCCATTACATGATCAGTTTATCTTTTTCTCATCCTAATCCAAGATCCTTCAGTTGAGGCACCATACTATCTTTGTATCCAAAGCACCAAAAATGCTGCTTCAAACAGGCCCTAATAGATAAGTGTTCCTATACATATACCAAAAAGTCTTAACTTTTGGTGATCTTGTTTGTGAGTGTGGCTCATAAACAGCTTAGCTGAGATAACTGGAGCCTCACGTAGCAGAGACAGTTGGACCCTGCTAACATTACTGTGGATATCTTCACATGTTACTACACTGACTTTATATTCTGCTAATTAACCAGGGACTACAGCAGTTAAAATTATAATTGTTTTCAATGTTTTATGTGTAAATCTGTATTTCACATACTATCAAACTCTTCCTCACTGTCATCAGTCTACTGCATTGAATCAACATAACAAAGCTAAATGACTCCTGAGGGCCGAATCAGAAAGAAGAAAAGAAAGAGATACAAAACTTTGGCCAGCCCAGTGGCTCACACCTGTAATCCTGGCACTTTAGAAGGCCAAGGCGGGCGGATCACGAGGTCAGGAGATCGAGACCATCCTGGCTGACACAGTGAAACTCCATCTCTACTGAAAATACAAAAAATTAGCCGGACGTGGTGGCAGGCACCTGTAGTCCCAGCTACTTAGGAGGCTGAAGCAGGAGAAGCTTCTAAATAACTCATAAACACTAATTACTGTTGTGACACTTTAATTTTATATAATATTTATAAGTATACAGAATAACATTTCAGTGCTATTTTGGCACTCAAGGGTATTAATGTATTAGAAACACAGAAAAAATATTTGTCTTCATTGATAAAGTGTAATAACCAGCTTTTACAAAACAGGTAATTTTTTATATTGTAACTCCCAAGGTATCTAAATATGTTTAGTGCATTAACAGAACCCAGAATTAACTGCAAATACAACACCTTGGTAGTCTAAATGTCCAAACAGAAAGTTCACATAAATGTCGAAAGAAAAAGTACAATCAATCTGTTGAAAAATATTTATAACAACTCATTAGCATAACTAATTTCTGCTAAATTGTTAAAATCTAAAATCGCTTATTTTGATACCATATGGCAAGTTTTGCAGAAGCCTTTTGCACTAAAAATAATCTTGGCAGATAAAATATAATGAGAGGTAAGTACATAATAACAGAAAATAATTTAAATTGACCAGCTTCTCAATGTCTTTCTCATTTTAGAAACACCAATATGTTCTCTTAATCATATCTGCAATGAAAAATATTATATTAGCTAAACTATTACGAAAAGTACTGGAATATATCTAACATACTAATTTACAATATCATATAAAGGTATCAGTGAATAAAAGAAGGAAAATAAAACACTACATTTAGGGGAACGCTTCAAACCCATATGTTACAATTAAATAGCTAATGAAGAGCACTCGGCATTAAAAGAAAACGTTTACTATATATACACAGTCTGGAATGTATCTTCCTAAACCAAATAAAAAGGACTTGTAAAATCATAGACAATATCAAAGAATAGATTTCTACAGGGAACTTCTCAAATGTCAACACTCTTATACACTACACATAAAAGAAATCAAGCAAGTTAAAATATTAATAATATAATAAGTAATATATAATACATAAGTAACAATTACAAAGCTAATTAACATTTGGGAAGGAGGGATAAAGTAAACAGCTCTTGGCCGGGCATGGTGGCTCACGCTTTTAACTCCAGCACTTTCGGAGGCTGAGGCAGGTGGATCATTTGAGCTCAGGAGTTCGAAACCAGCCTGGGCAACGTGGTGAAACTCCATCTCTACAAAAAATACAATAATTAGGTAGGCATGGTGGCTGGCATGCACCTATAGTCCCAGCTACTCATGAGCCTGGGGTGGGAAAATTGCTTGAGCCCAGGAGGTTGAGGCTGCAGTGAGCTGTGATCACGCTACTGCACTCTAGCCTGGGCAACAAAAGTGAGAACCTGTCTATAAAAATTAAAAAAAAAAAAAAGCCCTTAAATGGTTTATCAACTAAATGGTTTATTTGAATCAATAATGAAAATTCCTAGACAGCATTTTTTCTTTTTACTTTTATTCGTCATTAAAAAGACAGGGAGTAAGAAAAGGAAAAAAAGTAACATGTTATAAATATTTTCCCATATTAATCCAAGAACACAATAAGAACAACAAAAACTCAGTGAGAACTCATATTACCAATTTTAAGAATGAGTCTGAGGAATTTTCAAAACTTTTATTTAATAGATTGAAATAATCTGTCAAAATGTATCTATAAAACACAACAGAATGAACAAAATTTCTGAGATTAAAGTTGTATCATAAAAAAATACCAAGAAGTTAAATATTCCACAGTTCATTTAATTAATTATCCAGTATTTATTCTGTACCAACTATAGCAATGGTTTTAGGCTACGTGCTCCAATAAATAAGTATTGTAAGGCTCCCCATGCTCCAAATTTGTTTTTAATCTTCACCAATCTGTTTTTAGTGTTAGGCAACTAGGATTCTCCCAGGATGCAGTAATAAAGAACAAAGATGGAAAGCAAGAGAAAGAGGTAGAATGACATGAAAATCTGATCCAGAAGGTGTAACGTCTGTTTTATATGAGTACCAGAAAGGGAGAAAATAGGAGGGATTATAATCACCAAAATTCTAAAGGAAAAGTTATGCATATATCTAATAATAAAAGCTAACATTTAATTAGGCATAATCCTCATTCAACAGATGAGGAATCTAAAACCCAAAGAGTCATTATCACTGTTCCACTTATCTCTGTATCCCTACAAAAATACTCACTCTTGATCTGTAACAATGCCTCCTTAAACTCCCTGAATGGCAGCTTCAGGTAAAAACTTCCCAGAAAGTTTGAAATAACAAGGATAAAAGGAAAATTCTTGGAGCCACATAAAAAAGAAAACAGATCATTACAAAAAAAGAAGAATCGGGCATCAGTTCTCATTACCAATACTGAATTAAAAAGAAACCCCCCAAAAAATCATTATTTTCCTAGGTCTATAAGAAATTATTTAAAACCAAAATTTTAATGTCTGTTAAGCTAACATTCAAGTCCACGGATAACAAATGTAAATAGTTTAAATTCTCTAGTAAAAGACAGCAACTTTCAAAATATGCAAAATATACTACTTAACACATACACATATTTTACATGTAACTATACTACAGACTTCATTTATGTATGTGTGTGTGTGTACACATATATAATATAAAATGAATGAAATACTTTGGATATTTGTCCCCGCCAAAATTTCATGTTGAAATGTAATCCCCGATGTTGGAGGTGGGGCCTTATGGGAGGTGTTTGGGTCATGGGGGCAAATCCCTCATGGCTTGGTGCTGTCCTTGCGATAACGAGTGAGTTCTCACAAGATCTGGTTGTTCGAAAGTGTATGGCATCTCCACCCATCTCCTCTGCTCCTGTTCTTGCTATGTGAGATGCCTGCTCCCCTTTCTCCTTCCACCGTTATTTCAAACTTTTTTTTTAAATTTATTATCTATTTTTTTTTTTGAGACAGAGTTTCACTCTGTTGCCCAGGCTGGAGTGCAATGGCCCGATCTCGGCTCACTGCAACCTCCGCCCCCCAGGTTCAAGCGATTCTCCTGCCTCAGTCTCCTGAGTAGCAGGGATTACAGGCACCTGTCACCGCAACCGGCTAAATGATTTCAAACTTCTTGAAGCCCTCACCAGAAGCAGATGCCAGCACCACACTTCCTGTACTGTCTGCAGAATCGTGAGCCAATTAAACCTCTTTTTGTTATCAATTACCCAGCGACAGGTATTTCTTTACAGCAACACAGGAGCGGCTGTATATATATATATATACATACATATATATTCATACATATGCACAATGCACAGTGACATACACAATTCAAAAACAGACTTGAGGGGAAAAAACACAAACGCTATCCAAAAAATGCAGGTATAGCAATAATTGCAAAGAAACAGAATTTAAACTAAAAAGCAGTGAACAAGTCAAAGATAATTTATAATAACATAAGTTTTATGTTGCAGTGTAAATTCCAAAAGAAGCCATAGTCATTAAAGTTTATACACCTAATAAATATATGTCACATATAGAAAGTAAAGCTGAGTAGAAATAACATGCATAGATTAGACTTTAACATAGCTCTCAAATGAGGATATTAAGTAGATATGAAATAAATAATAACAATGATCGGTTTTGATTCAAACAGACACATAAAATACACGCAGATCTCTGAATTCCAAAAATAGAGAAAACATCCTATTCAAATGTACATAGAATTTTCAAAAAAACTTCACATGTATGGTCATAAAGAAATGTCCACATATTTTAAAAAGCAGGTATTTCCTAGGTTATATCCAGTAAAAGCAGATGCGTCCCTAGACCTAATACAATAAAAATTAGAAATTCATAATATAAGGATAAACTCCCAAATCTATCCACTGGCAAAATTTAAAAGTCCTTTCTATATAACGGCAGAGTTTCAATCAAGAAGAAAAATCATGTATTATTTTTAAATGATTAAGAAACATCAAAAATATCTCTGAGATGTGGCAAATGTGGTATTCAGAGGAAAAAATATAGCTTCAAACATGCAAAACTGTAAGACTAAAGAATTACAATAAATAATGCCCGATTCAAAAATTAAGCCAATAAGAATCAACATATAATCCATGAGATTCGCCATCTAGGGAAGTAAACCCACCCTAATACTGTGTTTATTAAAATGCTGTTAATGAGATCCGAGGTTTAAACAACTCTTCACTTTAGAAAGTGAAATAAAGCTGACTGAAATAAAACCTAATCTATGAAATTATTCTGTATATGAATTGACCTGAAGTAATGAACAGTTCAATGACTGGCTTATGACTCTTGTTCTGGTCCAGGTTAATCATTCTAGTTGGCATACTATTAAACACACATTTCTGATTGAAACATCTGTTAAATAACATCAAACGACATTACAAAATCAAAATGGAGACTGCTAAGAGTGGGATTTTTCTCCTGCCAGTATCTTTCCTTTCTGCCACATCCTCCTCCCTGCTTCCACAGCAATCTTTCTAAAGGAATACAAATATATTCTGAATCACACGCAAACCCCTCAATACAGAATGTGTGGTAGGCAGTATTCTAAAATGCCCACATACCACCAACCCCACCAAATTTCCTACCCTAATACAGAGGCTGTAAATATGATGAAATATCATGGCAAGGATAATGCCATTAATATATTATATGGCAAAGGAATTCTGCAGATGTGATTAAAGCCACCAATCAACTGCCTTTGCATTAATCAAAAGGGAGATTTGCCTAATCTAATCAAATAACCTCTTTGAAAGCTGGAGTTTTCTCCAGCTAGTAGCAAAAGGGAAATTCATAGCAAGGGAACATTTCAATACACTGTTGCTATCTTTGAAGATAAAAAGAGCCAGGAGCAAAAACCAAAGAGTGGCCTCTAGGAACTGAGAGTGACCCAAGCCAATAGGCAGTAAGAAAATGGTGAGCTCAGCAGGGTGTGGTGGCTCATGCCTGTAATCCCAGCACTTTGGGAGGCCAAGGCAGGAGGATCACGAGGTCATGAGATCGAGACCATGCTGGCTAACACGGTAAAACCCCGTTTCTGCTAAAAATACAAAAAAAAAAAAAATTAGCCGGCATGGTGGTGCACGCCTGTAATCCCGGCCACTTGGGAGGCTGAGGCATGAGAATCACTTGAACCCAGGAGGCAGAGGTTGCAGTGAGCCGAGACTGCACCACCGCACTCCAGCCTGTGCGACAGAGCAAGACTCTGTCTCAAAAAAAAAAAAAAAAAAAAAAAAGAAAAAGAAAATGGCGAGCTCAGCCCTACAACTGCATAGAACTGAATTCCTCCCACATCTGAATGCCCCAGAAGAGGATTCACCCCCGGAGCCTCCACCCAGGTAACACCTTGATTTGAATCCTGTGAGACCTTAAACAGAGAGCACAGTTGAGCCTGCCCTGAGTTCTGACCTAAGTAAATGGGTGCTGTTTTAAGATATTAAGTTTATGGTAGTTGCTTTATAATAATAGATAACAAATAGAGCAGCATTTCAAGGCCCTCCATGCTTTGGTCTCTGCCAAATCACTATTAGATTTTTAAGATTTTTTTTTACACATTATACTTACATTACACAATGTCTTAACACTATGAAGTAAAAATGTAAATATTTTAAACTCTGGCTTGGAAATGAGGAGGCAGAATCTCAGAAATTTTCCTAAAATAAAATAGGAGAGGCAAGCTTTCTGAGTCCACAAAAGTGCCCTCTACCTATTGGGTCAAAGAAAAAGTAATTTCTCTATTTGTAACAACATACATAAATTATAAACCCTGAAGAAATAGGTCCCTAATAGCTATAATCTTTAACATAACCATAAATAAAAACATGAATAAATCTGACTACATAAAAATGTAAAAACTTCTATGTGGTGAGAACACACATTACAGAAAAAAAAATCAAATGACAAAAAATAACCTCCAATTTGGATTACAAATATCTAGTATCCTGGATATATACAAATAAAGCATGTAAGTTATAAAAATGAGTATAATTTTAAAATAGACAAGGATACTTTATAGAATTTCATAATTTAAGGAAGACATAAAGTTAGCCAATAAACTATGGGTAATATGCAAGAATCAGTAAGCATTATTATTTGCCAGCAGCTAAGCCAAGTACTTTATAAGAATTACTTTATTCCCATCTATGCCAGGCACAGTGGCTCACGCAAGTAATGCCAACACTTCGGAAGGCAGAGGTGGGTGGATCACCTGAGGTCAGGAGATTTAGACCACCCTGGCCAACATGGCGAGACCACGTTTCTATTAAAAATACAAAAATTAGCTGGGCCTGGTGGCAGGTGCCTGTAATCCCAGCTACTTGGAAGGCTGAGGCAGGAGAATCAGTTGAACCCAGGAGGTAGAGGTTGCAGTGAGCCAAGATCATGCCACTGCACTCCAGCCTGGGCAACAGAGTGAGACTCCATCTCAAAAACAAAAACAAAAACAAAAACAAAGAAATTACTTTATTCCCATCTAACCACCACCACTTTAGGTAGATATCACTATTTTTCATTTTACAAATGAAGCAGAGAGGTTAAATTTCCTTGTTCAAGTCCATAGAGTCAGGAAATGAAAAAGGAACTGAACTCAAGGAGTTCATAATTATTTATATACAAGTAATAAAGACAAATTCATTGACTATGGAAATGTACTGAGTATTTTGTCTTGTTTACATAATGGTTTTTATTTAGGTTGTAAGAAAATAACATATAACCAGGCACGGTGGCTCGTGCATGTAATCCCAGCACTTTGGGAAGCCAAGGCAGGCGGATCACTTGAGACCAGGAGTTCGAGACCAACCTGGCCAACATGGCAAAACCCCATTTCTACCAAAAAAAATACAAAAATTAGCCAGGCATGGTGGTGCACGCCTGTAATCCTAGCTACTTGAGAGGCTGAGGCAGGAGAATCGCTTGAACCCGGGAGGTGGAGGTTGCAGTGAGCCAAGATTGCACCACTGCACTCCAGCCTGGGTGACAGAGCTGGATTTTGTCTCAAAAAAATAAAAAGTAAAAAAGAAAGTAAGAAAAGAAAGTAGCCACTTTGGGGTTAGAATCCATAATACTCTCAGTGTCAACCAAAAGAAATGTACTGCAATGTTCACAGAACACAATTCATAATGACCTCAAATTGAAAGTCCTCAAAATGCCCAACGGTAAAATAAATAAATTATAGTACTCTTAACAACAGAATACTATATATCAATGAGAAAAATAAACGACTTAGTAGCTCAATTATACGAAGTACAAAGCCAATTACGCAAAGTACAAACATAGGCAAGACTCACCTATGTTGTTACTAGATGATAGTGCATGTCTCTGGGGAGTTAGGAATAGTAACCAACAGGAGGCTTGAATGGAATGTCTGGGGCGCTATTATTTGTTTCCTGATGTGATTTTAGTATATAGGTTCTAATATTTGGGGTATTCCTAGAAATGTGTACCTATTATTCACTTGCTCTATATATATAGCAAAGTGAATTTTATATATAATTCTTCAACATATTTTTAGAAAAATTAAGTTTTTTTAGAAAATCAAGAGAATTTTAGATAAAAACTCAACTTTTAATGGAAAATATTTTCCTTTTTCTTTCTCACATGAAATCCTCTATCAAGGTTAGTATCCTACCTGGCATCTCTCCAATACTGGGTTAAGAGTTTTTCTTCTCAAGTAACCTGTATTATATTAAGATGATATTAACTGAAATAATCAGATAGATGACTGCGCCATAAAGCTAATTCTAAGGTATCTGTCCTTAGCCAAAAGCAGAAAAGGGATACACATAACTTCCACATAAAACATCCACCCTCATTTTTTTGGTTATTCTTAAAAGCTCATAATGTATACAATGATAAAATTTATTGTTTCAAATTAGGGTTTTTGAAATTGAAATATTAATTTAAACACGTTTGCTTAACACAACTTTAAAGTTAATAAGAAAACACTGCATATTACAGAAGAGTTAAATACTTCAAAAAGTGGGAAAGAATTTAAAAGCTTTCATTTGAGTAGGAGTAAACACAGACACACTAAGAATCTAGTTGGATACACTTAAATCATGTCTTTTAAGAACATAAGAACAGATTATTTGCTTCCTCTTTAGTCCAAAACCTTGGTGTAATTTTAGTCCAAATTTGAAACTAACAGAAGAATACTCAGCTTCTTAAAAGTTTTATTTCAAGAACAGTAAAAGAACTTCTGGTCTTACAAACATTACACAGATAAAACGAGTTTCTCCAAACAGATGTATGTAAAAATCTAGTACATATACCCCCAAGTTGAGTCAATAAGGTGAACCAGATTCTGGTTGAATGGAATCCTTGAAATATAACTTTGGTGAACAAACTGTTTGTGTTTTCCACTTTTCTTAAAAAAAGAAGTGATAAAGCAGATTTCCAGTACCTGCCAGCTGACAAAATGCTACTTACCAGGTAAAAACCACTGCCAAAAATCAGAATCACAGAAGGGCTATCAGTAAAATTATTAATGTCACAAATTAACATGATGTTAACAGCTGATTTATGCATCAAAAGAGTATTTATATAATCACAGCAAATAACTCAAATCTTTTACATCACTAGTAAACTCAAAAAATATAGCAAAAAGCAATAACATTAAATTTCATTATTGATCTACTAGCTTTAACTATTTAATACTAGTACACTTAGTTTTGATTACTTTGAAATTGAAGCAAAAACAATAATCTTTTCTTCTTTTAATGACTTTTTCAGTTACAGGAAAGATGATATTAAAAGAAGATATACAACCATAGCTTAGCTACAGGTATAAAATTGTTTTAAAGATATGTAATTGTGCTATTGAATTAAACTGAAAACATAAATATCAACTCATGATTTTGAAAAAAAAATCTTTTTTATGTTTGGTTTTGGTAAAAGGAGAGATAAATAAGTCAGAAGAACAGAAAATACAGAAATAGGCAAACTTTCCCATATTCAATTAATTTTTGAGCAAGGGGTCAAGGTAATTCAAGAGAGCAATAAATAATCTTTTAGAATGATGCTGGAACTGCCAAATAATTCATATGGAAAACAAAGAAACATGAATCTTATCTCGTATTCTCTTATCATATGTGTAATTTAACCATAAATGGATTTTTTAAACCTACAAGTAACACTGCGGCAAGCAAAGATTTTTTAATAAAGCATAAAGAGCATAATTTTTTCAACTTCAAAAAATTAACAAATGACAAATGTCATCAAAATGAAACCCTCTGCTGTTCAATAAACATTGCTAAATAAATGAAAACAAGTCACACATTAGGCAAAAATATTTATAAAATGCATCTCCAATAACTGACTTCTGTGAATAATATATTAAAAAAAACTTAGAACTCAAGAAGATGACAAGCAAATCAATTGGAAAAAAATGGTGGTAGAGACAAAATACTTTAACAGACATGTCACCAAAGATACACAAATGGCAAAAAAAAAGACATAAAAAGAAGCTCAATCTAATTAATCATCAGAGAATGCAAAATCAAACCCACAATAAATTGTCACTAAATGCCAACCAGATGGCTAAAATTTAGAAACAGTGGCAATATCCAGTGCTGGCAACAATGTACAGCAAATGGAACTCTCAGATCTCTAGAAATGGAAAAGTATACAGACACTTTTTAAGAAACTGTGAAACTGTTTTCCAAAGTTAAGAATATTATTTCCAACAAGTCAGAAATTCCAGTCCTAGGTATTTACCCAAGAAACATGAAAAGATACATCTACAACGAAGCATGTTACATAAATGCTCACAGCAGCTTTATATACTGGCCAAAAATTGAACGAAACTTAACTGTAAGCTAGTGAATGGACCAATCTCAAAACGATTATGCTAAGCAAAAAAAAGGCAGATGGAAAAGATTCTATACTGTATGGTTCCATTCATATATTAGTCTAGAAAAGGCAAAACTATAGGAAAGCAACAGATCGGTGATTGCCAGGAGCTGGAGTGGGAGGTAGGCAGTAACTTCAAAAAGTCATGAGCGAATTTATGGGTAAAGGGTCTATTCTGTATCTTGACTATGATGGTAATTACATGACTGTTCATATTTACCAAATCACATTCAATACACACCTTAGAAAGGGTGAATTATAGTGTATGCAAAATATACCTTAACAAAACAATGACTCTCACACATAAATTTATTTATTTATTGGGTAACAGCATAGGGACTAATATCAGAATAACTTTCCTAAAATGTCTCAAATCTGAAGAAAATGTAAAAGCTAACTAATTGAAGTTACCTGTAAATAACCAAAAACTGGCTGGAATGGGAGGACATTTTACCCTTGGAAAAAAAGCGGAATATCATTGGCTAAAATCTATATTTAAATAGAGTTTCAGTCTGGGCACGATGGCTCCTGCCTGTAATCCCAGCACTCTGGAAGGCCGAGGAAGGTGGACCACCTAAGGCCAGGATTTTGAGAGCAGCCTAGCCAACATGGTGAAACCCCACCTCTACTAAAAATACAAAAATTAGCTGGGTGTGGTGGTGGGCACCTTATAGTCCCGGCTACTTGAGAGGCTGAGGCACAAGAATCGCTTGAACCTGGGAGGTGGAGGTGGCTGTGAGCCAAGATTGCGCCATTGCACTCCAGCCTGGGCGACAGAGACCCTGTCTCAAAAGAAAAGAAAAGAAAATTCTACAACTAATAAGTATAGTACTTTCAATGAAAATTTTAGTGGATGGGCTTAACAAGAGATTGGTAGAAAATTGGCCCATCTCCTTGAAAATACATGAATAGTGTATCTATTCTGAGGAACTAAAAGTAAAAACACTGGGAAGAAGACGAACAGACCCTCAGTAACCTACAAAATATCAAATATACTAACATTCATGTAATTAGAGTTACAGAGGAAGAGGAGAGAGAAATGAGACAGAAAAAGAATAAGAAATAAAAGTCAAGCTTTTCACAAATTTGGTGAAAAATATCAACTTACACTTTCAAGAAGCTCAGCAACCCCCAAGCAGGATGAATACAAAGAAAACCACACCTAGGCACATCATAGTCAGACTGCTGAAAACCAAATATAAAGAGAAAATCCTGAAAGCAGCCAGAGAATATCAAAACATTACTATATACATGGGAATAATGATACTACTGACACCACACCTGACTTCTCATTAGAAACCATGGAAGACAGGAAACAATGCAACATCTTTTAAATGCTTGAAGAAGAAAAACATAATCATCCCAGAACTCTATATTCAGGGAAAAAAAGACAAAAATGCATGCAGACTTCCACTTCCAGGCAAAATGCAGAAAATGTACTTTTCCCTGTTCTTTCCACTAAATACAGCTTTAAAAACCCTTGGCCGTGATACATAAGACAAACAAAGGAAGACAACAAAATGTAGAGAGAGGGCAGACCAATTAGGGCTTCAGGTGCCAAGAAACACAAGAGGATGAATTCCCTAGGTTTCCTTTCTGACTCATATATACAAGAAAAGTTGCTAGAGAAGCAGACAACTCAGAAACACCAACAGGCACACACATACATAAAACTCCAAGAAAATTCTGCTGTCTCTTGTCAAAAAAGCAGGGAAGCGGCAGGCTACCAAGAAAAAAAAACTCACAGACAACAACCAACCAGTTTAAGCCAAAGGGTACAAATAAAACCCCAAGCCATATACCTTTTGCCAAGACTTAAAAGGAGGACATAGTCAGCCATTCCCCACTCCTACCCACAGACAACATGATACCACAGCAGGCCAAGTGGGGACACAGGACACTCATACCCACTGAGCAGTAACGTGGCTTCCTCCCTCTAGAGTGTGGGTGGAAAAAAAGTGGGGAGCCTGAGTTCAACACCCACCCAATGATAAGGACATATCCCTATCCCTCCCTCTACAGAGATATGACAGCAGAGGCCTACTGGAGAATCCAAACTCAAAGCACTGCTCAGTGATAACTTAACCACCCCTCCATCCCAGTGTCAGTGGAGGCCAAGTGAAAAGCAGGAACCTTTTGAGCCAGGGTGGTATTCACAAAGGTATAATGCAAGTCCAGAGTTTTCATTCCTACTCAGCATTTACTAGGTGTACGTCTCCATCAGTGAGTCAACAAAGGCCTACTATGAAACTGGAATCTTCACATACACCTGGGAGTAGTAACAAGGCTGTGCCCCACCTCCACCCCAAAAGCAAAGTTTCAGATAAATCCTACTAAAAGGGGGGATTTAAATAAAATGCAGAGCTTCATAACACAACACTTAAAATGCAAAGGATTCAACCAAATATACCATGTCATACCATACTAAGAACCAGGAAAATCTGAACAGGAATTTGAAAATACAGTCAAAAGGTGCAAACAATGAGAATTCATAGAGGTCATAATTATCTATCAAAGATTTTAAACTATATATTATAAAACTGCGTCAACAAGCAATTACAGCTGGACACAGTGGCTCACGCCTGTAATCCCAGCACTTTGGGAGGCAGAGGTGGTTGGATCACTTGAGGTCAGGAGTTCAAGACCAGCCTGGCCAACATCATGAAACCCCATCTGTACTAAAAATACAAAAATTAGCCAGGCATGGTGGTTCACGCCGTGATTCCAGCTACTTGGGAGGCTGAGGCATGAGAATCACTTGAACCCAGGAAGCAGAGGTTGCAGTGAGCTGAGATCATTCTACTGCATTCCAGCCTGGGCAACAGAGCAAGAGTCTGCCTCAAAAAAAAAAAAAAAGCAATTACAAACTTAATTTTGAAACAAAGGAAACAATACAAAGTTTCACAAAGAAATCAAGAAAGAAACAAATACCAAGTTGAAAATTAAAAAATATGCTAGCAATAATAAAATACAAACTAAACTGAACAACAAAATGGGAGAGATTACCCAACCTAGAGAAGTAAATGAACTGATTAAAAAAAAAAAAAAACAGTGGCCAGGTGCGGTCACTCAGGCCTGTCATCCTAGCACTTTGGGAGGCCGAGATGGGTGGATCACCTCAGGTGAGGAGTTCAAGACCAGCCTGGCCAACATGGCAAAACCCTGTCTCTAATAAAAATACAAAAATTAGCTGGGCATGGTGGCACACACCTATAATTCCAGCTACTCAGGAGGCTGAGGCAGGAGAATCACTTAGACCCAGGGGCGGAGGCTGCAGTGAGCTGAGATCGTACCACTTCACTCCAGCCTGGGCAAAAGAGCAAAACTCTGACAATAAATAAACAAATAAATACATATTTTTTTTAAAAAAAGGCATTAAAGACACTTGTGGGAATATAATAAATGATGCAACATTCCTGTCACTGGAATCTCAGAAAAGGAACATGATGCAGCTGAACAATTATTCGAAGACCCACAGATTCAAGAAATTGAATAAATCCTAAGAGGATACACACAAATAAATCAATGCTAATATATATCATAAACTTCTGAAAACTAATGACTAAACTTAAAAACCTTGAGATAAATAAGAGAAATGACACCTTATCCACAGATGAAAAACAACTCAAATGACAGCAGATTTCTCACCTGAAACCATGGAGGCCAGAACAAAGCAGCATAACATTTTTGCAAGTCCTAAAAGAACCGACAACAAAGAATTCTATATCCAGCAAAAACATCCATTAGTAATGAAAGGGAAATCAAGAAATTGTGAGATGAATGAGAACTAAAAATTAGTCATGAGACAAAACTACAGCAAAAGAATAGTGAGAAAAGTTATTGAACCAGAAAGGAGAATGATAAAAAGAAGGATTCTCAGAACATCCTGAAGGAAGAAAGAACAAACAAATAGTAAAAATATGGGCAATAAAACAGACTTTACTGTTCCTTGAGTTTCCAAAATAATGTTTAACAATTGAAGCAAAAATTGTTACATGGTGCAAAAGCTATGGTGGGTAATACTGTTGATGCATTTCCAAAACTGAAGGCAGCTGGCACCAAGCTGTATTAGAAGTTGTCACATTCTCAACTGGCACTACAACTACAGTAAAAATAATGTAGAGTATCATTGAGAATATCACTGATGAAGCAGCAAAAATCTTTAATGTTTTAAGTCTTGATCCATGAATACACATCTTTTAATTATCTATGTGACAAAACGAGAAATAAAGCATAAAATAATTGTTACACCATAGTTTTTCTTGAGGAAAGAATTTGTGATCATGTGATTTATAAACTGAAATAACTGCTTTTTTCATGGAACACTGTTTTTACATGTAAGAACAACAAACCACAATTATTAAAACTTGATTATCTGACATATTTCTTCAAAAATGAATAAAGTGAGCCTGTCACTTCAAGGAAAACAACTTAGAACATGAGTGGACAATAAGATCTGAAAAACTTACAACCAACAATGTAAGCTTAACTAATTCCAATACTTAAAGACTTTTCTGATGAGATCAGTCGATTATAACAAATGTGAATTTTGTTATTTATTAAAAATATGTAGGACTAGGTAAGGTGGCTCACACTTGTAATCCCAGCACTTTGGGATCACTGGAGGTCAGGAGTTCAAGACCAGCCTAGCCAACATAGTGAAACCCCATCTCTACTAAAAATACGAAAATTAGCTGGGCCTGGCGGTGCATGCCTATAGTCCCAGCTACTCAGGAGGCTGAGGCATGAGCATCACCTGAACCCAGGAGATGGAAGTGAGCTGAGATCGCACCACTGCATTCCAGCCTGGGCAACAGAGTGAGATTCTGTCTCAAACAAAACAAAACAAACAAACAAAAACAACCGTATGAATAGTTGGACTATCTGGATCACTCAGTGAATCAATATTTTCCAAAGACCACTTAGTAATCTAATAAAATCATATATGGGTAAAAGATCCCCTGAAATTGCAAGGTAGTCTAATAAATTTTATATATATATATATATTTTTTTTTTTTTTTGTCTGAGATGGAGTCTCACTCTGTCACCCACGCTGGAGTGCAGTGGCACAATCTCGGCTCACTGCAACCTCCACCTCCTGGATTCAAGCGATTCTCTGCCTTGGCCTCCCCCGTAGGTGGGATTGCAGGTGACTGCTATAATGCCTGGCTAATTTTTGTATTTTTAGTAGAGACGGGGTTTCACAATCTTGGCCAGGCTGGTCTTGAGCTCCTGACCTCGTGATCCACCCGCTTCAGCCTCCCAAAGTGCTGGGATTACAGGCGTGAACTACTGCGCCCAGCCCATAAATTATAATTTTAAAGGGTAAAGATATAAAGTTCATTGATGGGATTGCAGTCTTCAGATTGCACCAAACCACTTGAAAAACTTGAGAAACTACCACTTCTCAAGCTTTGGTTTAGTATCAAACAGGAATATTCATTAGGGCTTGTGCTTTCATTCTTACGGTATCTTTTAATAAACAGAAGTTATTTCTCAAATGTAGTTGAATGCTCCAATATTTTCTTTACATTCAGTGCTGTATCTCAAGAACTCTTTTACAAAAATATTATCCTATATTATCTTTTTAAGTATAAATAAAAATAATTATCTTTTTAAAAGCTTATGAGTTTAGGTGGAAATATGAAGGGCCAAAAGGAATTGGAAGATATTTTCCTACTATTTGTTCTTTCTCTTGATTTTCATGATTCATTATTCTTGTAGAAGTGACCTTACCACAGTATAAGGTTCACTTATAATCACTGTTCTGCCTTGTAATTTTAGGTGAATTTGTTACAAAATATTATGAAATCTATAGGAAAAGCCAACTTTCAAAGCTATTAAGCATTTGACTTAACAGTTGAGGGCAATATTATTCAGAAAAATTTCAATCTCATTCCTCAGCGCAAAAAACTGAAATAAAACTTTACCACTGCCAAGTCATTAAATTGCTCTGTATAATGGCAATTCAGTATATTCTGCCTCTATATCTAACAAAAATTCATAGGATTTGATGATGAAGTCCACAAATGCAAGTCAAAATCACTGCTGACACTATTATATAATCGTTCACTAAAACATGACAGATTTAAATATTTTCTGCAAAGTACCTGCTAATAAATAATACAATAAATAATCAGGCTTTAAACACCTGACATTTAACAAGCTTTGTAAATTTGTCCAACTCAAGTCTTTCTGCTCCACAGTTATTTTTGCCACTATCAACTGTAACGCATCTTAGCGGATTCCACTTCAGGTTGTACTAAGTTAGTGTTTGCTCAACTTTTCTGAAAATATTTTCTCTTGTACTTGTTTCACATAGACTATGCATAAATACTAATTCTTCAATCACTTCAAACTCAGCACTGACTTCTGGAATATGTAACAACTGAACAGTACTGGTAACACCTATTCATCCATCAAAAGCCTAAGAAAACCATGAAAAATCATTCACCCTTCTTTCCAAAATGACTTGATATTACTCCCAATGTCCTTAACTTTTAGAGCAATTACTCTCACTGAAAGGCTAATAGTCTTTTTTAAAGTTTATTTTCTATGGACACATCTTTGGTTACCATAATAAAACATAATTTAATTAACTACTGTTGGTAATGGTTTTCCTTGCTTGGCTAACAAGCCATTGAAAAACTTACTTTAATTATAGCCTAATTTCCATTTTTTGTTTTTGAGAAGAAATTCTGCTGTGATAAAATTTTGTTTTAATTTACTATTTTTTTTTTCTGACCTTTAGTTTTATTCCTGTTGGTTGGGAATATTGTGAGAAGTGCCCAGTCTGGCAATGTTGACATATATTATATTCTTTTAGCACAGCCATAGTCTTCTAGCATAACAAATATAATGCTTTGCTATCTAATTTGTTAATAATAATATACATTCCACTATGCCTCTAAAGTGTTACATATAAAGTCCACTTTTCTCCTTTTCTTGTTTTAACATGATAGGTAAGTATGCACTGGTAATGAGAGAAATAAATAAGATGCCAGGGCAATATGTGTGGTGCCCACACACACACACATACTGACAAACAGTAACTATGTTATTGTGATTCGTAGCATGCAGAGCAGCAATTTGAAATATATGTGCTCTCTGCAGCAACCAACTCTGACACTGTAGTGCAACGGAAGTCATATATAATGCCCAAACAATTCAGGGAAAGGAAAAGTCACGTGCCTCTCATTTTAACTGAAAAGCTACAAATGATTAATCTTAGTGGGGAAGGAATATCAAAAAGTGAGAAAGGCCTAAAGCTAGGCCTCTTGTACCATTCAGCCAATTATGAATGTAAACGAAAAATTCTTGAATAAAATTAAAAGCACTATGTCAGTGAACATGAAACAATCTTATTGCTAATATGAAGAAAGTTTTAGTGGTCCATATGAAAGATCAAACCAGCCACAACATTCCCTTAAGCAAAAAGCCTAATCCACAGCAAGGCTCTAACCTTCTTCAGTTCTATGAAGGCTGAGAGAGGTGAGAAAACTGCAGAAGAAAAACTGGAAGCAAGTAGAGGTTGGCTCATGAGGAAAAATGCTCTTGTCATAACATAAAAGTGGAAAGTGAAGCAGCAAGTGCTGACATGGAAGCTGTAGCAAGTTATCCAGAATATATATCTAAGATCATTGCTGGAGGTGGCTATACTAAACAAGGTGTTTTAAGTAGACAAAAGAGCCTTCCATTAGAAGAAGATGCCATCTAGGACTTTCACAGCTAGAGAGGGAAAATCAATGCCTTGCTTCAAAGGTCAGGCTGGGGCCACACCTGTTATTCCAGCACTTTGAGAGGCCAAGGTAAGAGAATCACTTGAGCCCAGGAGTTCAAGGCCAGCCTGGACAACAAGGCGAGACTCTTGTCTCTTTTAAAAATAAATAAATAAATAAATAAATAAATAAAAACTGACTCTCTTGTTAGGGGCTAATGCAGCTGGTAACTTGACGTTGAAGCTAATGCTCATTTGCCACTCAAAAAAGTCCTAGAGCTCTTAAGAATTATGCTATATCTAATCTGCTTGCTATCTACATATGGAACAACAGTCTCCTGGATGACAGCACATCTGTTTAGAGGTTGGCTTACTGAATATTTTCAGTCCACTGTCAAGACCTACTGCTAAGGAAAAAACATTCATTTCAAAATATTAGCACTCACTAACAATGGACCAGGTCATTAGAGGGCTTTGATGGATATGTTCAGAAAGAAGAATGTTACTTTCATGCCTGCCAGTACAATACAACATCTATCCTGCAGCCCATGCATCAATGAGTAATTTCAATTTTTAAGTCTTATTGTTCAAGAAATACATTTCAGCCAGGCACGACAGCTCATGCCTGTAATCCCAGCACTCTGGGACGCCAAGGCAGGAGGATCACTTGAAGCCGGGAGTTCGAGAACACCCTGGCCAACATGGCAAAACCCCATCTCTACTAAAAATACAAAAATTAGCCAGGCGTGGTGGCACGCACCTGTAGTCCCAGATACTCGGGGGGCTGAGTCAGGAGAATCGCTTGAACCGGGAGGCAGAGGTTGCAGTAAACCAAGATCACACCACTGCACTCCAGCCAGGCCGACAAAGAGAGACTCTGTCTCAAAAAAAAAAAAAAAGTGATTCCTGTAGTAGATTTGGGCAAAATAAACTGAAAACCTTCTGGAAAGACTTCACCACCGTAGATGTCATTAAGAACATTCATAATTCATGAGAGGAAGTCAAAATATCAACACGAACAGGTGTTTGGAAGAAGTTGATTCCAACTCTCATGGATGACTTTGAGAGGTTCAAGACTCAAGTGGAGGAAGTTACTGCAGATGTAGTGGAAACAGCAAGAGAATTAGAAGTGGAGCCTGAAGATGTGACTGAATTGCTGCAATCTCATGATAAAACTTGCACAGATTAGGAGTTGTTCCTTACAGATGACCCAAGAAAGTGGTTTCTTAAAGATGGAAACTACTCCTGGTGAAAAGGCTGTGAAATTATTGAATGACAACAAAGGATTTAGAATACTATATAACCTTAGTTGTTAAAGCAGTGGCAGGGTTTGAGCTGACTCCAATTTTGAAAAAAAGTTCTACTTTTGGGTAAAAAATGCTATGAAACAGCATCAAGTGCTACAGAGAAATCTTTCACGAAAGAAAGAGGCAATCAATGTAGCAAACTTCATTGTTGTCTTATTGTAAGAAACTGCCAGAGGCACCCCAACCATCAGCAATCACTGCTGGGATCAGTCAGCAGCCACCAACATCCTCTATCAGCAAAAAACCTTACAATTTACTGAAAGCTCAGATGATCAGTAGCATTTTTTAGCAATAAAGTATTTTTAAATTAAAGTATGCACATTGGTTTTTTAAATATAACGCTATTGAACATTTAATAGACTGCAGTAGAATATAAACATAATATTTACATACACTGGTAAACCAAAATATTTGTGTGCCTTGCTTTATGGTGATATTCACTTTATTGTGGTAGTCTATAATGGAACCTACAGTATCTCCAAGGTATGCCTGTATTTACTTTGGTACCAATTCTAGATATACATCTGCATATACCTGGGTATTTAACTTCCTGGTCTCATGTTCCTTAAATAGTTAATAAGAAAGAGTAATTATGAACCATGCAGACCAATTAACAAGCCTAACTTCCAATATTTTCTTCACTCTGAAATAAATATTTCCAACAGTGTATTATGTCAGAAGTTCTCAGTTTTGGGGGTGCTGTATCTTAATTTTTCTGTGCTCTATTTTCAACTTCACTGACATAATACAAGCTCTATCTTCCTTACAAATTTATAAGGAATCAAATGAAATGAAATATATAAAAGTTGTCTTCTTTCTCCCATCTTCAAAAAACTTCCCCCTGCACTACATTTCCCGTTAGCCCTCTCTCCTTCAACAGCCTGGTCTGTAGAAAGAGTCCATACATGGCCTCCCTCCACTCCCTCATCTTCCATTCACTCCTTGTTCCAAGGCCCTCCCAACACCACTGAAACTTTTTTCAATGCCCTTTTTTTAATTTTTTTTTAAAGCAAATTCTGCCCCCAACTTTTCATTCTTTCAGTTGAACCACTTTTTCCAAAACACTGTGCAGATGTAAAAAATATGTAGTTAAGGCCAGGGTCCAGTGGCTCATGCCTGTATTCCCAGCACTGTGGGAGTCCAAGGCAGGAAGATCACAGGTCTGGAGTTCAAGACCAGCCTGGTCAACATGGTGAAACCTCATCTCTACTAAATATACAAAAATAAACCAGGCATGGTGGCAGGCACCTGTAATCCCAGCTACTCAGGAGGCTGAGGCAGAAGAATTGCTTGAACCCAGGAGGCAGAGGTTGCAGTGAGCCAAGATTGTGCCACTGCACTCCAGCCTGGGGCAACAAGCAAGACTGTGTGTGGAGGGTGGGGGGGGACCTGTTAATAAAAAGAAAAGAAAACAACTCAATTTCAAAATGGGCAAAGGAGGCCTGCCATGGTGGCTCCTATCTATAATCCCAGCACTTTCAGAGGCCAAGGCGGGTGGATCACCTGAGGTCAGGAGTTCAAGACCAGCCTGGCCAACATGGCAAAATCCCGTCTCTACTAAGAACACAAAAATTATCCAGGCATGGTGGTGCACGCCTGTAGTCTCAGCTACTCAGGAGGCTGAGGCAGGACAATCGCCTGAACCCAGAAAGTGGAGGTTGCAGTGAGCCGAGATCATGCCACTGCACTCCAGCCTAGGTGACAAGAGTAAGACTCTGTCTCCAAAAAACAAACAAAAATGGGCAAAGGAGCCAGGCGTGGTGGTGCACACATAGAGTCCCAGCTACTCAGAGGCTGAAGTAGGAGGATCACTTGAGCTAGAGGATCACTTGACCCCAGGAGTTCAAGGCTGCAGTGAGCTAGAACTGTGCCACTGCAATCCAGCCTGTGTGACAGAGTAAGACTCCAAAAAAGACAGGGGCAAAGACATGACGAGAGAAAAAATAAGTATAAAAGTAAAGACACAGAGAGAGAGACTTCAAAAAGGAAGACAGGGCAGGGCACAGTGGCCCGTGCCTGTAATCCCAGCACTTTGGGAGGCTGTAATGGGAGGATCACTTGAGCCCATGGGTTTGAGACCAGCCTAGGCAACACAGCGAGACCCCAGTATCTACAAAAACTAGCTGGGAATGGCTGGGCATGGTGGCTCACACCTGTAATCCTAGCACTTTGGCAGGCCGAGGCAGGCGGATTGCCTGAGCTCAGGAATTTGAGACCAGCTGGGTAACAAGGTGAAACCCCATCTCTACTAAAATATAAAAACTTAGCCAGGGGTGGCAGCATGCGCCTGTAGTCCCAGCTACTTGGGAGGCTGAGGCAGGAGAATCACTTGAACCCAGGAGGCAGAAGTTGCAGTGAGCTGAGATCACACCACTACACCACTTCCCTCCAGGCTGGGCAACACAGCGAGACTCCATCTCAAAAAAAAAAAAACAAAACTAAGCTGGGCACAGTGGCTCACACCTATAATCCCATCACTTTGGGACGCCGAGGCAGGCAGATCACCTGAGGTCAGGAGTTCAAGCCCAACCTGACCACTATGATGAAACCCCACCTCTACTAAAAACACAAAAATTAGCTGAGCATGGGGGCATACGACTATAAACCCAGCTACTCGAGAGGCGGAGACAGGAGAATCACTTGAACCCGGGAGGCAGAGGTTGCAGTGAGCCGAGATCACACCATTGCACTCCAGCCTGGGCAACAAGAGTGAAACTCTGTCTCAAAAAAAAAAAAAAAAAAAAAAAACTAGCCGGGCACAGTATTGTGCACCTGTATTCCCAGCTACTTGGGAGGCTGAGATGGGAGGGTCATTTGGGCCCAGAAATTCGAAGCTGCAGTCAACTATGATTGTGCCACCACACTCCTGCCTAAGTAACAGAATGAGATATTGTAATTTAAAAAATAAAAGGATAGGTAGGATTTACAGACTGGAAAATGGGAAAAAGATGAGAGTGGAAAAAGGAAGGAGGGGTAGCAAGAATGGCGGGCAGGGAGACAGAAAGGTAAAATTCAGCCATGTTCAAAAGGGAACAAATAAAAGCACTGAAAGGTAAGACAGACCTAGTATATTTATGACTTGAATCCCAAGCTAAGAAACTGGAACATAATTTAGCAGAGAGACTCCAAAAGTTTTACAGCAAAAAGTATTAGAATCATTTATATACTGGGAAAAAAATAGCCTCCTCATTTTAATAATCCAGATTGGGAAATCAGATCTAAAACAGATGTTCAATGGACATCCCATTTCTTTTGTAAAAGCAACTTGAAAGGTCAGACATCAAGTTTTGTTCTGTTTTTAATTCACAATGAAAATCTGACTACTCATTTATTCAACAAATATTTGAGTACCAGCTATGTGCTAGGCACTGTTCTAAACACACCAATAACATTTATTTAGTGGTACTGATTCTGTACTCTAGAACAATGGCTCTTAACTGGGGAGAGGGAGCAATTTTTGCTGCCCAAGGGACATCTGGCAATGTCTAAAGACATTTTTGGTTGTCACAGAGGCAGGGAGGAGGGGAGGGGCATGGGTGTGCTACTATATCTAGTGGGTGGAGGCCAGAAATGCTGCTTAACATCCTACACACAGGACATACTGCCCGTGACAAGGAATTAGCTAGCCCAAGATGTCAATAGTGCCAAAGTTGAATAAACCTGTTCAAGAGCAACACATTTCTATTCCCTCTTCCATAGTAACTGTTAATAAACATTAGTTCCATTTTCTACTATTTCTGTTCTACAATAGAGGCTTTAAAATATCTTAAGAAATATAACACCATTTTAATAATTTGGCAAGTAGAAGTAATGATACCATGAATCCTGAGATTTCACTTTCAAAAATGTATAAGCTACATTTATTTTACAATATAACTTTTAGGAACAAAGTTGTCTTCTCCTTCTGACACTGTTCTCAAAAACTGTGCTAAAAGCTTTGAGTGATGTTTGATTACTCCTTTTATTTTGGGGTCCTTATAGCTGTTAATTACCACATTCTGCCAGTTCTTTCCATGTGAATGCCTCACATTTCAATGGATCTTTTTCTATTACCAATGTATTATCTGAAACATTTTACTAACTGGTTTTTCTGAAGCTCAATGTCCATGTCTCCTTCCCTCCCAAGCTATCCCTACCCATTAATACTGTACTTTTCACCTGCTCAAAAGTCCATATGGTTGCCTGTAACATACCAAATAAGAACCTAATTCCTAAAGCTTGACATTCAAATCCTTTTTTCAACTAGCTACAATCCACTTTTCCAACTCTTTTTTCCACTGTTCTCCCTCAGGAGTAGCCTTTTTTAGCAAAATGACTTATTCTGAGATACACAAACAACCTTTCCAGATCAGAGACATCAAAAGCCATTCAGGCTTCACTGAGACAAAAGATATGCATTCAACTCAGAATAACAGTAAGGAATCAACTTATAGGGAAACCAGATCTAGCCATGTTCTTTAAATATGAGAGATAACCCCGTTGGCTCATGCCACTGTCCTTATTTATAACAGCCCCTATTTGCCTTTCTACTTCTCTGAACTCATTATCCTTCAAATCTACAATCTTTTCAAAAACCCAAACACAGAGTCACCTCAGTCACCACTACCTGCCCTTCTCCTACCCCACCCAATGCCTGTGGCTTTCAGGTCATTTATTTTGCAATAAACTTGTTATCTCAATTTTACTGGTTCTCTTTTAGATTCAGACAGCTGAGATTATGATAGATTCATTAGTAAGCTGAATGGGGAAGAAAAGGATATTTACATTCCCAGGCCAATTTTCAATGCTTTTTGGAAGATTCTGTTAAATTCACAATTTCCAGAACTGGCAAGGAATAGGTAAATATATACACTCATATATTACTGTTAAGAGTATAAATTGGTATAATTATCCTACAGTGATATCTGCCAACATTGAAAGTCTTTAAAATCTGTATACCCTTTGGCCTAGGAATTCAACTTGAAAATTTATCATGAGTAAATTATGAAATGTACAAAGTTTTAACTATAAAGACACTCATCTCTGCATTGTTTCTAACTCTCAAAGATTGAGGGGGAGGGTAAAATCCCTTGTCCAATAAAAAAAGACTATTCCATGAATCATTTATTTAAGTAATGTAATACTCTGCAACTACTAAAATCCTATAGTATCATGGTTATTGACATGTAAGTCTTTTAATGGCTTTCTTTCCTAAGCTAAAAAAATACAAACATGATTCCACATAATGTATTTCAAATATTTGTATACATTTTTCTACTTTTCTATATTTTCTACACATCTATATATGATTTGTGTTTGTGTGTTTGTGTGTGTGTATGCATGCATGTAAATAAAATATACCTCTAAGTCTTTGTAACCTTAAGACGGTGGGGCAAAATATTTTTATTTTCTGTTGTTGATTATTTAAAATTTAGCTATATTAAATGTTTTCTGATTTAGTAAACATACATAAGGCCTATTTATAGTTGAATGCCAGTCTTACAAAACCTAAACAACCTTGGTTTACTCTATCTGTGGGAAAAGCATTTTTAGTAGAATGCTTGCGCATCTTCCTACATTCCTGTAATCAAACAGTATTTATCATCAACTATGTTGGTGACTCTCACTTTGACATAGGCTGAACCAGAAATCCTAGGAAAAACTGATGACAGAAAGCTAAGGGGAAGGATAGGAAGCTGGGAAACCCTGGGAAAGGAGGGATTATATTACACATGTTATGGGAACTAGTTTGTATGTGCGGGGCACAGAGCATACACTTAGATAAGAAGGGGGTCATAAAACCAGAAAGGCAATAAATAGAATGTTATGAGCATGAACTCTAGATGCAAACTGTTCAGGTTCAATTCCACCTCTGCTTCTTACTACATTTATTACCTTAAGCAAGTCACTTAACTTCTCCCTGCCGTTTCTGCCACATCTGTATAATGGGGATAACAGACCCTACCTTAGAGGGTTGTCACACTAATGAATTCTGAGAATAGTCCCTGGTACTACAGTTAAGTGCTCATTAGTTGTCCACACTCATCATCGTCATTACTCCCATTACTATGAAGTGAAGAGTTGTGCTGCTAGGACGGGAGCAGCAACTTTTCAACACCAATCGCTTTTTTAGATGGCCTCCTTTCTAGCCTTGTTAGTTGCCCAAATTCTGAAAAAAACAAGAACTAAGACTCTAGAAGGAGATCCGAGAGGCAGACGTGTGTCTCTGTGTGTGTTTGTGTGTGTGTGTAGGTGCGTGTGCATGTAGACGAAGGAGGAATCAGGAGTAATGCCAAGAATGAGAATCAAATCTGTATAAGCAGTTCAGAAAAGGGGCATCATGAGTCGCTCTTCTCAGTGCTGCCCCAAGGGTTCCACAGTTTGCTCCTTCCATCATTCACTTGGATAAAACCTTTCAATGTCTCTCCATGGCCTTCAGAGTTAAATCAAAACTATTCCTTGGAATGACTTAAAACCCATACTACTTCTAAAGCCTCATCTCTTGACTCTCTCGCACCAAGCTCACTGAGCTTCCAGCCCTACCAAATTTCTTCAGTAACAAACTCTCACATCTCAGAGCCTTTGCAAATGCTGCTCCCTCTGCCTGAAAAGTAACCTCTACCTCCTCCAATAGCAAACTGCTACTCAACCTTCAAAACACAGCTCAAGGATAACTCCAGAGCTCTTTCCTGATTTCAAGCTTAATGCCTCTGCTATATTATCCCCCCTGTGCATAACACCACCACTACCACCACCACCACCACCACCATCACCACCACCACCACCACTACCATCACCACAACCATCACCACCACCACCACCACCACTACCACCACTACCACCACCACCACCATCACCACTAAAACCATGACCACCACCACCACCACTACCAGCACCACCACCACCATCACCACTACCACCACCACCACTACCACCACCACCACCACTACCACCACCACCACTACCACCACCACCACCACCACCATCACCACCACCACCACCACCACCATCACCACCACCACCACCATCACAATCACCACCACCATCACAATCACCACCATCACAATCACCACCACCACCACTACCACCACCATCACCACCACCACCATCACCATCACCACCACCACCACCATCACCACTACCACCACCACCAACACCACCACTACCACCACCACCACCACCACCATCACCACCATCACCACTACCACCACCACCACCACCATCACCACCACCACCACCATCAACACCACACTGCACTGATCCACCACTAGCCAATGACTTCTTTAGAGATCTTGTCTTTGGGTATTTCCAGATACTGTCCTATACAGTAACAGATACATTAAAAATAATAATTTTAAAAATTTATTAATCACAGCTGGAAAGTACAGTGAACCTACTGACTATACTGGAAACTGGTAAAGAAAGGTAAACAAGCAAACATTTATTCTGCCTTTCTCATATGAACAGTTACACTGGGCAACCAAGTAAGAGGTGATGGAAACTTTTCTTTTTATAAAACAGTATTCCAGATAATAAAATGAAGGAGTAACACAACTAGAACATTATCATTTTACAACCCTTAATGAATCAACGGATCTAGGCATTAGTCACCAACAGTTGCTAGTGTCACAAAAAGAGACAATCACATTTTGTGCCTCCTGATGAAAGAATGCACCACAACTACAAAGCAGTCTTGTAAAATAAGACTGAACCTGACTCTGACCAAGCCTCTGGTTCCAACTACTCATTTGGAAATACAGAAAATAGAGAAATATCAGGGATAAACCTGGTATTGAATCTCAGGAATCAGCAAAATCCTGACTACGGGAACTCTACAGGGCAAATAACCCATTTCTTTAACAAATAAATTGCGAGAATAAAAAGGAAGGTGGTAACCTACAGATTAAGAGACTTAATCGCAATATGTAAGCCTTATTCAAATACTTTTAAAAACTGAGACATGTTTACCTGAACATAGAATATTTGATGATATTATGGATTTAACTGTCAATTTTTTTTTGAGTATGATGGTGGTATTAGGTTTTTCTTAAGCCTTCACTTTTTAGAACTACATTCTCTAATATTTATAAATGATATCACATTATGCCTGAGGCCAGGTGCAGTGGCTCATGCCTGTAATCCCAGCACTTTGGGAGGCTGAGGCGGGTGAACCACCTGAGGTCGGGAGTTCAAGACCAGCCTGGCCAACACAGTGAAACCCCGACTCTACTAAAAATACAAAAATTAGCCTGGTGTGGTAGCACTCGCCTATAATCCCAGCTACTTGGGAGGCTGAGGGAGGAGAAGTGCTTGAACCTGAGAGGTGAGGTTGCAGTGAGCTGAGATCACACCACTGCACCCAGCCCGGGCGACAGAATGAGACTCCATCTCAAAAAAAAATTAATAAAAATAAAAATAAATAAAAGCACAGACCCTACAGAAAAGACTGCCTGGGTTCAAATCCTGTGTCCATGACTCACTCTGAGCCTTAGCTTCCTCAGCTGTTAAAAAAGAAAAAAAAAAGGACAATAATAGTCTTTACTTCAGAGGACTTTTGTAAGAATTAAGTGAGTTAAGATGGTTATAACATATAGTTCTCCCAAAACATGCTTCATAGAAGTTTTCATTATCATCCCCCTTCCCACTTTACAGAAAGAAACACGGACCTGGAGAGGTGAAAAGTGACTTGCTTAATGACTTGAAAACCATCTTCCAGGAACTGTGCTTAGCACTGGTGGCAAAAACTGGCTATTTACCAAAGCGTTTCCTTTTCCTCCTGGCATATGGCTAAACTACATTTCCCAGCTTCCCTTTCACATGACTGGTCTGGACAATGAAATGTGGGCAAAAGTGAAAGATGCCTCTTTACTACTCTCAGGCCTTGTCCCCAAACCTCCCATGCAATCCCTCACCGCTTCTCACCCTCATTTGCCAGGGGGACATCAATGCCTAGGGCAACGGAGAAAAGATTAGCCTGAGTCCCAGTATGACTTAACTGTTACTGTGTTACTCTTGAAATTTCGGCCACCATAAAGTCAGTAAGACTGTATTTTTTATGGACTCATCACAACAATCATTATTCCTATTCAACAATTGGGGAAACTGAAGTATAAAGAAGTCATGGTCAATTATTCAATGGTAGATCCAGAACTTGAACCAGCACTGGCTTAACACAGAGCTCAGGATCTTAAGTGACTTCCAAGATCATAAGACCAGTAAGGGCACCAAGATTTCTAACTTAGAGTAGATACATTTTATATAGAATTTGGTTAAGTATTCCTTAAAATATCACTTTAATATGCCACAAGAATAACCACAGAATAGTGTTACTTTAAAGTAAAAAGATATAAATAGAAGCCCAAAATGTTAAGTGGGGTTTTACAATCAAGAAGACACACCAGAATAAGATATTTTTAAAATACCATGTACGTTAAAGAGATCATACTTCCTTACCCTAATAAATAGCCATGTAGTACAAGTTTTAACTTTTTAATTAAAAAAATTATTAAAATATTAAATATACAACTTCTATTTGGTTTTACCTGAGCCATTCCTTTATACTGACAGTTACATAATGTGATTTCAGTTATATATGTAGTTATTGGTAATTTTTCAAAAATAGAATATAATGAAAACTTCATTTGAATCATTACTGAACTGCACCTACATTAATCATGATATACCTATGAAAAGATGTATAACATATACTAGTATGCCAAAAAAAAGTAAGGCACAAAACAGTATTTATAGTATAATTCCATTTGTTTTTTTGTTGTTGTTTTTTTTGAGACGGAGTCTCGTTCTGTGGCCCAGGCTGGAGTGCAGTGGTGCCATCTCGGCTCGCTGCAAGCTCTGCCTCCCGGGTTCATGCCATTCTCCTGCCTCAGCCTCCCAAGTAGCTGGGACTACAGGCGCCCACCACCATGCCCGGCTAATTTTTTGTATTTTTTAGTAGAGATGGGGTTTCACCGTGTTAGCCAGGATGGTCTCGATCTCCTGATCTCACGATCCACCCGCCTCGGCCTCCCAAAGTGCTGGGATTACAGGTGTGAGCCACCATGCCCGGCCTAATTTCATTTGTTTTCAAAGAACATATATGCCTATGTCTGTATTTTTTTTCTACGTACAAACATGTCTTATCTACAAACCAAAAACATCTGGAAAAATATACAAAAAAAGTTTCCAGTGATAACCTCTGGGGAGTAAAACTGAACTTGTGATGTATACCTTTTGTTAGAATTTGAATTTATGAAAGGCACATATACCTTTAGAATAAAAAATACTTTAAAATAAAGCTCTATCATTTACAGTAATGCAAAGCGATCCAACTCTCAAACTCCCACATAATCATGTTATGTAGTGAAGCTTTCTAGGCTGGGGGAAGAAATGTAACCCCTTATAATGAATATATAAATATATATATAATTTCATCAATTTCATTATGGGTATACATTTATACATCTATTTACAAGTCTGTTTAAATACACATATCCACACCTGCTAAATAAGTATGTTCTGGCCAGGCGCTGTGGATCACGCCTGTAATCCCAACACTTTGGAAGGCCAAGGTGGGTGGATCACCTGAGGTCAGGAGTTCAAGACCAGCCTGGTCAACATGGTGAAACCCTGTCTCTACTAAAAATACAAAAATTAGCCGGGCATGGTGGTGTGTGCCAGTAGTCCCAGCTACTCGGGAGGCTGAGGCAGGAGAATCGCTTGAACCCGGGAGGCCGAGGTTGCAGTCAGCCGAGATTGTGTCACCGCACTCCAGCCTGGGCGACAGAGCGAGACTCTGTCTCAAAAAAACAGAAACAAACGAAAAAAGTATCTAATCAGGAGATTTTGGTAAGTTTTCCAAGCACACCCCTTCTTGTGAAACTGAGTTCTAACCTGAAGAATACCTGGGATTACATGGCGAAAAAACACAATATATTAAAATTTTAAAACAGTTCTTATTTTAGGCTCAAATTTTATGTTTTTGGGACTACTTAGACTTTTTTTTTTTTCCCTGAGATGAAGTTTTGCTCCTGTTGCTCAGGCTGTAATGCGATGGCGTGAGCTGGGTTACTGCAATCTCTGCCTCCCGGGTTCAAGCGATTCTCCTGCCTCAGCCTCCCAAGTAGCTGGGATTGCAGACATGCACCACCATGCACAGCTAATTTTGTATTTTTAGTAGACACAGGGTTTCTCCGTGTTGGTCATACTGGTCTGAAACTCCCAACCTCAGGTTATCCGCCTACCTCGGACTCCCAAAGTGCTGGGATTACAGGCATGAGCCACCACGCCCAAACAACTTTTTGTATTTTTAGTAGAGACGGGGTTTCACTGTGTTAGCCAGGATAGTCTCGATATCCTGGCCTCGTGATCTGCCCACCTCAGCCTCCCAAAGTGCTGGGATTATAGGCATGAGCCACTGCGCCCGGCCAAGTGTCACTCTTAATTTTTTAAAATTAAAAGAAATTAAATTTCTCAATTCTGGAGGCTGGAAGTCCCAGCTACTCGGGAGGCCAAGGTAGGAGAATCACTTGAACCTGGGAGGCCGAGGCTGCAGTGAGCCGAGATCGTGCAGCCTGGTGACAGAGTGAGACTGCATCTCAAAAAAAAAAAAAAATAGTGTCACTTATGTCACTCAGTTTGTGGTATTTTGTTACGGTAACTCTAGCAAACTAATAGGAGAGGACTCTGGTTTACACTATTTAAATTTTCTAATTATTTACTTTTTTTTTTTAAACGCCTGGTGGAGTGCAGTGGCACAATCACAGCTTACTGCAGCCTCGAACTCTTGGCCTCAAGCAATCCTCCCAAGTAGCTGGGACTACAGGCATGCACCACCATACCTGGCTAATTTTTATTTTTTGTAGACATGACGTTTCACTATATTACTCAAGCTGGTCTTAAACTCTTAAACTCAAGTGATCCTCCAGCCTTGGACTCCCAAAGTGCTGGGATTACAGGTGTGAGCCACCATGCTCAGCCTACATGAACTTTTTTTAAACTAGCAGGGGTTATGTGAATAGTGGGATTACAGATATTTTCTTCATTATGCTGGTCCATATTTAAATCCTCTCCCCCTCACAAAAAAGGTAAAAATATACAGCCATAAAAAAGAATGGAATCATGTCCTTCGCAGCAACATGGATGGAGCTGGAGGCTACATTCTTTTTCATCCTTTGTCCTAAAAGAAGTAACTCAGAACCAGAAAATCAAATACCACATGGTCTCATTTCTAAGTGGGAGCTAAACAATGAGTACATGTGAACATAAAGATGGAAGTAATAGACTAGAGATTCCAAAAGAGAAGGTAGAAGAGGAGGTACACAGGTTGAAAACTACCTATTGGGTACTAGGATCACTTTGGATGATGGCTGCGCTAGCAGGCCAAACCTCGGCATTACATAATCTAGCCATGTAACGAACCTGCATGTGTACCCCCGAATCTAAAATAAAATATTTTTTAAAAAAATGGTAAAGAAAAAAAGTATTAAATGACATAACTAAATATTCTAGACATCATTCTACCATTTGTTGTCCAAGAAAAACCACATTTTACCTTACAGTTTATCATTTGAAATAAAATATTATGTTAAGATATTTTAAATTTTTACCAGTTCCACAAAGGAACTGGGAAGTAGAAACTGAAGAACACTTTGTTAAGTCCTTGGGGATTAAAGAAGTAATAGCTACGAAGTATACAACAGTGTGATGAGTGAATCCTTCTCATATTGGGGTTAAAATGGTCATTATAGCTACTGCGTACCACAAATCCAATCAAGTTAGGTATTTTGTACACATTATCATTTAATTCTCATTACAACCCATCACAATAGATGTTAATTAGTATGTCCCCTATTTTTCGGATAAGGAAATTCAAGATCAAAGAGATTAAATGGCCAAGGTCATACAACTAAGAAGTGAAAGTGCTGAGACTCAAACCTAAGTTCATGTCTTAAATCCCATGCTGTTTGATATTAAGGACCACTTGTGTTTAACAAATATTAAACACCTGCTACACACACACACTGTGCCAGATGTATAAGATAGAGCCATGACCCAAGAAACACAGTCACTATTCTCAAAAAACTTAGAATCTCTGCCAGGAGCAGCGGCTCACGCCTGTAATCCCAGCACTTTGGGAGGCTGAGGCAGATGGATCACGAGGTCAGGAGTTCAAGACCAGCCTGGCTAAGATGGTGAAACCCCATCTCTACTAAAACTACAAAAATTAGCCAGGCGTGGTGGCAGGCGCCTGTAATCCCAGCTACTTGGGAGGCTGAGGCAGAGAACTGCTTGAACCAGGGAGGCGGAGGCTGCAGTGAGCCAAGATCGCACCACTGCACTCCAGCCTGGGCGACAGAGTGAGATTGTCTCCAAAAAAAAAAAAAAAAAAAGCCTTAGAATCTCGTCTTTAACATTCTGTTGCATGTATGTTTTTCCTAGGTTTTTTGTTGTTGTTTGTTTTTTGTTTGCTTTTTGTTTTTGAGACAGAGTCTCGCTCTGTCACCCAGGCTGAAGTGCACTGACTGGTGCCATCTCAGCTCACTGCAACCTCCGCCTCCGGGTGCAAGCCATTCTCCCGCCTCAGCCTCCCGAGTAGCTGAGATTATGGTGCCTGCCACCACGCCTAGCTAATTTTTGTATTTTTAGTAGAGACAGGGTTTTGCCATGTTGAACAGGCTGGTCTCGAACTCCTGACCTTAGGTAATCTGCCTGCCTCGGCCTCCCAAAGCAATGAGATTACAGACATGAGCCACCGCGTGCCCGGCCTTTTTTCTTTGACACAGAGTCTCTGGCACACAGGCTGGAGTGCAGTGGCACAGCTCACTGCAACCTCTGCCTCCCAGGTTCAAGCAATTCTCCTACCTCAGCCTCCTGAGTAGCTGGGATTACAGGCACACACCACCACACCGGGCTAATTTTTGTATTTTTAGTTGATAACGGGGTTTCACTATATTCACCAAGCTGGTCTCGGCCTCAGCCTCCCAAAGTTCTGGGATTACAGGCGTGAGCCACTATGTCCGTTCTTGTTTTTCCTGTCTTTGTAACTAGACTTTAAAGCTCCTCAAAAGAGCTGGAGTATAAATGAAAATACAAAGAGCTTTGAGTCTCAGATCTGGAAAAAGTCTAGCTTTATCATATACATACATAAATTTAAATGCTGGATTCCTCACCAGCAAAAGGGTCTTGGATTAAGTGGTATAAAGTAGTCCTGTGCTTATCCATAGGAAATACATTTCAACCCCATACCCCACCCCTGCCTGGCTCCCATAAATGCCTGAAACCACGGATGCTACAAAGCCCTATATACACTATGTTTTATATTTTTCTTTGCCTCCAATGAATTCCCTCTCTTGGCAATGCCTTATAAGTTACCATGCAAAAAAATATAAATGTATCTCATTTATCTGTTCTCCCCTACCCCCCACAACGCTATCTACCTCTCACAGGACTAAGCATTGGAAAGGCCTTAGTGCAGCCACCACCTAACCATAGAAATGATCCAAACTCACATACTACTACTTCTTTATTCTTCAGTAAAGTTCTCCAAACTAAAATGAAATATGTAGTTTGAAAATATGTAGTAAAAATACAGCTTTTTAAATATATCCTCTGTGCTATTTCATAGCCACTTCACAGTGACCCTACTTCTCCATTTATAACTCACCCAGTTAGTTATTAGTAAACAACTCTTAATCAAAATTAAAAATGAAGGGCTATGGAACAGTTCTCATATCCAGTTAAGTGTCTTAAAGGCACTGTGCTCAGCATTCCACATGCATTATCTTATTGAAAGCGCAGTGTTTAATGAACTTGCCTAAAGCCACATCAGAACCACCAGGAAGCACAATTTCATTGTATTTTGTGTGAATGCCCTCCCCAGCACAAGAACGGAGCTGTACAATGAAGTGGTCTGGGTCACACAGCTAATTAAGTAATGGAGTTAAGGCTCAAAAACTTCAGTGTCTGATGAGAAAGCTCACACTCAAAACCTCCAAAAAACACTGCTTCGCATCACTGAAATTAAAGAATAAGAATACAATATAAATAGAATAAAATGAGAATTCCTTGTTATATAATAAGCCAGTTTATCAGCTTTCTTTGGTGAAGGAAGAAAGGGCAACATAGTGATATCTTGTCTCTACTAGAAATTTAAACTTTAGCCGGGTGTGGTGGTATGCACTTGTAGTCCCAGCTACTGTGGAGGCTGAGTAGAGGGAGGATCACTTGAGCCAGGGAGGTTGAGGCTGCAAGGAGCCATGATTGCATCACTGCACTCCAGCCTGGGTGACAGAGTGAGATCCTACCTCAAAAAATAAATAAATAAATAAAAATAAGAATAAAAATTGCCTCTGGCAAAACTGCACATATAGAGGCACAGTGTGTTTTTTTCCACCACCCCAATGCTACCTCTATAACTCACACATGATAGTTTTATAAAGATAACTACCTGGCATTCAGGTTAAAATCGCAACAGCACCCAGAATAGGAAAAACTATAAATTATGCATTGGACTCTGCAATCACCAGCCCCTACTTGTAAATTTCAATGGAGATTCACTTTACTTCAAAATTAGAAAACTGATCTCAGAGTTTAAAACCTCATTTACAGCTTCAAAATATTTAGAATCTAGAATTATATAACAAATACTTATTTTCTTAGCATGAAAAATTATTTACAAATCATTTAAAAAGGATGATCAACTTAACAGAAAAATGGGCAATGACAAATAGACTATTAGTTACCTAACCAATAGCCACTCCCCACTCACAACCTGTTCCTTACAGAGTTCACCTCCCACTATCATGGCTGAAAGGAACATCCTTGCTCTCTCACCCTCACTTGTACCTAGGACATGGATGGATACCAGTCACGGTTGATGGGATTTAAGAAAAAAATCTGTTGGCCGAGCGCAGTGGCTCATGCCTGTAATCCCAACACTTTCGGAGGCTGAAGCAGGCAGATCACCTGCCTGTTCCAATACGGAGAAACCCTATCTCTACTAAAAACACAAAATTAGCCGGGCATGGTGGTGCACACCTGTAATCCCAGCTACTCGGGAGGTTGAGGCAGGAGAATCGCTTGAACCTGGGAGGCAGAGGATGCGGTGCAGTGAGCCGAGATCGTGCCATTGCACTCCAGCCTGGGCAACAAGAAGCAAAACTCTGTCACAAAAAAAGAAAAAAAAAATCTGCTAAGGGCTTCCAGGAAAGGTTTTTAATTCCAAATAAAATAGATGTTCATGAACAAATATACTTCATCTTTACTGGTCATTGAACCTGGTGTGAACTACGAATCCTCTTTTTCTCACATGCCACATCCCTCAACAAATCTTTTGGGCTCTGCCTCAACATATGCAGAATTACTTCAACATTTCTCTGATGCCTATCATGCTTCAAATCATCTGTCACCCTGCTAATATTATCTTAACTAACATGCCTGCTTCTTCCTTGATCTCCTTCATTCTAGTCTCAACACAGCAGCCAGCATGAGAGTTTGAGAGTCTTGGTCAGATAAAGCCAGTACTCCACTCAAAAGCCCCCAAAGGACTCTCATCTAATCCAGAGTAAAAGGCAAAAGATCTCACAATGGTCTACAAGGCCCTGCACAATCTGACTCCCCACGCTACTTCTCTTATGATGTTTTCTCCATAACTCAGCTCCTGCCACACTAGCCCTTTCAGTTCTATGAACATGCTAAGCACATTCCTGCCTCGGGGCTTTTGCACTCACTGTTCCCTGCATCAGCAATACTCTTTCCCCAAATGTCTGCCTTTGCATTCTTATTTCCTTTAAGATTCTATTCAAACATCAGCTCACTGAGGCCTTCTCTGATGGCCCCACTTAAAATAATCCAACCCAGCCCTTCCCGTCCCTTCCATGGCTTTATTTTTTTCCATAAAACTTAACGTCTTCTGACACCCTATAAATTCTACCTATTTGTTTGACTGTCTTCTCCCTTATCCCCACTAAAATATCAGCTCCGTGAAGGAAGGCAATGAACTTTGTTTTGCTCACTGCTGTATTTCCTGTGCTTATAGAATATTGCCTAATACATTTTAAGTGCTAAATGATTATTTAAGTGAATTAATTTAGCAACTATCAACAACAAGCTGAGTATAAAACAGCAGGAAAATGAAAACCATCTAGGTCCGTGACAATTTAATTGAGCCATTGAATTACACCTGGACTTCTAGTCATGTGAGGTAAATTTTATTTATAGTTTAAGCCATTTTTAATTAAAATTTTTGTTATTTGAAGCTGCAAAGTACCCAAAATAGGGTACTGGTAGGCAGTTTGCAAAAAAAAAGTGACAAATATAATCAATTTAACTCAATCATAAGGCATGCAAATTAAAATAACCATGAAATAATGTCACTCAAGAAAAAATAAGTTTGGTACATGTATAATCCCACTTAATATGACTCACTACATTAGTAGCATTAAAAAAATTTTAAGGGTTTTTGTTTGTTGAGACAGGGTCTTGCTCTGTTGCACTGGCTGGAGTGCAGTGGCGCAACCATGGCTCACTGCAATCTCAACCTTTTGGGCTCAAGTAATCCTCCCATCTTGCCTCCCGAGTAGCTGGGACTATAGGCACGTGGCCACACACCTGGCTTTTATTTTCTCCCCCCAGTTAGAGACAGTGTCTCACTATGTTGCCCAGCAGACTAGTCTCGAACTCCTGTGCTCAAGTGATCCTCCTGTCTTGGCCTCCCAAAGTACTGGAATTATAGGCATGAGCCACAGTGCCTAACCATTTTTAAGTTTTGTTTTGTTTTGTTTTTGAGACAGTCTCCCTCTGTCACCCAGGCTGCAGTGCAATGGCACCATCTCTGCTCACTGCAACCTCCACCTCCTGGGTTCAAGCAATTCTCCCTGCCTCAGCCTCCCAAGTAGCTGGGATAACAGGCATACGCCACCACGAATTTTTGTATTTTTAGTAGAGACGGGGTTTCACCATGTTGGCCAGATTGGTCTCGGCCTCCCGACCTCTGGTGATCAGCCCGCCTCAGCCTCCCAAAGTGCCAGGATTACAGGTGTGAGCCACCACGTCCAGCCCATTAACTTTCAAGTATTAAAATAAAGTCATACAGGCCAGGTGCAGTGGCTCACATCTGTAATCCCAGCACTTTGAGAGGCCAAGGCAAGTGGATCAGTTGAGGTCAGGAGTTAAAGACCAGCCTGGCCAACATGGAGAAGCCCCATATCTACTAAAAATACAAAAATTTGCGAAGCATGGTGGTACGCGCGTGTAGTCCCAGCTACTTGGAAGGCTGAGGTAGGAGAATAGCTTGAACCTAGGAAGTGGAGGTTGCAGTGAACCAAGATCGCACCACTGCACGCAAGCCTGGGCAACAGAGCAAGACTGTCTCAAAAAAATAAATAAATAAACAAACAAAGCAGTAAGGAGTACAATACAGTGCATAACTGTTCTCAACCTTGACAATGTCAATGTTAGAAATGACAGATGTAAGCACATAAAGGGAAAAGGAAAGGTAAAAAGAAGAGTTGCAGCTGGGCGTGGTGGCTCACACCTATAATCCCAGCACTCTGGGAGGCTGAGGCAGGTGGATCGCCTGAGGTTGGGAGTTCAAGACCAGCCTGACCAACACGGTAAAACCTCATCTCTACTAAAAATACAAAATTAGCCGGGCATGGTGGCGCCTGCCTGTAATCCTAGCTACTCGGGAGGCTGAGACAGAAGAATCGCTTGAACCCAGGAGGCAGAGGTTGCAGCAAGCCGAGATTGCACCATTGCACTCCAGCCTGGGCAACAAGAATGAAACTCCATCTCAAAAAAAAAAAAAGTTACTGATTGGTAAATCAAGATCGACAGTCTATATAACATGAAGGAAAGTTCTGATATAAACTGCAGAGATAACTAGCAAAGAAATTAAAAGTGATTTTTTAAAAATCTATTGGAGAAGTAGATGTAAAGAAGCCAAATCCTCCTTTATCAGAGCAGAAATCAATCATAAATCATAAATCATAACATACGTATACTATATAGTCACAACAATACCACAGGAAGAAATAATTTGAAAGTTTCCTTTGGAAATTGGACCCCTATCTTTCACCATATACAAAAATCAACTCAAGAAGGATTAAAGACTTAATCCAAAGACCTGAAACTACAAAAAACATTAGAAGAAAACCTAGGAAAAACTCTTCTGGACACTGCTCTATACAATTCATGACTAAGAATTCATGAATTGAAAGAATTCATGACTAAGACCTCAAAAGCACAAGCAAAAAAACAAAAACAAAAATAGACAAATGAGACTTAATTAAGCTAAAAAGCTTCTACATAGCAAAAGAAAGAATCAGCAGACTGAACAAATGGCCTACAGAATAGGAGAAAATAGTTTCAAACTATGTATCTGACAGGGTACTAACATCCAGAATTTACAAGGAACTCAAATAATCCCAACAAAAAGTAAGCAAAGGGCTGTTCTGAATACCTCACTACTGATAACTGGTAGTGAGTTATCCCAATTGATGGTTCACAGTCAGTTACCAATCAAACTCCTTGTTCTATACTCTTTACTCCCCTTTCACTACTGCACTTAACTGGTCTTAAGAAAAAATTTAAATAAAAAATTTTTAAGAATTTTAAAGTTAGCAAAGGACATTAATAGACATTTCTCAAAAGAAGACAAACAGTCAACAGGTATGTGAAAAAAATGCTCATCACTAATCATCGAGGAAATGCAAATAAAAACCACAATGACATATCATCTTACACCAATCAGAATGGCCACTATTAAAGAAACAATAATAATAACAGACATTGGGGAAGATGCAGACAATAGGGAACACTTACACACTGTGGGCGGGAATGTAAATTAGTATCACCTGTATGGAAAACCATATAAAGAGTTCTCAAATGACTAAAAAATAAAACTACTGACCGGGCACGGTGACTCACGCCTGTAAGCCCAGCACTTTGGGAGGCCAAGGCAGGTGGATCACCTGAGGTCAGGAGTTCAAGACCAGCCTGGCCAACATGGTAAAACCTTGTCTCTACTAAAAATACAAAAATTTGCTGGGCATGGTGCCATGTGCCTATAATCCCAGCTACTTGGGAGGCTAAGGCAGGAGAATCACTTGAACCTGGTGGGCAGAGGTTGCACTGAGCCGACATCATGTCATTGCACTCCAACCTGGGCAAAAAGAGCGAAACTCCAACTGAAAAAAGTAAAAATGATAAAAAATAAAACTGCTATTCAATCCCACAATCCCACTATTGGGTATACACCCAAAGGAAAATAAATCATTATATCAAAAAGATAACTGCACTCGTACCTTTATCACAGCAACACTCACAATAGCAAAGATAGGGAATCAATCTCCATACCCATCAACAGATGACTGGATAAAGAAAAATTGGGACACACACACACACACACACACACACACACACACACACACACGAATACTATTCAGCCATAAAGGAAGAATGAAATCATGTCTTTTGTAGCAACATGGACCTGGAGGCCATGTTCTCACTTATAAGTTGAAGCAAAATAATGTGTACATGTGGGCACAGTGTGGAATAACGACACTGGAGACTCAGAAGGTTGGGAAGCTGGGAGGAGGCTGAGTAACAAGAAATTACTGAATGGGTACACGTACATTATTTGGATGATGGATGCACTAAAAGCCCAAACTGCAGCACTATGCAATGTATTCATGTAACAAAACTGCACCTGTAGCCCTTAAATTGATACAAAAAAGTTGTTTGGAGAGTGGCACTAAGGAGTGAAACAGAATTCTTGATCCTTATTACAAGCATTCTGGGCTATTAGACTTTTTTCAACTACATACATATATTACTATTTGAAGTTTTTAAATGGACTTAAAATCTGAAAGAATACTGATCTTTTAATGAAAAACAAAACCGTAAGATACTCTGCCTAAACTTTCCCCCATAATGCAATGAATAAAACTTTAGTTTAACCTTCCTCTTCAGGATAAATAATTTCTGAGGCTTTAGAACCACCTTAAAAGGTATCTGTAGGCCGGGCGCGGTGGCTCACGCCTGTAATCACAGCACTTTGGGAGGCCAAAGTGGGCAGATCTTCTGAGATCAGGAGTTCAAACAAGCCTGGTCAATATGCTGAAACCCTGTCTCTACTAAAAATACAAAAATTAGCCAGGCGTGGTGGTGCACATCTCTAATCCAGCTACTCAGAAGGTGCAGGCAGGAAAATCTCCTGAACCCGGGAGGCAGAGGTTGCAGTGAGCCAGGATCGCAGCACTGCACTCTAGCCTGGGCAACAGAGCAAGACTCAGGACTCAAAAAAAAAAAAAAAAGATATTTGTAGACAACTAAATAAGTCAAGTTACATGATATATAGACTATCATCAAAATTACTGGACCGTCACTGCTTATCAAAGTAAAGTGTAACCAAAAATTTAATTCACAGTACTTCGACCAGACCAAAACATCCAATTCATCCATAGTTTCCTAATTTTAATACTTACTTTACCAGAGTATGAAAATCTTTTTTGTTTTTTTGTTTTGTTTTGTTTTCTTTTTTGAGATAGGGTCTCCCTCTGTTGCCCAGTTTGGAGTACAGTGGCACAATCTCAGCTCACTGCAACCTCTGCCTCCCGGGCTCAAGCAATCCTCCCACCTCAGCCTTCTGAGGAGCTGGGACCACAAGCATGTAGCACCGTGCCTGGCTAATTTTTGTATTTTCTGTAGAGACGGGGTTTCTTCATGTTGCCCAGCTGGTCTCAAACTCCTGAGCTCAAGCAAGCCACCCGCCTTGGCCTTCCAAAGTGCCGGGATTACAGGCATGAGGCACCACGCCCCACCAAAAATGTATCTTTAACACCTGTTCTCTAGATTGATTTAGGTTTTACTGATCTTAGAGGTATATACAACCATCATTTCAAACTCACCAGACCTAATTTAGTTCAACTTCACTTTTTTTTTTTTTTTTAATTTCTGCCCAGGCTGGAGTAGTGGCTCGATCTCTGCTCACTGCAACCTCCACCTTCTAGGGTCAAGTGATTCTCATGTCTCAGCCTCCCAGGTAGCTGGGATTATAGACATGCACCACCACACCTGGCTAATTTTTGTATTGTTAGTAGAGACGGGGTTTCGCCATGTTAGCCGGACTGGTCTCAAACTCCTGGTCCCATGTGATCTGCCCACCTTGGCCTCCCAAAGTGCTGGGATTACAGGCAGGAGCCACTACACGCTGCCTAGTTCACTTTTCATTCCATTTTTTCCTTTGTACCTTTTAGAAGAAGCTTTTAAGTAATATAAAGATTATTATTGTTTAATCTGTCAGAAATTGACAGGGAAAAGAACTTAAAGTTTAAATACACAATACAAAAAGATTAAAAAGTTATCACAAATTGGCAGGGCGTGGTGGCTCACGCCTGTAATCCCAGCACTTTGGGAGGCCGAGGTGGGCAGATCACCCGAGGTTGGGAGTTTGAGGCCAGCCTGACCACCTTGGAGAAACCTAGTCTCTACTAAAAATAAAAAATTAGCTAGGCATGGTGGCGCATGGCTGTAATTCCAGCTACTCGGGAGGCTGAGGGAGGAGAATAGCTTGAACCTGGGAGGCGGAAGTTGCAGTGAGCCAAGATCACATGTGCCATTGCACTCCAACCTGGGCAACAAAAGCAAAACTCTGTCTCAAAAAAAAAAAAGTTATCACAAATTATTGCTCATAACAGTTTAGTTAAAATAAAGAATGTATGTAAAACTACAGAGTAATAGCTTGATAGCAAGACAAAATAGTTTAAAAAAATTCTAGGAAAAATATGGCTGACTAAACTATGATGAAAGATTTTAGATATCAAAAATGGGCTGGGTGCAGCTGGCGTATGCCTATAATCCCAGCACTCTGACAGGCCAAGGTGGGTGGATCACTTGAGCCCAGGAGTTCAAGACCACTCTGGGCAACATGGCAAAACCCAGTCTCTACAAAAAATACAAAAATTAGCTGGACATGGTGGTGTGTGCCTGCAGTCCCAGCTACTTGGGAGGCTGAGGTAGGAGAATCATCTGATTCTGGGAAGTCGAGGGTGCAATGAGCCATGATCACACCACTGCACTCCCGCCTGGGAGATAGAGTGAGAATCTGTCTCAAAAAAAAGGCATCAAAAATGGCCAAAAGAAAATCTTAAACAAACCATGAGTTAACAGATTAAAAAGGTGTTCTTGTTTGTTTTTTGAGACAGAGTCCTCCTCTGCTGCCCAGGCTGGAGTGCAGTGGTACAATCATGGCTCACTGCAGCCTTGAACTCCTAGGCTCAAGTGATCCTTCTGCCTCAGCCTCCCAAAAAACTGGGACTATCGGTGTATCACAACACACAGCCATTTTTTTTTTCTTAGTAGAGATGAGGACTCCTGATGTTGCCCAGGCTGGGCTCGAACTCCTGGTCTCAAGAGGATCCTGCCTTGGCCTTCCAAAGTGCTGGGATTACAGGTGTGAGCCACAGTGTGGGGCCAAAAAGGGTTTTTTTATTTTTTGGGTTTTTTTTTTCTGTTGTTAGAGGTGGAGGTGGTAATGGTTTCTGTTTTGGAGGGAGAAGAGGTAGTGGTGGTAATGGTTTCTTCTTGGGAAGGAGAAGACAGCTGAAGGGGACTGCTGTAGTATTATGGTTTACAGTGTTTACCATTTTGTTTAACAATATTCTACTCTAGAAATTGAAACATTTTAGATGTTAATAAAACATCTAAAATCATACTATGATTTACTTCTCCAAAATACAAATTACATCACAAGTAAGACTCCATGCAATGACATTTTTATCTTTATGGAGCGTCATCAATATCAGTTAAATAAATCAGTGCAATTGTTCCTAAGGAGAAGTTTAGCTTCCACTTCACCACTAAAAGCCAAGTGCCTATGATGCAGATGAACGCATTGTACAATATATTTCAATCAAGTCACAGACTCACTTCCCCACTATCCATGAAATATAACAAAGGGCTAAGAAACATTAAAAAATGATGTATCAAACTTCCCACAAACCAAAAGACAGGAAGCTATTGAATAATCTGACACTTGGATTACATTTTCATTATCATTAAAATGTAGCAAAGGGGCCGGGTGTGGTGGCTCATGCCTGTAATCCTATCACTTTGGGAGGCCAAGACAGGCAGATCACTTGAGGTCAGGAGTTCAAAACCAGCCTGGCCAACATGATAAAACCCGTCTCTACTAAAAATATGAAAACTTAACCAGGCATGGTGGCACATGCCTGTAATCCCAGCTACTTGGGAGGCTGAGGCCAGAGACTCACTTGATCCTGAGAGGCGAAGGCTGCAGTGAGCCAACATCACACCACTGCACTCTAGCCTGGGCAACAGAGCGAGACTCTGTCTCAAAAAAAAAAAAAAAGGGTAGCAAAGGAAAAAAAAATAGGTCAGTGTTTAGAAAGGATACAACTATATCACGTTTTTTACTTATTTTACATTTTGTATTGGTCTGGAAGTTGAAAATATGTGCCCAAAACAACTATACAACTTGAGCAATGATTTTAAAACAAATATGACACTTTATATTAGAAGTAGAACCTATTTATTCAGAAACATATACTATTAGTTACATTTAAAATTTATTGTTAGAATACACTGTTTCCAAATCAACAGTCCTTACAAAACATGGAACATATACTTCAGTATTATTTAGCTTTACTTTTGTAATAGTGGCCAAGGTGGCCGGGTGGGGTGGCTCACACCTGTAATCCCAGCACTCTGGGAGGCCGAGGCGGGCGGATCACAAGGTGAGGAGTTTGAGACCAGCCTGGCCAATATGGTGAAACCCCATTTCTACCAAAAATACAAAAATTAGCTGGGTGTGGTGACGTGTGCCTGTAATCTCAGCCACTTGCGAGGCTGAGGCATGAAAATCGCTGAATCCAGGGAGGCAGAGGTTGCAGTGAGCCAAAATCGTGCCACTGCACTCCAGCCTGGGTGACAGAGTGAGACTCCATCTCAAAAAAGGGAAAAAAATAGTGGCCACGGTGGATTTTGTACTCTGAATATAAACTATATAGTTTATACTATACATATGTCTGCTTATAAACTAGGCACTACTGCTTCAATATATTAAAAAAATTATTCTAGAAGATAGTTTATCATACTCAGGGTTCCCCCCACCTCTAGCTGCAGACCAATACCAGTCGGTAGCCTGTTGGGAACCAGGCCTCACAGCAGGTGAGCGACAGGCAAGCCAGCATTAACCTGAGCTCGGCCTCCTCTAGATCAGCAGCGGCATTAGATTCTCATAGAAGCACAAACCCTATTGTGAACTGCACAAGCAAGGGACCTAGGCTGTGTGTTTCTTATGAGAATCTAACTAGTCTAACTAATGCCTGATGACCTAAGGTGGAAGAGTTTCACCCCAAAACCATCCCCTCCCTGCTCCCCCTGGGGTCTGTGGAAAAAACTATCTTCCACAAAACTAGTCCCTGGTGCCAAAAAGTTTGGAGACCACTGACATAAACTACAAGGTTTTGTTAAAAAAAAAAATGTAGCCAATGTCCCTTGAGGGTTAATATCAAATATCTTAGAATAGGTAACAGTCTAATATGAATTTAATTGTGAACATAATGAAGTTAATTCTACACTATCTGAAAAATAGTTTCACTTAACATGTATCTAATTCATCAAACTGGGTGGGTTTCTTTTTTTTTGAGACAGAGTCTCCCTCTGTTACCCAGGCTTAATGTTACCCAGGCTTAAGTGCAGTGGCGCCATCTCAACTCACTGCAGTCTTGACCTCCAGAGCTCAACCTGATCCTTCCACTTCAGCCTCCCGATTAGCTGGGATCACACAAGAATGTGCCATCACACCTGGCTAATTTTTGTATTTTTTGTAGGGACAGGGGCTCACTATGTTGTCCAGGCTGGTCTTGAATTCCTTACCTCAAGTGATCCACCTGTCTCAGCCTCCCAAAGTGCTGGGATTAGAGGTGTGAGCCACCAAGACCCACCTTAAAACAAGTTCTTTGAAAACATACTTGCTACGTAATAGTTATGAGCTTTTTAAAAAATTTCTTCTAATTTCTTCTAATGTCATTAAATTCTGGCAATCAGATTTTCAGAATATGTTAAAATGTTGGTTAAGTGGGCCAGGTGCAGTGGCTCATGCCTGTAATCCCAGCATTTTGGGAGGCCGAGACAGGCGGATCAGGAGGTCATGAGATCGAGACCATCCTGGCTACCACACAGTGAAAGCCCATCTCTACTAAAAATACAAAAAAAAAAAAAAAATTAGCCAGATGTGGTGGCAGGCACCTGTAGTCCCAGCTTCTTGGGAGGCTGAGGCAGGAGAATTGCTTGAACCCAGGAGGCGGAGCTTGCAGTGAGCTGAAATCCCGCCACTGCACTCCAGCCTGGGTGACAGAGCAAGACTCTGTGTCAAAAAATAAAATAAAATAAAATAAAAATAAATAAAATAAAATGCTGGTTAAGTGACCAGAGGTTTTATTTCTTGGGTTTTTTTTAATCATCATGGAATTAAACACACATGAAGAAATCTGTTGAAACCCCTCAAACTTGCAATGCTATACCTGAATCAGTATTCTTTCAGAGACTTTTCAAATTATACAAATATTTCAAAATGCTGAGTTACTCTACTATAGCTAATAAAACTACTTAAACTAAGTGGAAAACCTTGAGAACTAAAGGGGGAGGGGATATTATTTATTCTCATTACTCTTAAATCAACCAACTTCCAAATCCAGAACATAAAACTTTTATGATTATTTGTTCTTTCCCTGTTTACAAACCTAGTTCTGATTTCATTATTAAAAATACAGGCCAGGCACGGTGGCTCATGCCTGTAATCCTAGAACTTTGGGAGGCCAAGGCAGACAGATCACGGATCAGCAATTCAAGACCAGCCTGACCAACATGGTGAAACCCCGTCTCTACTAAAAACACAAAAAATTAGCCGGGCGTAGTGGCTGGCACCTGTAATCCCAGCTACTTGGGAGGCTGAGGCAGAAGAATGGTGTGAACCCAGGAGGCGGAGCTTGCACTGAGTCGAGATTGCACCCTCACACTCCAGCTTGGGCGACAGAGGAAGACTCCGTCTCAAAAAAAAAAAAAAAAAAAAAAAGCCAGGCGTGGAGGCACACCCCTGTAATCCCAGCTACTCGGGAGGCTGAGGCAGGAGAATCGCTTGAACCTGGGAGGTGGAGGCTGCAGTGAGCCGAGACAGTGCCACTGCACTCCAGCCTGGGTGACAGAGCAAGACTCCATCTCAAATAAAATAATTTTTTTTAGTTTTTTAATTTATATGTATTACATATATTATATTATAAATATTATATATATTATGTATAATTTTTATGTATGAGATTATGTATATATGTATATGTATATGAGATGTATATATAATATATACATGTCAGCCGGGCCCAGCGACTCACGCCTATAATCCCAGCATTTTGGGAGGTTAAGGTGGGTGGATCACTTGAACCCAGGAGCTCGAGATCAGCCTGGGCAACATCGAGAGATGCCGTCTCTACAAAAAATAAAAGATAAAAAAATTAGCTGGTGGTGATGGCACATCCCCACAGCCCCAGCTACTTGGGAGGCTGAGGTGGAAGGATCACTGGGGTCGGAAGGTCGAAGCTGCAGTGAGCCAAGATCTCACTCCTGCACTTCAGCCTGGATGACAGAGCGAGACCAAGTCTCAAAAAAAATATATATATATATGGTGTGTGTATATATGTATATGTGTGTATATGTTTATATATATGTGTATGTGTGCATATGCACACAATTCTCTATAACTAGTGCTATCATACTTAATGCTTTAATAAGGTTAAATACATAATAAATACAATCGTTCATTTTGTCTTTAACAGTACAATCCAACTCAAGTCGTCTTTCCAAACCAGATACAAAAATATCCTATGATATTTTTGTATCAAATATAAACTTTTTGTATCAAACAAAAACTTTTTTTGTATCAAACAAAAACTTTTTATCCTTAGGGTATTTTGGGGTTCTGGCCGTTTGTTGTGCCAGATATAATACCACTTGATAACACTTTCAGCTTCATCCCATCCCATCCTGCAACAATGTTTTCAGTAGGGCGGGATCCGTGGCTCCCAATCAAGTCCTGACAACCTGATCTCATGGCAGGGCCCACACAAGAAAAAAAAAAAAAAGAGAATTTTATTTCGTGCAACTTTTATGGCCCTGAGAATCTCCGACCCCCAACCCCCTCAACACACAATCAATCAATTGATCTCCCTCTCCCTCCCTCTCTCCCACCTCCACACCATCTATGAGAAAGAGGACGGGGAAGAAGGTGGAAGAAAAGGCACGAGAAGAGAAAGTAGATCCGATGTAAAGCAGGCACCTAAAAAAGGTGGGATGGATTTCTCCAAAGCCCAGATCAGGGACGCTGCTACAGACAGCCAGTGGAGAATGCCTCTAAGATTAACGCTTTAGTAACCACTTACAAGAACTTCCCCTGTCTACTGCTTAATTTCAAATAACCCAACAGGTCCATTTAATTACTTTGTATTATTTAAAAACATCTAGGATTTCTTTAAATAATAAAAGGGAAACAAACGCGTTTTAACATCATTTTGCATCACAATGTTAAAAACTTGGGTTAACTCCCTCAGTAAATCTTTAAATCCTTTCCAATCTACTATCTCTGGCCAGGAAGTCAAAACTTAAATATTAACCAACTAAAATGATCTTCATACTCTGGTCAATTTTGCAGAGCTAAAAATTTAAATAAATAAATAAATAGATCTTCAATGTGTATCAAGGATGTCCTACTTGGTCCTCACTCTCCCAAACAGAGCTTATTTTCTTCCATTTAACAAAGGAAAATTTTCATTTAAACAATTCTAATGAAGATGTTGCAACCTGGCCAAGAGCAGTGGCTCATGCCTGTAATCCCAGCAGTTTGGGAGGCCAAGGCAGGCTGATCACTTGAGGCAAGAGTTTGAGACCAGTCTGGCCAACATGGTGAAACCCGATCTCTACTAAAAATCCAAAAATTAGCCGGGCATCATGGCGGGAACCTGGAATCCCAGCTACTCAGGAGGCTGAGGCAAGAGAATGGCTTGAACCCGGGAGGCGGAGGTTGCAGTGAGCTGAGATCCTGCCACTGCACTCCAGCCTGGGCGACAAAGCAAGACTCCCTCTCAAAAAAAATTTTTTTAAATGTTGCAAACAATTTTTCTTCCTCATATTTATAGATGTTTATCATGGTTTTTCTTAAAAGTTTTTTAAACCACCTTTTCCAAACCTCAAAACAAGCATCTATAATTATAGACAATTATTCTCCTGGCTCCATAAACAATTCTATTTTTCCTTCTCCAACTTTCTAATCCTCTCATGAAGCTGGCCAAATGTATTCTACTCCTGACACCAAACAACAAAAAAAGAAACACGTAACTGCAGCCTACTTCTTTTGTTTTAATAAACAAATAAACTAGCTTAAGTGAACAGTGGTCTTGGATCACATAAGAATTTCAAAATAAATGATTTAAACACTTCAAATATTGTGGGGGGAGGGGGATGGTGCTGGTAAATAAGGGTCAAGTTCTGACTTTCTTATTGAGGCCAAGGTCAAGAAATTACTTTATTCAGATCTATAAAATCTTACCAACTCAGAATCCTGATTATAGATTATCATCTCCTACTCAATACTTTCCAAATCTACAATGATACAGGAATCCCACTAAAATTCAGAATAATTAAAAGGAGTTAAGATTTAAGACATAACCAAAAACCAGCCCCTCTCTACAAGGCAGTTGACTGTACAGTTCATGCTTGTATACAGATGGACAGACTAAGAACCAACTCTACACTTCTGAGAAAAAAACAAACAAAACTAACAATGTAAATCTATTCTTTCATTATAACAATTTCTTTTTTCGGAGACAGGGTCTCACTTTGTCTAGGCTGGAGTGCAGTGGTGCGATCTTACCTCACTACAGCCTCGACCTCCTGGGTTCATGTCATCTTCCCACCTCAGTCTCCCGAGTAGCTGGGACTACTAATGCGGGCCACCATAGCTGGATAATTTACATATTTTTTGTAGAGACAGGGTTTTGTCATGCTGCACAGACTAGTTGAGCTCCTGAGCTCAAGCAATCCGCCCGCCTCAGCCTCCTAAAGTGCTAAGATTTCAGGTGTAAGCCACTGCGCCCAGCCACAAAATTTTTAAATGTCATTCCAAAGAACCATCTATAATGAAATGTGAAGTTATGTTAAATGCATATGTTTAGAAGATACAATGTAACTTTCTAGTTTTTATTTCCACTGTAATGTAACTAACTTCAATTATGAATAAAATTCTACATAGGTTTCCATCTCAGGATTTTTGTTCTCTTTAAAGTTACAAAAATTGGCCGGGCATGGTGGCTCACACCTGTAATCCCAGCACTTTGGGAGGCCGAGGCATGTGGATCACCTGAGGTCAGGAGTTCGAGACCAGCCTAGCCAACATAGCAAAACCCCGTCTATACTAAAAATACAAAAATTAGCCAGGTGTGGTGGCGGGCGCCTGTAATCCCAGCTACTTGAGAGGCTGAGGCAGGAAAATCGCTTGAACCCGGGAGGCGGAGGTTGCAGTGAGCCGAGATCGTGCCACTGCACTCCAGTCCGGGTGACAAGAGCAAAACTCTGTCTCAAAAAAAAAAAAAAAATTTACAAAACTCATTTAGAAAATGTATGAGGCCAGACGCGATGGCTCATGCCTGTAATCCCAGCGCTCTGGGAGGCCAAGGCGGACAGACCACTAGGTCAGGAGTTCGAGACCAGCCTGACCAACATGGTGAAACCCTGTCTCTACTAAAAATACAAAACTTAGCTGGGCGTGGTGTCGCACGCCTGTGATCCTAGCTACTCAGGAGCCTGAGGGAGGAGAATTGCTTGAACCCAGGAGGCAGAGGTTGCAGTGAGCTAATACGGTGCCACTGCACTCCAGCCTGGGTGACATAGTGAGACTCTGTTTCAAAAAAAAAATGCATATGAAACACAAAAAGCTGGGTGTGGTGGCTCACACCTGTAATCCCAGCACTTTGGGAGGCCGGAGGGCGGGGGGCAGATCACCTGAGTTCAGGAGTTCGAGACCAGCCTGACCAACATGAAGAAACCCCATCTCTACTAAAAATACAAAATTAGCCAGGCATGGTGGTGCATGCATGTAATCCCAGCTACTCAGGAGGCTGAGGCAGGAGTATCATTTGAACCTGGGAGGCGAAGGGTGCCATGAGCCGAGATTGTGCCATCACACTCCAGCCTGTGCAACAAGCACGAAACTCCATCTCAAAAAAAGAAAGAAACACAAACAGTTGCCAATGTGAAAACTACTCAATAAGATTTAATAAAAATACCATATTTGGAAAAATTTTTTGTCTTTTTTTAGCTGGGATTACAGGCGCCCGGCATCATGCCTGGCTCATTTTTGTATTTTTAGTAGAGAAGAGGTTTCGCCATATTGGTCAGGCTGATCTCAAACTCTAGACCTCAGGTGATCCACCCACCTCAGCATCCCAAAGTGCTGGGATTGCAGGAGTGAGCCACTGCACCCGGCCTTAACTATTTTTCATTAAGGTAATGAAATAAGTTAACTTCTCAATACTTTCTTTTTTTTTTTTCTTTTTGAGACAGGGTCTTGCTCTGCCACCAGGCAAGAGTGCAGTGGCATGATCACAGCTCACTACAGCCTCAATCTCCTAGGCTCAAGTGATCCTCCCTCCTCTGTCTCCCGAGCAGCTGGGGCAACAGGTGCATACCACATGCAGCTAATTTTTTATTTTTTATTTTTTTGTAGAGACGGGATCTCACGATTTTGCCCAGACTGATTTTGAAATCCTGAGCTCAAGCTATCAGCCTGCCTCAGCCTACTGAAGTGCTGGGATTACAGGTGATGGCATCCAGCCTTCAATATTTTCTTGATGAAAGAGAAGACTTATTACTAGTCCTAGATTATTATGAAAAACAGCAATATCATGATTAAATTTTTGTTCCTCCTCCCAGTACTGTGTTCTATTAATTAGATAAGAAATGGGAATGAACAAAAATAGACATTAAATCAAATGTTTTTTACTTTCTAAAAGTCAAAAATTCTAATGCTTTGTTTACCTAATCTACAAATATTTATCTTACTACTTCTATAAATAATTGAATAAAATCTTAAAGGAACTAAAAGAAATAATGGGACTTTTCACTACACAAAAGATAATTACCTATACAATGAAATGAGGTGAAATTCTTAGAGCAAATGTCTTAAAGTATGTCATACAACAAGCTTAAGTTAATAATATGAAACAGTTAGAATGCCCCCACCCCAATAAAGTATGGACAAAATACGACTGGACAATTCACAAGAAACACAAATAATAAAATTCAAAAAAAGGCTGACGCGGTGGCTCATGCCTGTAATCCCAACACTTTGGGAGGCTGAGGCGGGTGGATCATGAGATCAGGTGCTCGAGACTAGCCTGGCCAACATAGTGAAACCCCATTTCTACTAAAAATACAAAAAATTAGTTGGGCGTGGTGCTGGATGCCTGTAATCCCAGCTACTTGGGAGGCTGAGGCAGGAGAATTGCTTGAACCTGGGACGCGAAGGTTGCAGTAAGCCAAGATCACACCACGGCACTCCAGCCTGGGCAACAGCGTGAGACTCAGGTCTCAAAGAAAAAAGAAAAAGAAATTCAAAATATTCGTTAGTCCTACTAATCAAGTAAGCAAAAACTTAGGACTAAAGTACTTTTTTTCAGTTGTTAAGATAAAGATTTTTATATATTATACATGACAAAGGTTTGATAAAACTAGACCTATCACACATTGCTAATGACATTACAAATTGATGCAGCCTTTTTAGGGAGTGGCATTTCAAAACTTTAATAAAAATAAGAGATCAGAGCTGGGCATGGTGGCTCATGCCTGTAATCCAAGCATTCTGGGAGGCCAAGGCAGGGGAGATCACTTGAGGTCAGGAGTTCAAGACCAGCCTGGCCAAAATGGCAAAACCCTGTATTTTTAGTATTCTACTAAAAATACAAAAATTAGTCAGGCGTAGGCCAGGCGCGGTGGCTCACACCTGTAATCCCAGCACTTTGGGAGGCCGAGGTGGGCAGATCACGAGGTCAGGAGATCAAGACCATCCTAGCTAACTCGGTGAAACCCCATCTCTATTAAAAATACAAAAAATTAGCCGGGCATGGTGGCAGGCGACTGTAGTCCCAGCTACCTGGGAGGAGGCTGAGGCAGGAGAATGGTGTGAACCCAGGAGGTGGAGTTTGCAGTGAGCCAAGATCACGCCACTGCACTCCAGCCTGGGCAACAGAGCGAGACTCATCTTGAGCGAGACTCATCTCAAAAAAAAAACAAACAGCAACAAAAAAAATTAGCCGGGCATGGTAGCACACCTATAATCCCAGCTACTTGGGAGGCTAAGACAGGAGAACCGCTTGATCTCAGGAGGCGGAGGTTGCAGTGATCGGTGGCCATAGAAGCCCTCCTGAGCAGCAGGCAGAACAGAATCCTCTATAGCAATCAGCCTGCCGGAGAAGCCTCTGCCCCTGTGGCCTGAGGTTCCAGTTTCCCCAGGTGACACCATGGGCAGGTGGGCTGAAGAAGTGGGAAGGTCAAATCAACTGGCCCAGCCAGGATGCCTCTTTGATGATACAAGTGATACTGGTCTAAGCCTCGCCTCTTCCACAGGGGAAACTAGGTGGCCCAAAGGGTGCCCAGAGGCAGGGGACCTGCCACAGCAGCCACCTTCCTGAGAGGTTCCCTTTCTTCCCCTTGGTGAACTCCCTCCAACACACAGCTTGCCAGGAAAGCACCCTGTGTCTTACATGGGGGGATCCCACAACACCAAAACCCAGCCAAAGAAGCCTTTTGTCCCTTAAGGGTTATCACAACCAAAAACAAAAAGATACACAAATAGTAAGCCCCTAAATTCTGTTAAGAATGAAACAATGCTGCCACTCACACCTGACTCAGATGCTAGCAGAAGGAGGGCACCCTCCAGAGACCAGAGACCACAGGAGAAAGGGGAGGACTCCTCCTTGCCGTGGCTGCACCTCCACCACTGTCACTGAGGCCTGCAGTACAGAACCAGCAGCTTCTTACCCACCCCAGGCCAGGCCGGGCCCCAAAGCTCTCCTACTTCCCCTTCCTGGCCCCTAGACTTGCTGCTGCTGCCACCATTAGCGCCGACGCCAAAGGAATCAGCGCTGCTGTCACCCTCCATGCACCTGCCCACCCTCCAAGGATCCTACCACTTGGCCTCCACGGGTACCCTCCTATTGCTCCTGTTGAGCTGCCGTCTCCATCACCGTGGCTGCCACAACCTCAGAAGATGAAGCACAGAGCTGTGCCGTCTTCAGGCTCCAACCTCCAGCTCACCACAGGGGACTCCTCCTTCATCAGTCTGGCTTGGAGCAGCTGGGCAGACAATGCCAGAAAAACCTACAATAGGATGCAGAAAGTGGCAGTGTTAGAGCCTCACCCTGTCATGCTGCCCACTGGGTGGCTGGGGCCAGTTTCAGCGAAGGCACTTACACCCACCCTCCAAAGTCCAGCCTCTCCTCCTAGACCGAGCTGGCCTCCTGACCTGGGGTGGGGACTGGAGACACCACAGTGTCCGCGGCTCCTTGGGGAGCAAGAACAGCAGAAACTCAGACCCAGCCAGTCCTCCCAACCCAAGTACCAGTTCCCATTCCTTACTCCTCCACCCACAGGACCCTGAGCCCCCGTGGTGCCCATTACTCCATGCCTGGGGCTCCCAGATGGTCCCCACAACACAGAGCAAGAGGGCAAGGGACGAGTAACCATGGTGGGTGTGAGGGCCCTGCGGTGGTCAGAGGATTGCCACAGAAACTCTGTGCACCCTCCACGCTCCAACACGAGCAGAAGTTGTTCACACTCTAGAGCCTTGAGTCCGGGAAGAGGAGAAGGGCCCCTTCCTCAGAGGCCACCACTGTCGTGGCCACCTCCACAACCTGCTGCTGGAAGCAGCAGTGCAGCTTCCCCCCATAGCGCCCCTAACCTGCCCCCTCCACCACAAGCTTAGCCCCCGGATTGTGCCCACAACACACCCAGAGACTGCTGCAGGCAGTGTAACACTGATAGCGCCCCCAAATGACCCCTCTGCTCCTGGCAGTGTAACACTCGATAGTGTCCACAACTCATCCCCACCATGGGTGTTGCAGCACCAAATAGCACCCCATCAAACCCACCCCCCACCCGGACCACAAGCAGTATAGCCCCAGATAGCGCCCCCAGTCTGCTCCTGTCGCAGGCAGTGAACGCCCGGGGTAGTGCACCCAACAAACCCCTGGACCCCACCTTCCCCTTTCCCCCACAGACAATGCAACATTTCACAGCTCCCCTAAAGCACCCCCGACTGCCTGCCAGTTGGCATTGTTGCTGACATTGTAGCTCACGATAGCTCACCAAACCCGCCCCCTGCATCGGCCAGTGTAGCAGCTAATAATGCCCCTAATCCCCCACCACCCGCTGCTGGCAGTGCACGACCGTACACACAACCTGCCTCCAACCCCCCGCCACCTTAGGCAGTGTAGACTCTGATAGCGCAGCAAACCTGCCCCACTGCCAGCAATTCAACACCTGATAGTGCCACCCACCAGCCCCCTGCGGCAGGCAGTGCAGCTCCAAAAGCACACCAAACCCGCTCCCCCACCACCCCGCAAGCGGGCAGTGCAGCCACAGAGAGCGCACCTACCCTGCCACCTTTCTACTACTCTAACAGAGATGCAGTCTCCGTCGCCACCTCCAACTGCAGCCAGGCGAGCCGCGGTGGCCAAGGCTCCAGCCGCCAGTGTTGGGCACGGTCCCCACCTTCTCCTAGACCTCTAGCCGGTCAAGAGCAGCTCCAGCTGCCAGCCACCCTCCTACCGCTCAGGCTGCACTCTTACCGCTCCGGCTGCCATCTTACTGCTCCAGCCCCAATCCTACTGCTCAGGCCACCCTCCTAACACTCCAGCCGCACTGCCATCTCTGTTGCCACCACCATCCAGAGCGAGACGAGCCACGGTGTTACAGGCTCCAGCCTCCAGCTCCCTCTTCTCCTGGTCCTCTAAGCCGGGAACAGAGCAGCTCAGCGGGAGATACCAGAGACCCTAAACTGCCGTGAGGCCTCCTCAGCATGCACATGGGGTTACGCGCATGGTTTCTGGACTACATGTTCTGATTGGGTGAGAGAAAATCTCTAGGCCTTCTCTGATTGGACTTTATTTTCATACACTGATTGGTTGTCCTAAGACTTTCTTTCATCCAATCAGAACATGATAACAAAGTCCAATCAGAGTAGGCCTCTGGGCTTTCTCTTATCCAATCCTGGAACGTGTAGTCCACGAACCGCATATGCATAACTTCAGTACATAAATGGTGCTGAAGAAGAGTCAGGCTATTCCAGGTTCTTCTGTGTCTGCTCACCGAGCTGCTCCAAGCCCGGCTTAGAGGACCAGGACAGACTGGAGGCTGTAGCCTGCTGCACCGTGGCTGGCCTCCCTGCAGTTGGTGGCGACAGACACTGTAGTGTGGCTGGAAAGGTAGGAAGGGGAAAATAGTTTCGGGATAGATGGAAGGGTAAAGAGGGTGGTTAGTGCCAAAAGGAAAAAAGGATGGTGAGCCGGAGAAGGCATTGCATAAAGACGATGAGGAAAAGATGTTGGGGAAAAAAAAATTGGGGGGTAGATGGAGGGGGAAAAACAGGGTGGTGAACAGGAGGTAGAGAAGGTTTCACAGAAAGATGGTGGGGAAAAAGTTTTTGGGTAGATGGAAGGGGGTAAGAGAGGGTCGTGAGAGGGGAACGGGGATGAGCAGGAAGGAGAGAGAAGGTTTGCAAAAATATGGTGGGGAGAGAAGAAAGGGAAAGAAGACTGTGGGTAAAAAGATTTTGAGTAGATGGAGGGGGGAAAAGGGTGACAAGTGGGAGGAGAAAAGAGGTTGCAGAGAGGGAGGGGGAAGAGAGAGTGGCGAGCAGGAGGGAGAGAAGGTTTTGCAAAAAGACAGTGAGGAGAGAAGCTTTTGGGTAGATGGAGGGGGGAAAGAGGGTGGCCAGTGGGAGAAGGGTAAAGAGGGTGGCGAGCGGGAAAGAGAAAAGGTTTTGCGAAAAGACGATAGGCAGAAAAGAAAGTGTAGAAAGAAAAGACAGTGTGTAAAAAGTGTTTGGGTAGATGGAGGGGGAAAAGGGTGGCAAGCGGGAGGAGAATAGAAAGTGTGGCCAGAGGGAGTGGGGAAAGAGGACTGGGAAAAAGGCAATGGGGAAAATAGTTTGGGGTAGATGGAGGGCAAAAAGAGGGTGGCAAGCAGGATAGAGGAAAGAAGAGGGCGAGCGGGAAGAGGGGAAGGCTTTGTGAAAAGATGGCAGGGAAAAATTGGGGAGGTAGATGGGTTAAAAGAGCGTGGTGAGCAGGAGTAGAGAAGAGGCTTTGTAAAAAGACGGCGGGAAAAATGTTTTTGGGTAGATGGAGAAGGGAAAGGGTGGCAAGGAGGAAGGGAAAAAAGACGATAGGGAAAGAGTTTTTGGGTAGACAGAAGGGGAAAGAGAGGGTGGCGAGCAGCAGGAGTGGGAAGAAGGCTTTGGGAAAAGATGAGGGAAATGTTTTTGGGGAGATGAAGGAGCAAAAGAGGATGATGAGAGCGGGAGGCGGAATAAAGGGTGGCCAGAGAGAGGGAGAAAAGACGGTGGGGACAAGTTTTGGGGTAGATGGGTGGGGAAAACGGAAGTGAGCGGTAAAGTATAGAAGGCTTTGCAAAAAGACAATGGGGAAAAAATGGTGGGGAAAAAGTTTTGGGGTAGATGGAGGAAGAAAAAGGGTGGCGAGAGAGGGAGCCAAAGACGGTCGGGAAAAAATTTCCTCCTGTTACTGATTTTTTAATACTCTTCCACTCCTGTCAGAAAAAATAATTGATATGATTTCAGGGTTTTTTTGTTTTGGTTTGGTTTGGTTTGGTTTTTTGAGATGGAGTCTCGCTCCGTTGCCCAGGCTGGAGTGCAGTGGTGTGATCTTGGCTCACTGCCACCTCCACCTCCCAGGTTCAAGCCATTCTTTTGCCTCAGCCTTCTGAGCAGTTGGGATTACAGGCATGCGCCACGACGCCCAGCTAATTTTGCATTTTTAGTTCTAAATGGGGTTTCTCCATGTTGGTCAGGCTGGTCCCGACCTCTGTTGATTGCCCCACCTCTGCCTTCCAAAGTGCTGGGATTACAGGTGTGAGCCACTGCACCTGGCAAGGATGTTGAATTTTATTGAATGTTTTTATCTGCATCTATTGAGATAATCATATGATTTTTGTTTTAAATTCTGTTTATGTGGTAAATCACATTTATTGATTTGCATATGTTAAATAGTCCTTGCATCTCAGGAATAAAACCTATGTAATCACGATGAATTACATTTTTGATATGCTGATGGATTTGGTTTGCTAGCATTTTGTTGAGGATATTTGCATCTATGTTCATCAGATATTGGCCTGTAGTTTGTTGTTGTTGTTTCCTTGCTAGATTTTAGTGTCAGGATGATACTGGTTTTGTAGAATGAGTTAGAGAGGAATTCCTTCTCCTCAATGTTTTAGAATGGTTGCAGTAAGATTGATACCATATATTTTTTTGTATGTTTGGTAGAATTCAGCTGTGAATTCATCTAGTCCTGGGCTTCTCCTGCTTGATAAATATTTTTATTACAAATTCAGTTTCATAATTAACTACTGGTCTGTTCAGATTTTTTTAAATTTATAGAGAAAAAATATTTATTTGGTCTATAGTTGTGCAGGCAGTAGAAGCATGGGACCAGCACCTGCTCAGGTTTGGGTGAGACCTCAGAAAGCATCGAATCACAGAGGAAGGCAAAGGGAGGGCCAGTGTATCACGTGTCAAGAGAGAAATCAAGAGCAAGAAGGGGAACATGGCAGGGTGTTTTAAACAACCAGCTCTCGTGTGACACAACAGAGCAAGGACTTGCTGATCGCCAAGGGGATGGAGCTAAGCAATTTATGAAGGGTCCACTCCCATGATTCAACATCTTCCACTAGGCCCACCACCAACATTTAAGGTCACATTCAACAAGAGATTTGGAGGGTAAACACATCCAAACAATGTCATTTCACCCCTATGGCCCCCAAATCTCATGTCCTTCTCATATTGCACAATACAATGTCATTTCATCCCTATGGCTCCCAAATCTCATGTCCTTCTCATATTGCACAATACAATTATCCTCCCCCAGTAGTCCCCAAAAATCTCAAGCTGTTTCAGCATCAACTCAAAAGTCCGAAATCTCATCTGAGCTTCAAGGTACATTCCTCCATCTATGAGCCTATGAGATCAAAACCAACTTATTTGCTTCCAATATTCAATGCAGTACAGGTGTTGGGTAAATATTCCCATTCCCAAATGGAGAAGTTGGGCAAAAGAAAGGGGCAACAGGCCTCAGGCAAATCTGAAACCCAGTAGGGCAGACATTAAACCTTCAAGCTCCAAAATAATTCTTGATTTCATGTCCCGCATCCAGGGCACACTTGTGCAAGGGGTGGGTTCCCAAGACCTTATGCAGCTCTGCCTCTGTGGCTTTGCAGTGTACAGTCACCATGGCTGCTGTCTTGGATCAGAGTTGCATGCCTGTGGTATTTCTAGGCTCAGGATGAAAGTTTCCCATGGCTCTACCATTCAGGGATCTCGAGGTGGCGGCCCCATTCCCACAGCTCCAGTATGTAGTGCCCCAGTGGGGACTCTGTGTGGAGGCTTCAATCCCACATTTCCTGTTGGCACTGCCCTAGTGGACTTTTGGTTTCTTTCTGATTCAGTCTTGGAAGGTGGTGTGTTTGCAGGAATGTATCCATTTTCTCTAGGTTTTCTAGTTTCTGCACACAAAGATATTCTGAGGATCTTTTTTATGTCAGTGGTATCCTTTGCAATGTCTCATTTGTCATTTTTGATTGTGCTTATTTGAATCTTCTTTTTTCTTGCATAATCTAACTAGCAATCTATCATTTGTATGTGTCCTTGCAAAGAACCAACTTTTTAATTTTGCTGACTCCTTGTATGGCTTTTTTGGTCCTGATTTCATTACCTTATTCTCTAACCTTTGTTATTTCCTTCTACTAGCTTTGGGTTTGGTTTGTTCTTTTCTAGTGTGTTTGGCTATTTTAGCTTGTTAATTTGAGATCTTTCTCTCTTTTTATGTAGGCATTTAGTGTTATAAACTCTCCTCTTAACATTGTTTTTTCTGTATCACAGACGTTTTGGTATGTTATGTTTCTATTTTCATTTGTTTCAGGAATTTCTTTAAATTTCTGCCTTAATTCTGTTATTTACACAAAAGTCATTCACGAGCAGATTGTTTAGTTTCCATGTACCTCTGTGGTTCTGCGAGTTCTCGATATTGACTTCTAATTTTATTCCACAGTGGTCTGAGAAGATACTTAATATAGTTGTGATTTTTAAAAATTTATTGAGGCTTATTTTATGACTGAGCATGTGGTCAATTTTGGAGAATGTTCCATGTGCAAATGAGAAAAATGTACATTCTATGGTTTCTGGGTGGAGTATTCTGTAGATATCTATTAGGTCTGTTTGGTCAAGAGCCCAATTTGAGTCCACAGTTTCATTGTTAGTTTTCTGCCTAATAATCTGCCTAACTAATCTGCTTACTGCTGTCGGTGGGGTGTTGAAGTCCTCCACAATTATTGTACAGCTGTGTATCTCTTTTCTTAGGTCTAGTAATATTTATTCTAAAAATCTGGGTGCTCCAATGTTGGCTGCATATATATTTAAGACAGTTAAGTCTTCTTGTTGAATTGAACACTTCATCATTATATAATGCCATTCTTTGTATTTTTTTTACTGTTGTTAGTTTAATGTCTGTTTTATCTTATACAAGAATAGCAATACCTCTCCTTTTTTGTTTTTCATTTATGTGATGAATCTTTTTCCATCCATTTACTTTGAGCCTGTTGGTATCATTACACATGAGATGGGTCTCTCAAAGGCAGCAGAAGTGTCTTGTTTTTTTATCCAGTTTGCCACTCTGTGTCTTTTAAGTGGAGCATTTCAGCCATTTACATTCAAGCTTAATATTGATGTGTTAGGTTTTCTTCCTTTTATAGCATTAGCTAGTTACCTTGTAGTCTCAATTGTTTAATTGCTTTATAGGTTCTGTACATTTTGTATTCACGTGTGCTTTTATGGTAGCAAGTATCATTCTTTTATTTTCACTAGTCAAACTCCTTTAAACATTTCTTTTAGAGTCAGTCTGGAGGTAATGACTTCCCTTAGCATTTTCTTGTCTGGAAATATCTTATTTTCCTTTCTTTATGAAGCTCAATCTGGCAGGTTATGAAGTTCTTGCATGGCTGGGTGCAGTGGCTCATGCCTGTAATCCTAGCACTTTGGGAGGCTGAGGCAGGCAGATCACCTGAGGTCAGGAGTTCAAGACCAGCCTGGCCAACATGAAGAAACTCCATCTATATTAAAAATACCAAAATTTGCCAGGTGTGGTGGCGGGCACCTGTAATCCCAGCTATTGGGGAGGCTGAGGCAGGAGAATTGCTTGAACCCAGGAAGCGGAGGTTGTAGTGAGCTGAGATCACACCACTGCACTCCAGCCTGGGTGGCAAAGTGAGCCTCTGTCTCCAAAAAAAAAAAAAATAATTGGATGGCATTTTTTTTCCTTTAAGAAGGCTAATGCTAGGCCCCAATCTTTTCTAGGTTGCAGAGTTTCTGCTGATAAGTCTGTTGTTAATCTAATTTAATTTATAGGTAATTTGGCCCTTTGTTTGGGCTGCCTTTAATATATTTTCTTGTGCATTGACCACGGCTATTCTAATGACTGTGGATGCCTTAGGAATGGGCATCTTATTTACTATCCCACAGGTGTTCTCTGAATTTCTTATATCTGAATGTCAACCTTTCTAGCAAGACTAGAGAACTTCTCCTAAATTATTCCCTTAAATATACTTTCCTAGTTGGTTACTTTTTATTCTTCTGTTGTAGGAATGCCAATAAGTTATAAGTTTGGTCACTTTACATAATCCCATATTTCTTAAGGGCTTTGTTTTTCAGTTCTTTTTTCTTTTATTTTTGTCTGGGTTACTTGGCAAGACCAGTTTTCAAAGTCTAAAATTATTTCTTCTGCTTAGTCTAGTTTATTGTTAAAGATTCCAGCTGTGTTTTGAAATTCCATTAGTGATTATTTTAATTCCAGAAGCTCTATTTGTTTTTTTCTTAATCCAGCTATTTATTTTTCCATATTTCAAATTGTACTTAATGATTGTTTTGCACATAAAATTAATGTATACATGATTAATGCTTTAAAGGAACTAAGCACCCACCAGACTCAAGAAAAAATGATGCCCTATGATACATCTGAAAAAAATTTAATCTTTCTATTAAATACAGTTATGCAAATTAAGATAATATGTATTTTTGTCTAGCAAAATAAAATATAGGTATCAGTTTTGGTGAAGCTAAAGCATAATGGACATTAATTTGCCGATTGGTGCTGAAAGTATAAATTGATTCAACATTTTGCAGGGATGTTAGTCAATATGTGTGAAAATTATACACTAATATGTCTTTACACAGTAATTAAAGTGCTAGGACTTTTTGAAAAGAAAACATGTCTCAATGTGCCCAAATTTGTTTCTGTGAATATGTTTATAAAAAATGTTGTTCATTGAAAGCAATACAGTATTTAACAATAGAGAGAGTAAGCCTGTAAATCATGGAACTTATTCAACAGGGGATGTCTGAAGAGGGTCTAAAAATAATCTATATGTTTAAATAAATAAATTAAAAGAAATTTATTTTAAAATCCTACATTTAATTATATTAAAAATTATCAATTTAGGTGATAGGATTATTGGTAAATTTGAATTTTTTAGCATTTTTGTTTCTTTATGTGCCATTTTTTCTATTACTGTCTTTTACTCCTTTTGTAGATAAAATATACTGTTTTAACAAAATAAATGTCATTCATAATTTCTTATACAGTAAGAACATTTTTTGAGACAGATTCTTGCTCTGTCACCCAGGCGGGAGTGCAATCGTAGCTCACTGCAGCCTCAACCTCCCAGGATCAAGCTATCCTCCCACCTCAACCTCCCAAGTGTCTGGGACCATGGCTGTGCACCACCATACCTGGCTAACTTTTAAAGAAAGATTTTTGTAGAGCCAGTGTCTCACTGTGTTGCCCAGGCCAGTCTCAAACTCATGGGTTCAAACAGTCCTCCTCCCTCAGCCTCCACAAAGTGTTGGGATTACAGGCGTAAGCCAATGCACACAGGCAGAGCTTTTTTAAAAAAAACTATGCAATATATTTGGTCTTCAAAAAATGTTTTTGTTTGAAGAGCAAGGTACTCATGCAGGAAAATAATCCAATCTATGGTGCAGTTTAATTTAAAATGAAATCACTTGGCATTATTAAAAAATAAAATTTTGCCCAGGCGCAGTGGCTTACTCCTGTAATCCCAGCCTTTTGGGAGGCCAAGGCAGGTGGATCACCTGAGGTCAGGAGTTTGCGACCAGCCTAACATGATGAAACCCTGTCTCTACTAAATACACACACACACACACACACACACACACACACACACACACACAAAATAGCCGGGTGTGGTGGCGCATGCCTGTAATCCGAGCTACTTAGGAGGCTGAGACAGGAGATTCACTTGTACCCGGCAGACGGAGGTTGCAGTGAGCTGAGATCGCGCCATTGCACTCCAGCCTGGGCACCAAGAGTGAAACTCTGTTTAAAAAATAAATAAAATTAAAATAAATAAAATTTCGAGTATCCATTTGTTACCGAGAAAATAATTTTAAAAAACATTATTCTAATGCAATCTACAATTGTGTAGAATCATTGTAGAATATACCACAGCATACGGTTGAGTTTTATTTGCTATTAAGATTAAGTGGGGCTGCACGGCCAGACAGGCCCTGCTCCTGAGGCCGGGCAGGCTGCGCGCCTGCGATCCTGCGCCTGTGGTCCTGGGGCAGCCCGGACCAGCTCAGGAGAACCCGCGAGCCCAGCGGCGACTGCCCGGGGCTGGAGCCCCATCTGCCGGCGCGCCGCCTGGGAGCGGCTTCTGGGAGCCGAGCGGCCCCCGCCGTGCAGGGGCGCTGCTAATGCCCTTGCGAGGCTCAGTGGGTCTAAGAGGTCGGAGGCTGGGAGTGTCGCTGCTGAAGGCTGTGGTGGACCTGGCTGGATCGCGGATTCTGGGCTAGATCGCAGATTTGGGATCGCGGATGGGGGGTTGGAGCGGGAATTTGGAGCTGGATCGGGGATTTGGGGCTGGATTGGGGATTTGGGGCTAGGTGGGGGGCGGTGAAAAGGTGACACGGAGTTGTCGCGGCTCAGGAGCCGGTGGTTGGGTGTCTGAGAAGATTACAGGCGCCCGCCACCACGCTCAGCTAATTTTTGTATTTTTAGTAGACACGGGGTTTCACTGTGTTGGCCAGGATGGTCTCAAACTCCTGACTTCGTGATCTTCCCGCCTCGACCTCCCAAAGTGCTGGGATTACAGGCGTGAGCCACCGCACCCGGCCTTATCACTATTATTATGGTTTTTTATTTATTTATTTATTTTTGTTGTTGTTTGTTTTTTGTTGTTGTTGTTGTTGTTGTTGTTTTTTGAGATGGAGTCTCGCTCTGTCCCCAGGCTGGAGTACAGTGGCGCGAACTTGGCTCACTGCAAGCTCTGCCTCCCGGGTTCACGCCATTCTCCTGCCTCAGCCTCCTGAGTAGCTGGGACTACAGGCGCCCATCACCACGCCCGGCTAAATTTTTGTATTTTTAGTAGAAACGGGGTTTCACCGTATTAGCCAGGATGGTCTCGATCTTGTGATCCATCCGTCTCCGCCTCCCAAAGTGCTGGGATTACAGGCATCTGCCACCACACCTGGCCGAGCCCAGGAGTTTGAAACCAGCCTGGGCAACATGGCAAAACCCCATCTCTACAAAAAATACAAAAAAATTAGCCGGGCATGGTGGCACATGCCTGTAGTTCTAGCTACTTGGGAGGTTGAAGTGGTTCTGCCTGGGAGGATCACCTGAGCCTAGGAGGTTGAGTCTGCAGTGAGCTGTGATTGTGCCACCGTGCTCCAGCCTAGGTGATGGAGTAAGACCCTGTCTCAAGAAAAAAAATCAGAACAGTTTCTCCTGGGAAGGTATACAAATGGCCAATAAGCACATGAAAAGATACTCAACCTCATTAGCCATCAGAAAAAAATGCAAATCAAAACCAAAATAAGATACCACTTCAGGGGAGCAGTGGTTCACACTAGTAATCCCAGCACTTTGGGAGGCCAAGGCAGGCCAATTGCTTGAGGCCAGGAGTTCAAGACCAGCCTGGGCAACATGGTGAGACTCTGTCACTGCAAAAAAATAAAAAATTAGCAGCTGGGCACGGTGGCTCATGCCTGTATTCCCAGCACTTTGGGAGGCTGAGGCGGGTGGAGCACGAGGTCAGGAGTTCAAGACCAGCCTGGCCAACATAGTGAAACCCTGTCTCTACTAAAAATACAAAAGTTAGCTGCATGTGGTAGCACATGCCTGTAATCCCAACTACTCAGGAGGCTGAGGTGGGAGAATCACTTGAATCCAGAAGGCAGAAGTTGCAGTGAGCTGAGACCACACCATTGCCCTCCAGCCTGGGTGACAGAGTGAGACTCTGTTTGAAAAAATAAAATAAAATAAAATAAAGTAAAATAAAATAAATAAAAATTAGTAGGGTGTGGTGGCATGCACCTGTAATCCCAGCTACTTGGGAGGCTGAGGTGTGAGGATCACCCCAGGAGGTCAAGGCTGCAGTGAGCTGTGATCATACCACTGCACTCCAGCCTGGACGACAGAGCGAGACCCTGTCTCAAAAAAAAGAGCTATCAGGCTGGGCGTGGTGGCTGCCACCTGTATTCCCAGCACTTTGGGAATACAGTGCTGGGAGGCGGGTGGATCACCAGATCAGGAGTTCAAGACCAGCCTGGCCAAGATGGTGAAACCCCATCTCTACTAAAAATACAAAAATTAGCCGGGCATGGTGGCAGGTGCCTGTAATCCCGGCTGAGCCAGGAGAATCACTGGAACCCAGGAGGTGGAGGTTGCAGTGAATTGAGATTACGCCATTGCACTCCAGCCTGGGCAACAGAGCAAGATTCTGTCTCAAAAAAACAAAAAGTTCTGATTTCATTTTAACCAGTACAAGATACAGGAAGGGAAGCTGCCCAGTGACGTTCTTGCTATTCAGCCATGGCCTTAAGGCTGCATTATTCATAACCATGAGTAGCGTGGCCTTTCTGAACAGCTTCTGAAAAGCACGTTTGTTACTGCAGCTTTGCAGTTTACCTCCTTCTACGTTCAGGGCTCAAACCCCGTTTAACACACGCCCCCTACTGGGCCATTGAGAACTGCTAGTCTCTTCAGGTCCCCTTCCACGCAGTGTGCAGGCTCCCTGTGCACAACTCCCCTCCTCCTGTCCCTAGGGCTCCGCCTGAGTTCACATTCTGGCCTGCACTGCCAGATCTCCCTCCAGCCTCTCACCAGCTCCGTCATCCTCTGAACTGCCCCAGAGGCACATCTCTAAGAACACTAATGCCATCACTCAAAAACATTTGACTGGAAGCCAGGCACGGTGGCTTGGGCATGGTGGCTCATGCCTGTAATCCCAGCACTTTGGGAGGTGGAGGCTGGCGGATCACTTGAGGTCTGGAGTTCAAGACCAGCCTGGCCAACATGGTGAAACCCCATCTCTACTAAAAATAAAAAACTAGGCCGGGCACCGTGGCTCATGCCTGTAATCCCAGCACTTTGGGAGGCCGACGTGGGTGGATCACGAGGTCAGGAGATGGAGACCATCCTGGCTAACACAGTGAAACCCTGTCTCTACTAAAAATACAAAAAATTAGCTGGGCATGGTAGCAGACGCCTGTAGTCCCACATAGTCGGGAGGCTGAGGCACGAGAATGGTGTGAACCTGGGGAGGGGAGGGGAGATCAGGTGAGTTAAACTGGAGTTGGGGGGGGAATGTTGGCCAAGTGGCAGGCAGGGTGGGCCTGGGCCTGAGGGAAGCCATAGGCCCCTAGACTTGTTCCTGCTGACAGAGCGCCAGCGGCTGGGCAGGAGCATGAGCAAGGTGGGTTTGCATCTGTCGCTGGAGGAGCGCTCCGAATGCTTCTCAGGACAAAAGCAGGAGGCTGCCATTGTTCATAGGATGTGAGATCTAATATGGTTCAGGCTGGGGCAAATCAGTGAAGATCAAAATCCCTCATCTTCCACAATGAGGGACTAGAATCAAAGGTGGATGTGCTCCCGCCTGCTCACAAAGGGTCCTCACATGCCCCAGGGCCCTCTGCTGGGGCACAGTCCACATTAGGTGACACACAAACAGCCTGAGGGTGCCCAGTCGCTGAGCAGCCCCAGACGCTGTGCCGTTACCGGCGGGCAGGGCCCTGCAGGAGACCTTCGCCTGCCCGGACCAGAGAGGCTGCAGGGGTGCTGTGGGGAGAGGGCCAGATGGCCGCAACACAGCTGGGAATGGCTCCAGAGGGGAGGGTGGAGAGTGCGCTGGCCCATGGGAGGACTCAGAGAGGAGTTGCGTGTGTTTGGCGCTTGTGGACATGGTGTGTGGCAGTGTGAGCCAACAGGCCAACGGGCAGCAAGCATAGGAGGCTTTATGGATCCCCCTGAAGAACCACTGTGTGGAGGGGAAATGGCCCCCTGTGAGGAAAGTCCTAGCAGCCGGTGGAGCGCAACCAGATGCGGGCCCAGACTGATGGGGTCTCCATGGGAGCCCAGGTGGGAGGTGGAGGAGAAGGGAGACAGTGAGAAGGTTGTCACCAGGCCCTCACTAATACCCAGGGAGAAGCCCGTGTGCAAAGGAGGTGAAGGATAGTGCTTTGGTTTGGTTTGGTTTGGTTTGGTTTGGTTTGGTTTGAGATGGAGTCTTGCTCCATTGTCCAGGCTGGAGTACAGTGGTGCAATCTCGGCTCACTGCAACCTCCACCTCCTGGGTTCAAGTGATTCTTCTGCCTCAGCCTCCCAAGTAGGTGGGATTGCAGGCATGAACCATCACACCCAGCTAATTTTTGTATTTTTAGTAGAGATGGGGTTTCACCATGTTGACCATGCTGGTCTCAAACTCCTGACCTCAGGTGATCCACCCACCTCAGCTTCCCAATGTGCTGGGACTACAGACGTGAGCTACTGCGCCTAGTGGAGGATGGGTTTATATTGGGAAAAACCAATCTTATCAAACTTCGTGAAAACGACCACAGGATGTAACCCTCTGGCCTGGGACCCACCCCATCAAGTGGGTGGGGGCTGACAAGAAAACAACAGCGGCTCCTGGACAGCTCCCAGCAGGGCTCACTGCTCGGGCCCGGCCTAGCGCTGAGTGGGGCTGTTCCTGGCCCGACAGCCTCCTGAGGCTGGCTGCCAACACCGCACCCTTCCCACCTGTGTCCTGGAAGTGCTCAGAGGAAACATCTGCCCGGAACATGACATCAGTAAATCATTAATGAGACAGTCACTATATGACATAAATCCACTTAGCAGAGCCTCACCCTCACCTAGCAACTGGGTCACCAGCAAACTAACCACTTGGTGTGACTCTTCCATTAGGACTGCGTGGCCCCGGAGCCTCAGAGGCCAACGTTCCCAACCAGGGACTCCACCCTTCTCCCAGAGAGAGGCAAAAACAAAACAATGTAACTGAAAACCGGGTTGTAAAAACCGGTGGAAGAGCTGGGAACAGTTAACAGGGTGTCTTTCACCTCTGTGTGTAGGAGCCGAGGTGGAGCCGCCAGCTGTTCAAAGGATGCCCCCTCCTGGGGGATAAGAGGGCTCGCCAGAGCCAGTGAGGTGGGTGGGCAGGGTCCCTGTGCAGTGACACTGGTTGTTCCTGAGGCAAGCAGAACTCCTCCCCACCCTTTTTTTTTGAGACGGAGTTTCGCTCTTATTGCCCAGGCTTGAGTGTAATGGCGCGATCTCGGCTCACCACAACCTCCTCCTCCTGGGTTCAAGCGATTCTCCTGCCTCAGCCTCCAGGCTAATTTTTGTATTTTTAGTAGAGATGAGGTTTCACCATGTTGGCCAGGCTGGTCTCAAACTCCTGACCTCAGGTGATCCACCCTCCTTGGCCTCCCAAAGTGCTGGGATTACAGGCATGAGCCACTGCGCCTGGCCACTGAACTCCCCATTTTATACAGTGGGAAACAAAGGTGCAACGACCCCAGGGACAGGCTTGGGAAACAGCTAATAAACAGCAGAGTCAGGCCACAAGGCCAAGTCTGACTCGGGGATCTCCATCCCACACCCGCCATCAACAGCAAACACATTAAAACTAAATGCCACGGCTGGGCGCAGTGGCTCACACCTGTATTCCCAGCACTCTGGGAGGCTGAGGCAGTCAGATCACCTAAGGTTGGGAGTTTGAGACCAGCCTGGCCAACATGGTGAAGCCCCATCTCTACTAAAAATACAAAAATTAGCCAGGCATGGTGGTGTACATCTGTAATCCCAGCTTCTTGGGAGGCTGAGGCATGAGAATCTCTTGAACCCAGGAGACAGAGGTTGCAGTGAGCTGAGGTCGCACCACTGCACTCCAGCCTGCTGGACGACAGAGCAAGACTCTGTCTCAAGAAACAAAACAAAACAAAAACAAAAACTTAAACACCAGGGAACACACACAACACACATACCAATAAGATCATGAAGAAGGAACGGCTGAAAAGTCCACCAATTGCAGTTTATTTGGAGTCTAGCCAAGTACCATTTGTATGTATGTTTCTCTCACTTTCTATTCTACCATATGTGTTGAAAAGACCTATTTTTCCCTAACTGGCAGTGAAACATCATTAAATATATGTACACATATAAACACACACACAATATAGCATGTACACTTAACACACATCCATGCATGGGTACTGAGAGAGCTTGGGCAAGTCAGGGAAGACCCTTATCTGAAGGACATACCCTTGGTGCCATTTGGGAGAACAAACTCCTGTTACTAGCATCACAACAAAAACAGGTGGCAAGCTTTAAAGATAAACTCAAGACAGCGAGTGAAACTTCAGCAAATACGTGTTAATATGACCATGAGTAAAAGGCCCTTCCTGGCCAGGCGCGGTGGCTCACGCGTGTAATATCAGCACTTTCGGAGGTCGAGGCAGGAGGATCACCCGAGATCAGGAGTTCGAGACCAGCCTGGCCAACATGGTGAAACCCTGTCTCCACTAAAAATACAAAAATTAGTTGGGCGTGGTGGTGGGCGCCTGTAATCCCACCTACTTGGGAGGCTGAGGCAGGAGAATCACCTGAACCCAGGAGGTGGAGGTTGCGGTGAGCCTAGATTGTGCCTTTGCACTCCAGCCAGGGTGTTAAGAGTGAAACTCCACCTCAAAAAAAAAAAAAAAAAAAAGACCCTTCCTAAGAACAGCACTGTAACTCATGAGTTATTACGCAGATGCATCTGTCCATCTACCCACCAACTCAGGTCCTCTCCATACACGCCTGTAAGTCACTGGGCTACTGGGAAACTGCATGGGAACACCATGTTCGTGCAGCCTGTCCCCACAGCCATCACTCCTCCCACAGCTCCTGGCTGCCCATGGCACTTCCCTGCAGCAAACTCAGCTGCTGACTTCATAAAAGGCACACAGCTGGACCTGTCTTCACTCATCTGCTTCAATTTACAACAGATTCATCCACAAAACTGAAGTGGTAGAAACAGGTCTATTTGAATCCAGGCATGGTGGCTCATGCCTGTAATCCCAACACTTTGGAAGGCTTAGGCAGGAGGATTGCTTAAGCCCAGGAGTTTGAGACCAGCCTGGCTGACATGGTGAAACTCTGTCTCTACCAAAAGACTTTAAAAATTAGGTGGGGGTGGTGGTGTGTGCCTGTGTTGTCCCCGCTACTCCGGAGGCTGAGGCGGGTGGCTCACTTGAGCCCAGGAAGTTGAGGCTGCAGTGAGCCATGATCGCACCACGGCACTCCAGCCTGGGTGACAGGGAGAGATCCTATCTGAAAAGAAAAAAAAAAGAAAAGAAAAGAAGACAGGTCTTCCTGGGAGCACCTAGACAAAGGCCTTTGTAAAGATATATTACAAAGGAATATTTCTAGTTGCCTCTTTTCTTCAAAATCACAGTCAAGTAAGCTGGGCATGGTGGCTCACATCTGTAATCCCAGCAGTTTGGGAGGCCGAGGTGGGCAGATCACCTGAGGTTAGGAGTTTGAGACCAGCCTGCCCAACATGGTGAAACCCCATCTCTACTAAAAATACAAAAATTAGCCGGGTGTGGTGGCGCATGCCTGTAATCCCAGCTACTTGGGAGCCTACCCAGGAGGCAGAGGTTGCAGTGAGCCGAGATTGTGCCAGTGCACGCCAGCCTGGGTGACAGAGCAAAACTCTGTCTCAGGAAAAAAAAAAAATATCACAGTCTAGTAAAAAGAAACGCAACTAAAAGAGCTGTCAGTTAAATACATTCCTCTCTAATGGCAGGACTAGTCTATAAGATTTGTTTTGTTTTTAATTTAGAGTTTTTTTAATGTTTAAACCTTGTGAAACATCAAATTATATGCTGAAGCTGTTACTTTCTGTCAAAAAAAGTGAGTTTTTAATATGAAAATTCTGCTTAGGTTATTTTTTTTTTTAAAAAAGCAAGTTTTATACATCTGCGTGAATTGTTTCCTTTAGCACTAGTCAAACAGACTCCATAACCTTCCAAAGAAGTGCCTTCATTTATTTATGGGGCTTAGGACAGGAAAAAAGCTCTGGAAAAGGGAAATTTCAAAATAGGGCTTCAGCAGCGGCCCAGGTGGAGTGAGTAGTTTTGATAAGGTCTGGGTGGGACTCACTTCCAGGTGGTGAGGACAGCTCTCCCCGATCTCTCTATCGGCCTGCTCTGGGCCACAGAGACTGGCCCTGACGACTTCTCAGCTCCCGGTCAGCCCTGTCATCCTGGGCCAGTTCTTCATTGTACCTGGAGACAGAAACAGCCAGGATCATGGCAGGCTCTCTTTCGAAGGCAACAGGCAGGGCCACCAGGCTGCTGTGTGGCGAATACGACATTACCCAGAGAAGCGGCCTGAGAGGGCCCTCCGGCTCCTGCTGGCTCCCACCCACCTCCCACCTGGCTCCAGCCTACCTACCTGCGAGGTGGCTTTTGCAGCCTGGCAAACGCTCCCCAAGGCCACCATGCCTATGTGTACAGCCTTGTTGTTATTGTGGACAGTGTTCTCCCCTCAGAAGCTGACATTTTATACAGGTCACCAGATCAAATTTGGCAATGACTCGTTTTATAAGGTCAATATGTATTTACAATTACTCACATTATCTTGAGTTCTCACCGCTGTTGTGTCCTTCCTGAATTTTCATGTCGCATTGGGTCAGCTTCTCTTCTGCCTTTGGAGTCCCTGTTTAATATTACCTTTAGGGGCAGTCTGTCGGTAGCATATTTTTCCAATTTTTGCTTTTGGAAGAAGGCTTTGCTTCAACCCAGTGGTGAGCACATGTGAGGCTGTTGTTTATTAATCGAATATTTCCCCCTTTTATTTTTGAGACAGAGTTTTGCTCTGTCACCCAGGCTGAATTGCAGTGGCGTGATCTTGACTCACTGCAACCTCTGCCGCCTGGTTTCAAGCGATTCTCCTGCCTCAGCCTCCCAAGTAGCTGGGATCATAGGTGTCTGCCACCATGGCCGGCTAATTTTTTGGGTTTTTAGTAGAGGCGGAATTTCACCCTGCTGGCCAGGCTGGTCTCAATCTCCTGACCTTGTGATCCACCCGCCTCGGCCTCCCAAAGTTCTGCGATGACAGGTGTGAGCAACTGTGCCCAGCCTTCCTCTCCTTTTTTTTTTTTCCCCAAAAGAAACACGGAGTTGGAGACAGACTTATTAGCATTGAAGGGAGAGATCTGATGAAGAGAAATGGGGCCACATTGAGGCAGTGTCCTGGGAGGAGCTGTGGTTTTTACGTCTGTCGGTGTTAGGGGGAAAGATGTGGACCAGGGTGGTAGCCAGTGGGCTAAGGGTGAGGCTCCCACCTCACAGGGAGGTGGAGAGAAAGACATGGAGACAGAGAGACAGAGACAGAGAGGCAGAAACAGACAGACCCACAGAGAGAGAGGGAAACAGAGATGAAGAGACAGAAACACACAGACAGACAGTGATAGAAAAAGGGAGACACAGAAATAGAGGGACAGATACAGAGATGGAGAGAAAGACAGAGACAGATAGAGAGACACTAAGAGAGACACAGAGAGAGAAAGAGATGGAGACAGAGAGACAGAGACAGAGAAGCAGAAACAGAGACAGATACACAGAGAGAGCGAGACATAGATGAAGAGACAGAAACACAGAGAGACAGTGATAGAAAGGGAGACACAGAAACAGAGGGACAGATACAGAGATGGAGAGAAAGACAGAGACAGACAGAGAGACACTAAGAGAGACACAGAAAGAGATGGAGACAGAGAGACAGAGACAGGCAGAAACAGAGACAGACACACAGAGGGAGACAGAGATGAAGAGACAGAAACACACAGAGAGACAGTGATAGAAAGAGGGAGACACAGAAACAGAGGGACAGATACAGAGATGGAGAGAAAGACAGAGACAGACAGAGAGACACTAAGAGAGACACAGAGAGAGAAAGAGATGGAGACAGAGAAGCAGAAACAGAGACAGACAGAGAGAGAGAGGGAGACAGAGATGAAGAGACAGCAACACACAGAGAGATAGTGATAGAAAGAGGGAGACACAGAAACAGAGGGACAGATACAAAGAAAGAGAGACACTAAGAGAGACACAGAGAGAGAAAGACTGACATATACATAGAAAGAGGGAGAGAGGCCGGGCACGGTGGCTCACACCTGTAATCCCAGCACTTTGGGAGGCCGAGGCAGGCGGATCATGAGGTCAGGAGATCGAGGCCATCCTGGCTAACACGGTGAAACCCCGTCTCTACTAAAAATACAAAAAAATTAGCCAGGCGTGGTGGCGAGCACCTGTAGTCCCAGCTACTCGGGAGGCTGAGGCAGGAGAATGGCGTGAACCCGGGAGGCGGAGCTTGCAGTGAGCGGAGATCGAGCCACTGCACTCCAGCCTGGGTGACAGAGTGAGACTGTCTTTCAAAAAAGTAAGTAAATAAATAAATAATGGGGGGGGAGCTTCCTCCATCTTTATTTTAGAGACATGGGGGATTTTCAGGTAAGGTGTTAGTATATGAAAGCAATGTCCTCTTCCCCTGGGGAGAGGCTAAAATAGGGAGAGATGGGGAAGGAAATCCTTGAGGGAGCCCCAGGCATTAGTCCAACCAGGAGCACTAAGGGCCAGAACCAGAACATGTTACTTGGCCTGAGTGTGACTTCTGGTGTAAGAAAAACAGACCCTGAAGGTCTTTGTGAAACTTTAGTTTCTCCTTCTAAAGAAATGCCTGTTTATTTTACAGATGCAAAGGGTAACCACATTAATTCCAAGGCAGTTTTCCAAAGTATTATAATGATCCCAACAAGAAAATGGCATTTCAGTTCAAATGTTACTGAGTTCCAGGGAAACGGTTAGATACCCAGGCTGTGGAACTGGGTTGGATGCAGGACTCAGGATCCAGAGACAAGGAAGGCAGCATCATAAGTCAGCCACCCATAAATGCAATATTATAGTAGTCCCAATTTCTTTTTGAGGTTTGTTCCAATCAACAGCAACTGAAACACAACTCAGAGTAAGTTAGGCAGAGAAAGAAAATTGTTGAACTAATATAACTGTGAGATCCTATGATGGAGCTGACCTCAGGATTCCCAAGGACTTAAGAAATCTCTAGATAGATAGATAGATAGATAGAGACATAGATAGAGAAAAAAATAGATATAGATAGAATAAATAGATGATAAATACATAGGATAGATAAATAGCTAGATGATAGGTAATATATATAGATATGTAGATGTTTAATGGATACATAAAATAGGTAGATAAATAGGATGGATAGATACATAATTGATACATAACTAGGACAGATAGATACATGATAGATACATTGATACACAGGATAGATAAATGATAGGTAGATAGATAAGATGGATAGATACATAGATAAATAGATTAGATAGGAGAGATGATAGATAGGTAGATAGATAGATAGATAGTTAGAATAGGATGGTTGATAGATAGTCACATAGAATAAGAAGGATGATAGATGATAGAGAGAGGGATAGAAAGATAGGATAGATGATGGGTAGATGGTTAGATAGATAGGATAGATGATAGATAGATAATAGATAGATGGAATAAATATCGTATAACTGCATAAACAAATGTATGGAAATAAGCAAATAACCATGACTTAAATAAGATGGAAGTTTGTTTCTCTCTGATATGATAGGAGGCCAGAACAAGGGGTCCAGGTTATTGTACAGATTCAAGATGTCAGGCATTTTGAATGTTGTTGCTCCACTATTTTAGTATGTGACTTTCTACTCATGGTTCAATATGGTGGCATGGTCTCCAGCCCTCACATCTCCATTGCAGCTAGCAGCAAAAGGAGAGGGAAGAGTTCACATTCACTTTTTTACAAAATTAAAGAGATTTTTATGGTCTTAATACATTCCTACTTACTTCTCATGAGCTCAAAGTTCATCATACAGTCACACAGAGCTGCAAGGGAGTCTAGGAAAAACAGTCTCAAAAAGTAGAGGTGGACAGCTTCTCAGGGATCTCCCAAGTTCTGATGACTCTCTCAACTCTCTGCTTCTCTCTGGGTTCCAGACTAGATTCTCTCAGAAAAAGTCTTGGAATATAGGATGGAAAAAAAAAATCCAGCTGCTGCAGCTATAGATTCACAGTCTGAGCTTCTCCCACCACCCTCTCAGTCTTTGCTGATCAAATTCAGGGGAAGGTTAACTAGCCTGTCTTGAACCATATGTCTATCTCTGGGATAATCTCTGCACCTGAGAAAGGCTGGCTTCTCAGAGCAGATGATTTTGTTGTTGTTGTTGTTAAACTTTAAAAGATGAATCAGATGTTACAATGACTCAGGGCTGGGCAGGCAAACTCAGGGAACTAGGAAATTGATGATGGAGTCAGAGATTGAGGTGCTGGGTGTGATGTGATGAAGTACAGACAGAGAGGCCACATCTTTCCATGTGTGAATTTATGAAAGATTTCAGACACTTAGGTAAGGATCCTGAACTATTCTCTGCAGTTGATGAGAAACCACCAACATTTTGTGACCAGTCATGTCAACATTTATGCTTATACATATTAAATAGGTCTAAATGTGTTTAGACCTATTACCTTGGAACCCATGCATAGGATGGATGAGAAGGGATGGCACTGAAGATGGAAGCCTGGAGACTCTGGCATGGGATGGATGGTGGTAATGGAGTCTTTGAACCTGGAGCATGGAGTGGGAAGGAAGAAGTGAGAAGGCATTCAAAGTCACCAGTGAGGCTGGGCACCATGGCTCACACCTGTAATCCCAGCACTTTGAGAGGTCAAGACAGGCAGATCACTTGAGCTCCGGAGTTCAAGACCAGCCTGGGCAACATGATGAGACCCCCATCTCTATTAAAAATAGAAAAAATAGCCAGGAGTGGTGGTGTGTGCCTGTAGTCCTAGCTACTAGGGGAGCTGAGGTGGGAGGATCACTTAAGCCCAGGAGGTGGAGGTTGCAGTGAGCTGAGATTGTGCCACTGCACTCCAGCCCAGGTGACAGAGTGAGACATTGTCTCAAACAAACAAACAAATTAAAATAACACAAACACACACACAAAAACAAAAAAACAAAAATACAAAAACAAACAAAAAACAGTCACCACAGAAGCAAACTGTTGTGTCTCTTTGATGTTGAGGGAAAAATCAAACGTGACTTCAGAGCTCTAACCTGAAAGGTTGAGTGGGAAACAAACTCCCAATAAAAGAACATAAATTATGTCTGGGGGAGAAAAGAAGACAAAGTTGAGTTCAGCCTTTGCTTTATTGATTCTTCTTCTGAAGGAGGTTCTTCTAAAACAGGGAGTCACATTTAGCCTTTGCTCGTTCTTCTCCTCTTCCCAAAGGGGTTCTTCTAAATGTTGGGCTGAACTAGGGCTCAAACATAAGCTTCCTTCTCTCTCCAGGGGATCTCACTCAGCCCCAGGACTTGACACATCCACTCAAAATCCTAAATTCCCATCTCTGGCTTTGACATCTTTTCTCTACTTCAGATTCATGCATGTAACTGTATCCTCAACTTCTCAGCTCAGATAAATGATTAGGGCTTCCAAGTTAACCCATCCCAAACCATCTGGAAAGCCTTCACTGGATTCACCACCACCCCTGAGAAGTGTTTTGGCAGAAGACTTTGGAAACTTTGAACTCTTCTTTCTCTCATCTCCCCCTTATACAATTCATTGGCAAGTCTCTTGAATGACCTCAAATATTTGTCAAATTGGATCAGATTTTCCTGCCTTTGCTTTCTTCACCCTCATGCATGACATATGTCATCTGGATCATAGCCACATCCTCTTGATTGATCTCTTGGCTTCTGTCCTGGTTTCTGCTTTGATCCTGGAATTATTCTTAAGCAGAGAAATCTTTCAAAAATAGAGATGATTTTTAGCTTGTGGTCCTCATCCCTTGCTAATGACTAAATAGCAAAGTTTCCCAAAATTTGTATGTTGAAGGCCTAACCCCTACTAGTCATGTCCCTCCAAAATGCACCATATGGAAACCCTAATCCCCAATGGGATGATATTAGGAGGTGAAGTCTCTGGAGGTGATGAGGTTTAGATGAGGTCATGAGGATGGGTCCTTCATGACGGGATTAGTATCCTTATAAGAAGAGCGAGAGACACAAAAGTGCTCTCTCTCTCTCTCTCTTTCTCTCTCTGAACGCACCATCTGTGAACCAGCAAGAGGACCCACTCCAGACAATAAATCTGCCATACCTTGATCTCGGACTTCCCCATCTCCAGAACTGTGAGAAATCAATGGCTGTTACTTAAGCCACCCAGTCTATAATTTTTGTTATGGCAACCCGAGCTGAATAAGACATCCCTCATTGCCACTCAAAACCCGCCAATAATTTCACATCGAAGTCAGAATACAATCTAACTACTTCCCTATGGCTTCTTTGTAACTCTGTCCCTGGTCACTTGCTCCAACTGGGACTCTGTGGTCCCAATAAAATAACGTAAATTATGTCTGGGGAAGAAAAGAAGACAAAGTTGAGTTCAGCCTTTGCTTTACTGATTCTTCTTCTGAAGGGGGTTCTTCTAAAACAAGGAGTCATCACGTTTAGCCTTTGCTTGTTCTTCTTTGCTGCCCCCTTGGGCATCCCCCCAGTCATGCCAAATTCATTCCTGCTGCAGACCTCCAGTACATTACTCCTTCTGTGAGTGTCCTCTGGCCGCCATCACCAATGATCACATTCGTATTGGCTTAAAGCAACACAAATGTATTGTCTTACAGTGTTGTAGTTTTGAAGCCCACCCTGGGTCTCACTGGCCTAAAACCAAGGTGTCAGCAAAACTTCCCTCTTGATGCAAGTTCTGGGGGAGAATCAGTTTCCTTGCCATTTCCTGCTTCTAGGGGAATGTTTCTAGAGTATTTCTTGGCTCCTGGACCCTTCCTTGAACTTCAGAGCCAGTAGTGCAGCATCTTCTAATTTCTCTGTGACTCTGACCTTTGCTTTTGTCCTAACATCACCTCCTCTGGCTCTGGCACTCCTGCCTCCCTCTTACAAAGATCCTGTGATGATCTTAGACCCAGCTGGATAATCCAGGGTCATTTCATCTCATGATTCTTAAACTAATCACATCTGCAAAATCTTTTTAGCCATGACAGGTTTTTACAGATTTCTAGAATTAGGATGTGGATTTTTTTTTGAGGGGGGGAAGGGGGTGCTTACTCTGTCAACCACATGGGGATTAGGATGTAGACATCCTTGGGGCCATTATCCTGTCTGCTACCTAGTATTAGGACATGGACATCTTTGGGACCATTATTCTCTGTATCACATGAGGATTAGGACATGGGTATCTTTGGGACCATTATTCTGTCTCCCACATGGGGATTAGGATGTGGACATCTTTGGGGCCATTATTCTGTCTGCCACGTGGGGATAAGGATGTGTACATCTTTGAGGCCATTATTCTGTCTACCACATGGGGATTAGTATGTGGACATCTTTGGGGTCATTATTCTGTCTACCACATGGGGATTAGGACGTGGACATCTTTGGGGCCATTATTCTGTCTGCCACGTGGGGATTAGGATGTGTACATCTTTGGGGCCATTATTCTGTCTATCACATGGGGATTAGGACGTGGACATCTTTGGGGCCATTATTCTGTCTGCCACATGGGGATTAGGATGTGTACATCTTTGGGGCCATTATTCTGTCTATCACATGAGGATTAGGACGTGGACATCTTTGGGGCCATTATTCTGTCTGCCACATGGGATTAGGACATGGACATATTTGAGGCCATTATTCTGTCTACCAAATGGAGATTAGGATGTGGACATCTTTGGGGCCATTATTCTGTCTCCCACATGAGGATTAGGATGTGGACATCTTTGAGGCCATTATTCTGTCTCTCACATGGGATTAGGATGTGAAGATCTTTGGGAACATTATTGTTTTCACCACATGGGATTAGGACATGGACATCTTTGGGGCCATTATTCTGTCTACCACACGGGATTAGGATGTGGACATCTTTGGGACCACTATTCTGTCTACCTCATGGGGATTAGGATATGGACATCTCTGGGACCATTATTCTGTCTACCACATGGGAAATAGGATGTTGGTCACATCTTTAGGATCATTATTCTGTCTCCCACATGGGGATTAGGATGTGGACATCTTTGGGGCCATTATTCTGTCTACCACATGGGGATTAGGACATGGACATCTCTGGGGACATTATTCTGTCTACCACATGGGGAATAGGATATTGGTAACATCTTTAGGGCCATTATTCTGTCTACCACATGGGGATTAGGACATGGATATCTTTGGGGCCATTATTCTGTCTACCACGAGATAATTAGAACTTGGACATCGTTGGTGAAATCACTTTGTCTTTGTCCTTTCTTATTCTTAGAATTCTAGTGACAAGCGTCTTCTTCTTCCTCAACTTCTTCTTCCTCAGCGTTCCTATGGGGCCTCCAACACTCACCAGACAGCTCCCTGACTGCATTACCCTAGATTGTATTTGGCCAAGATTCTCGGGTTTTTCTTGGTTTCTCCAAGCAGGATGGAAGCTTTAGAGGGCAGAGTGTTTGTTACTCTTTCTTATTCTAATTGTGTATTCTTATTTATTGACGTGTCTCCAGCTTTCAAGGCAGATTCTCACCCATTAGGTCTTCTATATACAATTAAATTTACCTAGAAAGTATTTCCTTCTTATTTAAAACTTTTTAAAAGTAAATTCATGTATACATATGTAACCAACCTGCATGTCGTGCACATGTACCCTAAAACTTAAAGTATAATAATAATAAAATTTTAAAAAAAGAAAGATAACAACCAAAAAACAACAAAAAAGTAAATTCCAAAATTTCTATATCACATTACAAATTCACATGCCACCATGAAGAATACATTTGCAAAATAAATGATGTCTTGAGACGAAATGAGTTTTCAATGAAGATTTTAGAGACTTCATTTTTATTTTTATTTTTTAGACAGAGTCTCACTCTGTCACCCTGGCTGTAGTGCAGTGGCACGATCTCGGCTCACCACAACCTCTGCCTCCCGCGTTCAAGCAATTCTCTGCCTCAGCCTCCCGAGCAGATGAGATTACAGGAACCCTCCACCTTGTCCGGCTAATTTTTGTATTTTTAGTAGACACAGGTTTCACCTTCTTGGCCAGGCTGGTCTTGAACTCCTGACCTCAGGTAATCCCCCCACCTCGGCCTCCCAGAGTGCTAGGATTACAGATGTGAGCCACCGTGCCTGGCCGAGACTTTTTAATACATGCTTTGGTTCTAATAAAGTTCCCCCTTGAGCTGTTTGGACAGATGACAGGGAAGAAATCATTTACAATTCTCTTAACAAAACCCCCGTAAATAATAACCCATTTCCCCCCAAATAGAAAAGGGAACTATTTCACCCTGCTCTTTGAGGAACTTGAATAAATAGTAAATGAAGTTCTGTCTGTACAGGAAGGGTGGGTACTTGGCATTACATCTAGACAAGTAAAGACACAAGTGTTTTCTTCCAAATGAATGACATGTTTAAAAACCATCATCACCACCCTCTCTGTGATTACAGGTTTTGCGTGCCTTTTAACCACTGGGTGCTAGAAGCAAATTTCCATGTGAACACACCCTCCTTCTTCTTCTCCTCCTGCTCCTCCCGCTCCTCCTCCTCCTTCTTTTCTCCTTCTCCTTCTCCTTCTTCTTCTTCTTCCTCTTCTTCCCCTTCCTCCTCTCCTTCTCTTTCTTCTCCTTGTTCTACCTCTTCTCCCTCTTCCTCTTCTTCCTCCTCTCCTTCTTCTTCTTCTTTTTCCCCTTCCCCTTCCTCCTCCTTCTCCTCCTCCTCCTCCTTCTCCTCCTCCTCCTTCTCCTCCTCCTCCTTCTCCTCCTCCTCCTCTTCTTCTTCTTCTCCTTCTCCTTCTCCTTCTCCTTCTCCTTCTCCTTCTCCTTCTCCTTCTCCTTCTCCTTCTCCTTCTTCTTCTTCTTCTTCTCCTTCTCCTTCTCCTTCTCCTTCTCCTCCTTCTCCTTCTCCTTCTTCACTTCAAGTTATGGTATACATTTGCAGAACGTGCAGGTTTGTTACATAGGTATACATGTGCCATGGTGGTTTGCTGCACCTATCAACCCATCATCTAGGTTTTAAGTCCTGCCTGCATTATGTATTTGTCCTAATGCTGTCCCTCCCCTTTCCCCCAACCCCCAGACAGGCCCCAGTGTGTTATGTTACCCTCTCTGTGTCCATGTGTTCTCATTGTTCAACTCCCTCTTATGAGTGAGAACATGCGGTGTTTGGTTTTCTGTTCCTGTGTTAGTTTGCTGAGAATGATGGCTTCCAGCTTCATGCATGTCCCTGCAAAGGACATGAATGCATCCCTTTTTATGGCTGCATAGTATTCCATGGTGTCTATGTGCCACATTTTCTTTATCCAGTTTATCACTGATGGGCATTTGGGTTGGTTCCAAGTCTTTGCTGTTGTGAATAGGAGCACATCCTCCTGATTCAACAATGAGATCATCGTCCACTGTTCTGTTCAGGACTACGGAAAGGTCCCAGGCTGCTAAGACAATCTCGAATTCTCTCAACACCCCACAGCTTGTCAATACTGGAGGTATTCTGGTGATTTTTTTTTTTTTTTGGAAAGTGGCTATTTATATATCACAAGGTTTCTTGATTACAAAAGCAGTCAACTGGCCAGGTGCAGTGGCTCATGCCTGTAATCCCAGCACTTTGGGAGGCCAAGGCTGGTGGATCATGAGGTCAGGAGATCGAGACCAGCCTGGCCAACATGGTGAAACCCTGTCTCTACTAAAAATACAAAAATTAGCCAGGCATGGTGGTCATCCTTTTTTACGGCTGCATAGTATTCCATGCATATGTGGCACATTTTCTTTAAGGGTGAAGGTTGGGAGGAGGGAAAGGATCAGAAAAAAATAACTTATTGTGTACAAAGCTTTGTACCTGGGTGATAAAATAATCTGTACAACAAACCCCTATGACATGAGTTTACCTATATAACAAACCCACACATGTACCCCTAGACCTAAATAAAAGTGTTTTTGTTTGTTTGTTTTTTGTTTTTGTTGTGTTTGTATGTTTGTAATCCCAACTACTTGGGAGGCTGAGGCAGGAGAATTGCTTGAACCCGGGAGGTGTAGGTTGCAGTGATCAGAGATCACTCCAGCCTGGGTGACAGAGTGAGACTCCATCTCCAAAAAAAAAAAAAAAAACACTCGTCTCTCTACCTACCTGCTCTCTTTCCCCATTCCTGTTACATAGATTACTTCTTACCTCCCCAGGTACCCTGGAAGGTCAGGGTCTTCCCTTCTTCCTTCTATTTAAATAAAACAATATGAGAAAACTGCTTGACAAGTGGTTCCAAGCATCAGTGGGGTGAAAAAACAATATTCTTCATGATGTGGGTAACACCAGGAAAAAAAATCAGTGTCTCTTGTCCATAGGTTCTCATCATTTAGCTCTCACTTTTATTTTTAATTAATTAATTTTTTTTGAGACAGAGTCTCACTCTGTCACCCAGGCTGGACTGCAGTGGCAAGATCTCGGCTCACTGTACACTCCACCTCCCGAGTTCAAGTGATTCTCCTGGGTCACTGGGATTACAGGTGTCTGCCAGCACTCCTGGCTAACTTTTGTATTTTCAGTAGAGACAGGACTTCACCATATTGGTCAGGCTGGTCTAGAACTCCTGTCCTCAAATGATCTGCCCTCCTCGGCCTCCCAGAGTGCTGGAATTACAGGCATGAGCCACTGTGCCCAGCTGGTAACGCTCTTTCATGATAGGATCTTTATTTTTAAATTTATTTATTTATTTTGAGACTGAGTCCCACTCTGCCGCCCAGGCTGGAGTACAGTGGCGCGATCTCGGCTCACTGCAACCTTCACCACCCAGGTTCAAGTGAGTCTTCTGCCTCAGTGCCCCCCAAGTGTCTAGGATTACAGGCACGTGCCACCAAGCCCAGCTAATTTTTGTATTTTTAGGAGAAATGAGGTTTCATCATGTTGGCCAGGCTGGTCTCAAACTCCTGACCTTAAGTGATCCACCCACCTTGGCCTCCCAATGTGATGGAATTATAAGTGTGAGCCACCACACCCAGCTGGCTCCCACTTTTAAATGAAAACGTGTGGTATTTAGTTTTCTGTTCCTACATTGGTTTGCTAAGCATACCATAGCTCCAGCTGTGTTCCTGCAAAGGAAATGAGCTCATACTTTTTTATGGCTGCATAGTATTCCATGCATATGTGGCACATTTTCTTTAAGGGTGCAGGTTGGGAGGAGGAAATGGATCAGAAAAAAATAACTTATTGTGTACAAAGTTTGTACCTGGGTGACAAAATAATCTGTACAACAAACCCCTATGACATGAGTTTACCTATATAACAAACCCGCACAGGTACCCCTGGACCTAAAATAAAGTGTTTTTGTTTGTTTGTTTGTTTGTTTTTGTTGTGTTTGTATGTTTGTTTGAGATGGAGTCTCTGCCTTTGTTGCTCAGGCCAGAGTACAGTGGTGCAATCTTGGCTCACTGCAACCTCCACCTCCCAGAAAAAGAAAGCAAATACGGCAAACAGCATCAGCTTTTTAGAAGAAGCTGGAGCTTCTGGTGGGTGGACCATGCTGGAGCTTCTGGTGGGTGGGCGATGCTGGAGCTTCTGGTGGGTGGACGATGCTGAATCTTCTGGTGGGTGGACCATGGTGGAGCTTCTGGTGGGTAAATAATGCTGGAGCTTCTGGTGAGTAGACCATGGTGGAGCTTCTGGTGGGTGGACCATGTTGGGGCTTCTGGTGGGTGAACCATACTGGAGCTTCTGGTAGGTGGACCATGGTGGAGCTTCTGGTGGGTAGACCATGGTGGAGCTTCTGGTGGATGGACCATGCTGAGCTTCTGGTGGGTGAAGCATGCTGGAGTTTCTGGTAGGTGGACCATAGTGGAGCTTCTGGTGGATAGACCATGGTGGAGCTTCTGGTGGGTGGAGCATGCTGGAGCTTCTGGTGGGGTAAATCATGCTGGAGCTTCTGGTGGGTAAATCATGCTGGAGCTTCTGGTGAGTAGACCACGGTGGAGCTTCTGGTGGATAAATTATGCTGGAGCTTCTCGTGGGTAAATCATGCTGGAGCTTCTGGTGGGTGGACCATGCTGGAGCTTCTCATGGGTAAATTATGCTGGAGCTTCTGGTGGGTGGACCATGCTGGAGCTTCTGGTGAGTGGACCATGCTGGAGCTTCTGGTGGGTGGATCATGCTGGAGCTTCTGGTGGATGGACCATGCTGGAGCTTCTGGTGGGTGGACAATGCTGGAGCTTCTGGTGAGTAGACCATAGTGGGAGCTTCTTGGAGGTAAATTATGCTGGAGCTTCTGATGGGTGGACCATGCTGGAGCTTCTGGTGGGTGGACCATGGTGGAGCTTCTGGTGGGTAAATTATGCTGGAGCTTCTGGTGAGTAAATCATGCTGGAACCTCTGGTGGGTAAATCATGCTGGAGCTTCTGGTGGGTAAATTATGTTGGAGCCTCTGGTGGGTAAATCATGCTGAAGCTTCTGGTGGGTAAATCATGCTAGAGCCTCTGGTGGGTAAATCATGCTGGAGCCTCTGGTGGGTAAATCATGCTGGAGCCTCTGGTGGGTAAATCATGCTGGAGCCTCTGGTGGGTGGGGGTATCCACACACCTGTGGGTGCCCATTGATAGTGGGGACTTCACCCCATGTCCCAGAATCCTGCAAGGAGGCCACACGCCCCATACATTCTTTACAGTAAGTTAATACGTCCACAGCACGCTGTGCGTTTCCCCAAAAATGACATTGGCCAATTACACTTTCAAATCACATGCCTTCCTGATGGGCAAAACTGGAAATGTGAACACACTTTAATCCTCAGATAATGTAATGGTTTACATCTGGGGCTCTTCAGGCAGCCCATGGCTGGTTCACGTTGCTCCCTTCCAAGAAATGTTTTGCAGTATGTGTCTTGATTAATAACGATTTAAACATGGAAAATAAATGCTTTCCTCTTAGGCGTCCACCTGTCTATCACCTGGAGTCTGGGAGGATGGCCCTTCTTTTCAACGGCATTCGCCAAGCCAGTCTCCATGAATCACTGACAGAATCCTCTAATGGTTTCCTTTTTTGTTGTTGTTGTTTAACACTTAAGCATTGTTGTTGTTTAACACTTAAGCCTTTTTTTTTTTTTCCCTGAGACGGAGTCTTGCTCTATCACCCAGGCTGCAGTGCAGTAGTGCGATCTCGGCTCACTGCAACATCCGCCCCCCGGGTTCACACCATTTTCCTGTCTCAGCCTCCCGAGTAGCTGGGACTACAGGCACCCGCCACCATGCCCGGCTAATTTTTTGTATTTTTAGTAGAGATGGAGTTTCACCATGTTAGCCAGGATAGTCTCGATCTCCTGACCTCGTGATCCACCAGCCTCTGCCTCCCAAAGTGCTGGGATGACAGGCGTGAGCCACTGTGCCCAGCCTTTTTTTTTTTTTTTTTTTTTTAGAACAGTCCATTTGTCCCTGGAAAGCTGCATATATATTTGTATATAATAATGTTGGAATTTCATTTATTTATTTATTTATTTTTTGAGACAAAATCTCACTCTTGTCGACCAGGCTGGAGTGCAGTGGTGTGATCTCGGCTCACGGCAACCTCCATCTCCCAGGTTCAAGCGATTCTCCTGCCTCAGCCTCCTGAGTAGCTGGGTTGACAGGCATCTGCAACAACGCCCGGATAATTTTTTTGTATCTTTTTTTCAGTAGAGACGGGGTTTCACCATGTTAGCCAGGATGGTCTTGATCTCCTGACCTCGTGATCCACCTGCCTCGGCCTCCCAACCCAAAGTGCTGGGATTACAGGCATCACCCACCGTGGGGGCCTTTTTTTTTTTTTTAGAACAGTCCATTTGTCCTTGGAAAGCTGCATATATATTTGTATATAATAATTTGGAATTTCATTTATTTATTTATTTATTTTTTGAGACAAAATCTCTCTCTTGTTGCCCAGGCTGGAGTACAGTGGTGTGATCTCCCGCCTCCCGGGTTCAAGCGATTCTCCTGCCTCGGTCTCCTGAGTAGGAGGTGTGTTACATGGGAATATTGTGTGATGTTCGGGTTTGGGGTACAAGTGATCCCCTCACCCTGATACTGAGCATAGTAACCAGGAGGTTGCCCTGCCCTGCCCTGCCTTGCCTTTCTTTTCTTTTCTTTTTTTTTTCTTTTTTGTTTTCTTTCTTTCTTCTTCTTCTTTTTTGTTTTTTTTTTTGAGACAGACTCTCACTTTGTTGCCCAGGCTGGAGTTCAGTGGTGGAATCTCAGCTCACTGCAACCTCCGGCTCCCGGGTTCAAGCAATCCTCACCCCTCAGCTTCCCAAGTAGCTGGGATTACAGGTGTGCACCAGCACACCTAGCTAATTTAAAAAAAAAAATTGTAAAGATGACGTCTTGCCATGTTGCCGGTCTCAAGCTCTTGCGCTCAAACCTTCCACCTGCTACAGCCTCTTAAAGTGCTGGGATTACAGGTGTGAGCCACCTCACCCAGCCAAACACGCCAGACACTTTGCATTTGCTCAATAAGGCTTCGTGGTTATTTGAGGTTTTCAACCCTAGCCTCCCTCCCTTCCTCCCTCCCTCCCTCTCTTCTGCTAGTCCCCCAGCTTCTGTTGTTCCCATGTTTATATCCGCGTATATCCAACACTTAGCTCCCACTTATAAGTTGAGAACATGCAGGATTTGTTTCTGTGTTCCTGTGATAATGATCTTAGGATAATATTCCCCAGCTGCATCCAGGTTGCCACAAAGGACGTGATTTCTTTCTTCCTTATAGCGTATTCCATGGCAAAGCTACATATTTCAAAGTACTTCAGTGATGTAATTCACACCAATACATCAAAAACGAGATAAATAAATAACCTAAGACATTTTTTTCAGTGTTTGCCGTCGGAGTAATGAGCGCACCCAATCTGGTTGTAATTTTTCTCTCCCAGTTTGCTGAGCAGAGAGGCCCAGCTTTTTCCAATGTGACTTGGGGCAAATTCACCTGGCCGGTCAGCTCAAGAGACAGAGATTAAGCCGCACTACAGCCAGGTACTGTTTCCAAGAAACTCAAGACTCCTTCCTCTGGCCCTGTGCACAGAGACAGCTGAGGATAAGACACCACCTTTACTTTAAGGGCACAAGACACGTAGAAATGAACAGGTAGCATTCCGTGGGAAGAAATATCCTCAGGACGTGTGTGTGTGTGTGTGTATGTGTCTAAGTCTCCTGTGTGTGTATGCGTGTGTGTGTGTGTGTGTCTAAGTCTTGCTCTGTCACCCAGGCTGGAGTGCAGTGGCACGATCTCGGCTCACTGCAACCTCCGCCTCATGGGTTCAAGCGATTCTCCTGCCTCAGCCTCCCGAGGAGCTGGATTGACAGGCACCTGCCACCACACCTGGCTAATTTTTTGTATTTTTTTAATAGAGATGGGGTTTCACCGTGTTAGCCAGGATGGTCTCGATCTCCTGACCTCGTGATCCACCCGCCTCTGCCTCCCAAAGTGCTGGGATGACAGGCGTGAGCCACTGGTGCCTGGCCTATTTATTTATTTTTGAGCCACTGGCGCCTGGCCTATTTATTTATTTTTGAGACAGAGTCTTGCTCTCTCGCCTAGGCTGGAGTTCAGTGGAGCGATCTCGGCTCAGTGCAACCTCCGCCTCCTGGGTTCAAGCGATTCTCCTGCCTCAGCCTCCCGAGTAGCCGGGATTACAGGCGTCCACCACCACACCCGGCTAATTTTTATATTTTTCGTAGAGAAGGGGTTTCACCATGTTGGCCAGGCTGGTCTCGAACTCATGACCTCAGGTGATCTGCCCTCAGGGTACCCTCTGGACTTTTAAATAGCAGAATCCCCCTCAAAGAGCACCAGCCACTGTCTCTATAACTGGCCCACAGGGTCTCTTTGGGATGATTTTAAAACCCAGCACAACGAAGGGCCGGGCGAGGTAGCTCACGCCTGTAATCCCAGCACTTTGAGAGCCCAAGGCGGGTGGATCATCTGAGGTCAGGAGTTCAAGACCAGCCTGACCAACATGGTGAAACCCCGTCTCTACTAAAAATACAAAAATTAGCCTGGCGTGGTGGTGGGCGCCTGTGACCCCAGCTACTCGGGAGGCTGAGGCAGGAGAATCACTTGAACCTGGGAGGCGAGCCCAGATCGCACCGTTGCAGTCCAGCCTGGTGACAGCAAGGCTTCATCTCAAAAGATAAATAAGTGAAGAAATAAATAAATGTAAAATAAAATAAAATAAAATAAAAACAGTAAAGGAGTGAAGCTCTGAGACAGGCTACAATGTTTATGAATCTGAAAAGATAGCATTCTGTGAAAAAAAGGCAAGCCCCAAAAAAACCACAGATTGGGCCGGGCGTGGTGGCTCACGCCTGTAATCCCAGCACTTTGGGAGGCCGAGGTGGGCAGATCACTTGAGGTCAGTAGTTCGAGAACAGCCTGGCCAACATGGGGAAACTTCATCTCTATTAAAAATACAAAAATTAGCCTGGCGTGGTGGCTGGTGCCCGTCAACCCAGCTACTTGGGAGGCTGAGGCAGGAGAATCGCTTGAACCCGGGAGGCGGAGGTTGCACTGAGCCAAGATCGTGCCACTGCACTCCAGCCTGGGTGAGAGAGCAAGACTCCATCTCAAAAATAAATAAATAGGCCGGGTGCAGTGGCTCACACCTGTAATCCCAGCACTTTGGGAGTCCGAGGTGGGTGTATCACGAGGTCAGGAGATCAAGACCGGCCTGGCCAACATGGTGAAACCCCATCTCTACTAAAAAAACAAATACAAAATATTAGCCGGGCATGGTGGCAGGTGCCTGTCAACCCAGCTACTCAGGAGGCTGAGGCAGGAGAATTGCTTGAACCCAGGAGGCGGAGCTTGCACTGAGCCGAGATCGTGCCACTGCACTCCAGCCTGGGCGAGAAAGTGAGACTCCGTCTCAAAAATGAATAAATAGGCCAGGCATGGTGGCTCACGCCTGTAATCCCAGCACTTTGGGAGGCCGAGGCAGATGGATCACAAGTTCAGGAGATCGAGACCATCCTGGCTAACATGGTGAAACCCCATCTCCACTAAAAAAAAAAAATACAAAAAATTAGCTTGGTGTGGTGGCACGTGCCTGTAGTCCCAGCTACTTGGGAGGCTGAGGCAGGAGAATGGCTTGAACCTGGGAGGTGGAGGTTGCAGTGAGCCGAGATCGCGTCACTGCACTACAGCCTGGGCAAGAGAATGAGTCTCTGTCTCAAAAATAAATAAATAACAATAAATAATTAATAAACACAGTGGAGATGCTCCAAACCCGCCAAGACTAGGCTGTTCCTCCTCGGGGAACACGTGGGCAGATGCTGAACCGGGAAGGCCCCAAGACGTTGCAGGGTGAGTAATTTCCGAGCATGCAATTATAAAGAACCGGAGTGCAACAGCTCCCCAAGGCACCCCCGGATTCCCGCAGCGTGCACGTAATTGCAGCCAGAGAGTAACCTCGCTGTGGCCTGTGTCCCAGCCCTAACCCTGCACCCCACTTGGCACTCCCACATATGGGACAATTTTCCCAGCTGATTGCTGGAAACTGATGAAGGGAAGTTATGTGGCCTCTTGTGATGGGCGGTCCCACAGCTGCTCTGGTTGGAGAGAGAGAGAGAGACAGGGGAGGGGGGGGAGAGAGAGAGACAGGGAAGAGAGAGAGAGAGAGAGACAGGGGAGAGAGAGAGAGATGGGGAGAGAGAGGGGAGAGAGAGAGACGGGGAAAGAGAGAGGGGAGAGAGAGAGAAAGAGAGGGGAGGGGGGAGAGAAAGAGACAGAGGGGAGACGGGAGAGGGAGGGGAGAGAGAGAGACACAGAGACAGAGAGACAGGGGAGAGAGAGACAGGAGAGAGGGAGGAGAGAGACAGAGATGGAGAGAGAGAGAGACAGAGAGAGAGAGAGAGAGACAGGGGAGAGAGAGAGAGGGGAGAGAGAGACGGGAGAGGGGAGAGAGAGAGACAGAGGAGAGAGAGCGGAGAGAGAGAGACAGAGAGAGAGAGACAGGGGAGAGAGAGGGGGGAGAGAGACACAGAGAGAGACAGCTCTCCTGGAAGATATTTTCTCTCTGTTCCAATTCCAGGGCATCTTTTGGAAGAAAAGGGATGACACTGGTGGTTTTGCGGAAGGTCAGTGCCAGAGTTGAGGAAGATGTCATTTTGGCAACTCATTGTCGAGTTCTCCAAAAATCAGGGAGGTGGGGAGCTGGAGTCAGGGAGGGAGGAGAGGAGGAAGCACCAGCCACCCACAGTGGGAAGGATCTCTCCTGTCTTCCTCTCCATCTGCCTCACCGTGACCCCATCCCTTGACTTTGTCTTTGCAGAGGGGCATCCTGCCTTTGTCCACAGCTGTTTCTCTCTTTCTTTTCTTGAGAGACAATCTTGCTCCGTCACCCAGACTGGAGTGCAATGGAGCAATCATAGCTCACTGCAACCTCACGCTGCTGGACTCAAGCCATCCTCCCACATCAGCCTCCCAAGTAGCTGGGACCACAGGAGCTTGCCACCATGCCCTGTTAATTTTTAAACATGTTTTGGAGAGAGGGGGTCTCACTATGTTGCCCAGAGCACCACCATGCCCCATTAATTAAAAAAAAAATTTGTAGAGATGGGGTCTTGCTATCTTGCCCAGGCTGGTCTCAAACCCAGAGCACCACCATGCACCATTAATTTTAAAAAAATTTGCAGAGATGGGGTCTTGCTATGTTGCCCAGGCTGGTCTCAAACTCCTGGGCTCAAGCAATCCTCTCATCTCAGCCTCCCAAGTGGCTGGGACCACAGGAACACACCACCATGTCCTATTCATTAAGAAAAAAATCGGGGCCGGGCACAGTGGCTCATGCCTGTAATCACAGCAGTTTGGGAGACCGAGGCAGGTGGATCACGGGGTCAGGAGTTCGAGACCATCTTGGCTAACACGGTGGAACCCCGTCTCTCCTAAAAATACAAACAATTAGCCGGGTGTGGTGGTGGACAGCTGTAGTCCCAGCTACTGGGGAGGCTGAGGCAGGAGAATGGCATAAACCCAGAAGGTGGAGCTTGCAGTGAGCTGAGATCACACCACTGCCCTCCAGCCTGGGCGACAGAGCAAGACTCCGTCTCAAAAAAAAGAAAAAAATATTTGGAGAGATGGGGCCTCACTGTATTGCCCAGGCTGGTCTCAAACTCCTGGGCTCCAGTGATCCTTCTACCTTTATTTTATGGAGAGAAATATGCAATTTTTACATAGTGCTTTTGTTTTAAAATGCAGCTTGATCCTCAGACAATGAGAGGCAGGCATTTTACAGAAGAGACATCAGAACTTTCTAGAAGGTGGGTGATTTTTCAGTGAGTATTCAGAGAATAAGTTGCAAAACAGAGGAAATGGCAACTTCTGAGCCTAAATTCAAGGGTTGGCCGAGCACAGTGGCTCACACCTGTCATCCCAACACTTTGGGAGGCCAAGGCGGGCATATCACCTGGGGTCAGGAGTTCGAGACGAGGCTGACCAACACGGTGAAAACCTGTCTCTACTAAAAATACCAAAATTAGCAAGGCATGGTGGTGGGTGCCTGTAGTCACAGCTACTCAGGAGGTTAAGGCATGAGAATCACCTGAACCTGGGAGGCAGAGGTTGCAGTGAGCCGAGATTGTGCCACTGCACTCCAGCCTGGGAGACAGAGCGAGACTCCATCTCCAATACATACATACATATATACATAAAATTAAGAGTTGTTCAGCCATGTTGTCCCCAGTCCCCAAACTCTTAACTTTTTGCGTTTCATAGAAAGTGCTAGGATTTACAAGGATGCCACTACCCTCGGCAGCCCACTAAGATGAAAGTGAGATGCCACCTGTGATGGTCATTGGAGCACCTTGCCACCCTCCTCAATGGGCACCGGTGAGGAGGGTGACAGGTGCTTGGAGTTCCTGTGGGTTCTGGGATTCCAAGCTGTCACAGCGATAACCCAGGGTCGATGGTTTCCTGAGGAGTTTGGCAAACCTCAGCCCTTGGATTCATTCCTCAACATTCATGAAGCAAAACAGACTTTTCAAATCATGTTTAAAACAATTAGCGTGTTTACCCAAACAAAGGTTAAGCCTGCAAAGGAAAAGCATCTGTAAATGCGATCAAGCATTGCAGCTTTTACAGTTTTCCATGAATCCTTCAAAGCTCATCTTCTTCTTCTTCTTTTTTTTTTTTTTTTTTGAGATGGAGACTCGCTCTGTCGCCCAGGCTGGAGTGCAATGGCATGATCTCAGCTCACTGCAAGCTCCGCCTCCCGGGTTCAACCAGTTCTCCTGCCTCAGCCTCCCGAGTAGCTGGGATTACAGGCACCTGCCACCACCCCCGGCTAATTTTTTGTATCTTTAGTAAAGATGGGGTTTCACCATGTTGGCAGGCTGGTGTTGAACTCCTGACCTCAGGCGATCCACCTGCTTCGGCCTCCCAAAGTGCTGGGATTACAGATGTAAGGCACCGGCGCCCAGCCTCAAAGCTCATCTTCTAAGGCATGCAGAAACTCAGTCAGCTCCACAGATCTGAGATCTAAATGAGCAGTGCAACCTTGCTTATGGAGACTCGGGCAGGCAGGGAGAACAGAGTCTTGGCCCAGGCCACCAAGGAGGAGGCAAGATGCCAGATGGAGAAGGGGTTGCCCCAAGCCCCAGGTTGACATGGAAGTTGGGAACAGCCAAGCAGAGAATCTCAGGATCTCCATGGAGGCTAAGAACCTTTCATTGGAGATTCAACTTTTGCAATAAGCAGTGCTGGGTTACATAAGTGCCTAATTAAGACCCTTGGAACTAATTATATAGGACAGAGAGGAGGTGATGGTGAAGACGTGAGATTCTAAGCTGTGATGATACTTACCAAGTGAGAGGATCAAGACCCACCGATGAACTCCTGGTAGTAGAGAGAGGATAGGCAGATAGACAGCTAGCTAGACAGATAGATAGATGACAGATAGATAATTGATACATAGATTATAGATTTAATAGATAAATACACAGAGAATACATTAGATAGATGAATGGATAGATGGATGAATGGATAGACACAGACATAGATAGATAGGTGGTCTTCATGTAAAGACAAGGTGTTTCTTCTGGAAGATTCATCAGGAAGGCGCCATCTTGGAGGCAAAGGAGAGCCCTCATCAGGGCTGTTTATCTATCCACCTACCTATCTATCAATATTTATTGATAGATAGGTAGGTGGATAGATAGATACATAGATGATTGATTGATAGATATAGATGATGAATATATAGATAGTTGATAGATGATTGATAGTTGATAGATGATTGATAGATGATTGATAGAAAGATGATAGATGTTAGATACATAGATGATAGATTGATGATAGGTAGATGATAGATGAATATATAGATAAATGATAGATGATTGATATATAGATGATAGATGATTGATAGAAAGATGATAGATGTTAGATATATAGATACATAGATAGATAGTAGATAGATAAATTGATTGATAGATGATAGATAGGTAATAGACAGATAGGAACTCTCCAGTCAGCCTAGACTTAGCTAGTCAAGGTCCCATCTGTAGAGTTTCCAGGTGAACGTCATCTCTATTAGCCATTGAGTCCACGTAAATCATGTATCTGCATCTGCCTGGATTTGTTTTCACTGCTAGAACAGAGTCCCTAAGACTGTGTGGTTTATACAGAGCAGAGATGTATTTACTCCTGGTTCTGAAGGAGGAGAAGTCCAAGATGGAGGCACCAGCAGATTCCATATCTGATGAGGGCTGTTCTTTGACTCCAAGATGGCACATTCCTGCTGAATCTTCCAGAAGGAAGAAACCCCTTGTCCTTAGATGAAGACCAAGGCACCAGAAGATTCCATATCTGATGAGGGCTGTTCTTTGCCTCCAAGATGGCACCTTCCTGATGAATCTTCCAGAAGGAAGAAACACCTTGTCTTTACATGAAGACCAAGGCACCAGCAGATTCCATATCTGATGAGGGCTGTCCTTTGCCCCCACGATGGTGCCTTCCTGATGAATATTCCAGAAGGAAGAAACACCTTGTCCTTACATGAAGACCAAGGCACCAGCAGATTCTATATCTGATGAGTGCTATTCTCTGCCTCCAAGATGGCACCTTCCTGCTAAATCTTCCAGAAGGAAGACACACCTTGTCCTTACATGGTAAAGGTGGAAGACCAAGGGAACTGAATGTTACAGGAAGCCTGTCTCTTACTGTCTTTCTTTCTTTCGTTCTTTCTTTCTTTCTTTCTTTCTTTCTTTCTTTCTTTCTTTCTTTCTTTCTCTCTCTCTTTCTTTCTTTTTCTTTCTTTCTTTCTCTCTTTTTTTCGAGAAGGAGTCTTGCTCTATCGCCCAGGCTGGAGCACAGCGGTGTGACCTCGGCTCACTGCAACCTCCACCTCACAGGTTGAAACAATTCTTCTGCCTCAGCCTCCTGAGTAGCTGGGATTACAGGTGCCTGCCACCACATCCGGCTAATTTTTGTATTTTTAGCAGAGACGGGGTTTCACCATGTTGGCCAGGCTGATCTTGAACCCCTGACCTCATGATCCACCCACCTCGGCCTCCCAAAATGCTGGGATTACAGGCATGAGCCACCGTGTCCGGCCAGGAAGCCTCTTTCCTAAGGACCTTAAGCCCATTCATGAGAAAGATGCCACCATGGCCTGATCACCCCTTTTTTAATTCACGTTATGTTATGTTATTTTGTTTTTGTTTTTTATTTTTTTGACACAAGGTCTGGCTATATCACCCAGGCTGGAGTGAAGTGGTATCATCTCAGCTTACTACAACCTCTGTCTACTGGGCTCAAACGATCTTCCCACCTCAGCCTCCCAGGTAGCTAGGACTACAGGCATGCACCACCATGCCCAGCTCACTTTTGTACTTTTTATAGAGACAGGGGGTTCATCATGTTGCCCAGGCTGGTCTCAAACTCATGAGCTCAGGCAATCTTACTTCCTCCGACTCCCAAAGTCCTGGGATTACAGGCCTGAGCCACTGTGCTGCCCCTCTTTTTTTTTAGTTTTAATTTAATTTTTATTTATTTTTTATGTATTTATTTATTATTATTATTTTGAGACGAAGTCTTGCTCTGTTGCCCAGGCTTGAGTGCATTGGCATGATCTCGGCTCACTGCAACCTCCACCTCCTGGGTTCAAGCAATTCTCCTGCCTCAGCCTCCCAGTAGCTAGGATTACAGGCACTTGCTACTACGCCCGGCTAATTTTTGTATTTTTAGTAGAGACAGGGTTTCACCACTTTGGTCAGGCTGGTCTTGAACTTCTGAGCTCAGGCAATCTGCCTGCCTCTGCCTCCCAAAGTCCTGGGATTACAGTCCTGAGCCACTGTGCAGCTCCTCTTTTTTTATTTTAATTTTTATTTATTTTTTATGTATGTATTTATTTTTTTTTTGAGACAAAGTCTCACTCTGTTGCCCAGGCTGGAGTGCAGTGGCATGATCTCGGCTCACTGCAACCTCCGCCTCCCAGGTTCAAGCTAGTCTCCTGCCTCAGCCTCCTGAGTAGCTGGGACTACAAGCCCCCACTACCACGCCCGGCTAATTTTTGTATTTTTAGTAGAGACGGGTTTCACCACCTTGGTCAGGCTGGTCTTGAACTTCTGACCTCTGGTGATGTGCCCGCCTCAGCCTCCCAAAATGCTGGGATGACAGGTGTGAGTCACCGCACCTGGCCTCTTTGCTTTTCTTAAGTGACTCCATGGGGGACCCATGCAGCCAGCAGCATCTCGGCTTTTTCTCCCTGGAAGGTGTCTGCAGGAAACCAGCATCCCAGTTAACTTCAGACGCGAGAGTGTTGATTATACACTCAAGGCCCCACATTAGGGAAGTTTGTGAGTCACAGCCCCACACTGGGTCTCCCAGGGATCAACAAGATCCACAAACCAGCATGGTTAGGACAAGTGGTTTTACAGTCCTTTTTTTTTTTTTTTTTTTTTTTTGTGAGATGGAGTCTTGCTCTGTCGCCCAGGCTGGAGTGCAGTGGCGCGATCTCGGCTCACTGCAACCTCCACCTCCTGGGTTCATGCCATTCTCCTGCCTCAGCCTCCTGAATAGCTGGGACTACAGGCTCCCACCACCACGCCCGCCTAATGTTTTTTTGTATTTTAGCAGAGACAGGGTTTCACTGTGTTAGTCAGGATGGTCTCGATCTCCTGACCTCATGATCTGCCCGCCTCGGCCTCCCAAAGTGCTGGGATTACAGGCGTGAGCCATTGTGTCGCCCTTTTTTTTTCCTTCTTTTTAATTCCTTTTTTTGAGACGGAGTCTCACTCTGTCGCCCAGGCTGGAGTGCAGTGGCGCGATCTCGGCTGACTGCAACCTCCGCCTCCCGGGTTCACTCCATTCTCCTGCCTCAGCCTCCTGAGTAGCTGGGACTATAGGTGCCCGCCACCACGCCCGGCTAATTTTTTTTTTTTTTTTTTGTATTTTAGTAGAGATGCGGTTTCACCGTGTTAGCCAGGATGGTCTCTATCTCCTGACCTTGTGATCCGTCCGCCTCGGCCTCCCAAAGGGCTGGGATTACAGGCATGAGCCACCGCACCCGGCCCCTTACAGTCCTTTTTAACTCACTTCTAGAAGAAACCATCTCAGCCGCTTTTACACATCTGCAGCTGAGACAAGTGTGGGGCACAGGTTTCCCTGGTGACCCAGGGAAGGGATCAAATTGCTGTGTCCACTTTGCAACACCAGCATCTACCAGGTACTGCGAGGCAGAAGCTCAAAACCATGCATGACTTTCCTTGGCTTTTTTTTTTTTTAATAAACCTCTGTTCAAAAATAAACTTAACACGTTTTTCTGAGCAGCCTGAACCTGTTCCCAATTTCTTGTCCACACAATAAAAAATATACAAGTGCATTATTTTAAGGGTGACTCTAGCTGACCTTTCTGTGGGGAGAAAAACGGCACCTGCCTGGAGCCAGAAGCGTGTTCGGAGAGTTTGATGGCGTTTGATGTTAAGGCAGGGGCCACCTGGGTCGGCCTGTCATCGAATGACGTTTTCACACCAGTCCCCAAAACAGGAGATCTGGAAAATCTGACATCCAAGGTTTTAGATCTTGGCTTAGAAAAACAGACATTCCAAGATGCCTGAAGTGTTTAAGTGGCTATTGCTAATTGGATAGTGTTGACTGTGGAAGTAATGGATCCCAAATTGAAATGGGAGATTAGATGATTAGACGTATTCTCCAGATGCTTACAAAAACAATTATGTGTGTGCGTGTGTGTGTGGAGAGAGAGAGAGAGAAAGGTATATAGACAGACTGGGCGCGGTGGCTCACGCCACTAATCCCAGCACTTTGGGAGGCCGAGGCGGGCAGATCACCTGAGGTCAGGAGTTTGAGACAAGCCTGGACAACATGATGAAAACCCGTCTCTACTAAAAATACAAAAATTGGCTGGGCGTGGTGGTCTGTAAAAAATTGACTGGGCCTGTAGTCCCAGCTACTCGGGAGGCTGAGGCAAGAGAATCACTTGAACCCGGGAGGTGGAGGTTGCAGTGAGCTGAGATCGTGCCACTGCATTCCAGCTTGGGTGGCAGAATAATACTGTCTCAAAAAAAGCAAAAAAGGATATATAGATAGACAATAGACATATTCTATTACAGATGGAAAGAAATAAACTAAATAGGTTAAACTAGATAGAAATAGATAACTGTTAGAACGAGATAGATGGTAGGTATATAATTAATAGAAAAGACATAAATTAGGACAATTAAATGATAGACCTAGGTAAATACATAAATGATAGATAGATAACAGATATATTATTAATACATAGGAATAGGTGAGTTAAATTACATAAATGATAGAGATAGGTAGATAAATATATGACAGATATATAGAGAGATAACTGGATAGATGCATAGATGATAGAGAGCTAGATAGGCAGATAATGGAGGGATGATAGGCAAATAGATACAGGGATAGATGATAGGTAGACAACTGATACATAGATTATAGATTTGATACATAAATATATAGATAAATGGATGGATAATAGAGGATGGATATATAGTAGATGATAAATAGTAGAGAGCTGATAGGTAGATAGACAGCTAGCTAGCTAGGCGGATAGATGATAGGTAGAGGGATAATTGATACATAGATTATAGATTCAATAGATAAATACATATATAGATAGATGGATAGATGGATGGATAATAGATAGATGATGGATATATAGTAGACTATAGATAGTAGAGAGATGGTAGGTGGATAGACAGCTAGCTAGCTAGATGGAGAGATGATAGGTAGATAAGTGATACATAGATTATAGATTCAACAGATAATGCATTAGATAGATAGGTGGATAGATGGCTACAGGGATAGATGATAGGTAGATAGATAATTGATACATAGGTTACAGATTCAATAGATAAGTGCATATATAGATAGATGGATAGATGGATGGATAATAGATAGATGATGGATATATAGTAGACGATAGATACTAGGGAGATGATAGGTAGACAGCTAGCTAGATGGATAGATGATAGGTAGATAATTGATACATAGATTATAGATTCAATAGATAAATAGATAATACATTAGATGGATAGATAGATCAATAGGTAGGTAGGTAGATAGCTACAGGGATAGGTGATAGGTAGATAATTGATACATAGGTTATAGATTCAATACATAAATACATATATAGATAGATGGATAGATTGATGGATGGATGATAGAGGATGGATATATAGTAGATGATAGATAGATAGTAGAGAGATGATAGGTAGATAGATGGCTAGCTAGCCAGACAGATAGATGATAGGTAGATAATTGATACATAGATTATAGATTCAATAGATAAATACATAGATTAGATAATACATTAGATAGATAGATAGGTAGGTAAGTTGATAGATAGCTACTGGGATAGATGATAGGTAGATAGATAATTGATACACAGATTATAGATTCAATAGATAAATACATATATAGATACATGGATAGATGGATGGATGCATAGATGGATGGATGATAGATACATGATGGATATATAGTAGATGATAGTAGAGAGATGATAGGTAGATAGACGGCTAGCTAGCCAAACAGTTAGATGATAAGTAGATAATTGATACATAGATTATAGATTCAATAGAGAAATACATAGATTAGATAATACATTAGATAGGTAGATAGGTAAGTTGATAGCTACAGGGATAGATGATAGGTAGATAATTGATACATACGTTATAGATTCAATAGATACATATATAGATGGATAGATGGATGGATGCATAGATGGATGGATGATAGATGATGGATATATAGTAGATGATAGATAGATAGTAGAGAGATGATAGGTAGATAGCTAGCTAGCCAGACAGATAGATGATAGGTAGATAGTTGATACATAGGTTATAGATTCAATAGATAAATACATAGATAGATAATACATTAGATGGATGGATAGATAGATGTATAGATAGATAGCTGGATAGAGAGATAGCTACAGGGATAGATGATAGGTAGATAGATAATTGATACATAGATTATAGATTCAATAGATAAATACATAGATTACATAATACATTAGATGGATAGATAGGTAGATAGGTAAGTCGATAGATAGCTACAGGGATAGATGATAGGTAGATATACAATTGATACATAGATTATAGATTCAATAGATAAATACATATATAGATGGATAGATGGATGGATGGATGATAGATGATGGATATATAGTAGATGATAGATGATTGATAGATAGATGATAGATGTTAGATAGATTATATATAAATAGATCAATAGGTCGATAGATGATAGATGGGTAATAGATAGACAGAAACTCCCCAGTCTGCCTAAGATATTTTCTGTTATTTTATAAGACATAACCCTCATGAGTTCTTTTGTATCTGCTGCTGCTGTTATTCTGAAAATAGTGTAAAGTTTTGGAGTTTCAGGTACAAGAGGACCCTGCAGATATCAGCCACCTGCTTTTCCCTCCCTTCCTGGGGATGTTCGGTTCTGCCTAACACGCACTCTCTGGTACATCCCTGTGGGTCTCAGAGCCGCCCCCTCCTTGTCTGCAAAGAGGGAGGTGCGGTACCCACTCCGGGGACCCCCTTCATCCTTGGGGCACTCAGCGTGTGAGTCAGCTTGGCCTTCTCCTTCACAGACAAGTGTCATTGTCACAAGAGAGCGTGGGCCATTCAGAGGACTCTCACCCTCATGAGGCTGGCATTGCGTGTCACCGCGTTGGAGCCAGAGGCAACCTCAAAACGCATGGGCCCTGCTTCCCTCTTCTCAGAAATGAGGAGAACCTCTGGTAGAGATGACTTTTGGGGGCTCGTGGGGTCGGTGCAGAGGGGGTGTCTGGGGCCGAGCTGGGACCCGGCTCTCAGGAGCCTCTTTACACTTCAGGTTGTCTGTGCCCGAGCAGATCCTGGGCTGTTGAATCATGGTAGGCAAACCACAGAACGATCTTTTGGGGTGAAACCTCAGGCTCTGTTCACTCACTGGCATCGTCAAATCACACCTGCAAAGAGCTGACAAACTATTCCCTAAGCACAGAAATCCTCATGCTTATTTGCGGCCATTCCGAGCCCTGCAGGTGGCTAGGGAGAGAGCCATAAGGTATTTCTTGTGGCGGGGGCGGGGGGCCCTCTCTGGCATTCCCAGGGCTGCCCCCAGGACCTGGAACCAAGCAGGAGAAAGAAGGACATAACCGAGAGAAGGCTTCCTCTCCGTGAGGCCGTGGAGTCCGGCCCTGGCGGAAAATAAACTTCTTAATACGATTGAGATCAACAGACAGGGCTTTTCTCTGTGATACATTTAAGCAAATTGAATGCAATTACCTCAATTGAATTCAGAGCAAGGCCTGCCCTGACCTTCCCTGAAGCGTTCTGCCCACTTGGAGAGCAGGCTGGGGCACACATGACATCATCTGGACAATTTGCACATATTTATACAATTTGTCATGATGCGGTCTGCACAGGCTAGAGGCTGCGAGGTTTGCCTCCAGCACCGCTGTGAAATCAGGCCTGTGAAAATCACGTGCTGGACATATCTCTTGTGTGTGCTATTTACTTCGAATTCAAGTGTACCTAGTCACTAGTGGGGGGAGTGGGGTGGATGTGTCTGTGTGTGTGTGTGTGTGTGTGTGTGTGTGTGGCGGGCAGAAGATGCAAATCCGTTGATACAAATCAACAAGCAATATTATGGTATAAGGGAGGGAAATAAAGCCAGCAGGTGCTATAATACATGTCAAAAAAAAATCTGTTTTATGCTTATGCCACTGTAAGACAACAGACAGCTGTGTAGAGGTGTGGCTTCAGCGACTGCCGAGGAAGGGTTATTTGTGGGTACAGCCATGGGATGTCAGAGGTGTCTCTATTCTGACCTCAGGCACTGAGGTCCTGCCCACGAATGGCGTGGTAGTGTGGGGAATATCCGAAGGAAAACAGAGAGGTGTCTGGATGATCTGTTTTGTTGCAGGAAGCAAACCAGCATGATGCAGGCAGCCTGAACTGAGAAAAGGAGGTTTCCGGATTTCCAAAGACACACTGAGTTCGCTGACATGTATCAGGGAGAAAAGCTCATTCAGAGATCTCCGCTGTATTACAAATTTTAATTTCTCCTGGCGTGGGAGTTCACAGCAGCCTTATGGAGGGAAATTCCTCCAAGCCTGCGTGTCATAAACTGAACTACAGGGTTTAGGGTCCTCAGGCTGCCCAGGGATGCTGGAGGTCCACAGGTCAACTGCAGGGAGATGGATTCCCCAAATGAGCAAGAGGGTTCTGATGCTCAGGAAATAGATTAGTAGCTCCAGGCAGGTGTGGCTTCATGACCGTAAGGAAATGGAAGCAAAGAGTTGTTGGGCATGTAGAACTTTCATTTCTTGCACATTTATTCAGAGACAGAGCATATGCATTTTTGGTAGAAAATTCAATATTGCTGTTGATCTCAAATTCAAGTGTAGCTGGGCACACATGCATACAGCTGTTAACCTTGAATTCAAGCGTACCTGGGCTGCTGTTTACTTTGAATTCAAGTGTATCTGGGCATGCATGCATACTGCTGTTCACCTCGAATTCAAGTGTAGCTGAGCACACATCTGTTCTCCTGTTTATCTCGAATTCAAGTGTTATCTGGGCATGCCTCGTGCTGCTGTTCACCTTGAAATCAAGTGTACCTGAGCACGCATCTGTTCTGCTGTTTATCTCGAATTCAAGTGTATCTGGGCATGCATCGTGCTGATGTTTACCTCGAACTCAAGTGTAGCTGGGCACACATCGTGCTGCCGTTCACCTTGAATTCAAGTGTACCTGAGCATGCATCCATACTGCTGTTTATCTCAAATTCAAGTGTACATGGGCACTCATCTTTTCTGCTGTTTATCTCGAATTCAAGTGTAGCTGGGCACGCATGCATACTGCTGTTCACCTCGAATTCAAGTGTACCTGAGCACGCATCTGTTTTGCTGTTTATCTCCAACTCAAATGTACCTGAGCATGCATCTGTTCTGCTGTTTACCTCGAATTCCACTGTACCTGGGTAGGCATGCCATACTTTTATTGGTTAACTAGAGCAATTTGTAAAGCAAACTATCATCATTTTCCCCAAGTTGTAACCCTTGGCAAATCATTTCCCCGAAGTTTCAACTTTGTTGAAATGGAAGCTAAGAAATTCCACACAATGTATATATTCCTGGTAAAGTTTGCCCAGTACCTGAGCCAACACCTAGGGAGGTAAGAGCAGACAGTGGAGGTTGGGGTACAGACAGATTTGGGTGACCCAGACCAAATCTGATCTTCCAGAACCAACAAATCCCACAGAGACAGGACAAATTGGCCTGTTTGGGGCCAGCATCCTGCGGGATCCCAGACGCTTATGTTATGTGTATTTTAACACAATTTTAAAAATTGGAAAATAAAACAAAACACCTAGAGCCATGATCTCTAAGGCCATGTGTGTTCTGCACCTATTACTTCTCACTCACTCCATTCCAGCCCCACTGGCCTTTTTCTGGCTCCTCAGACATGCCAAGCACTCCCTGCCTCAGGGCCTTTGCAGTGTCTGTTGCCCTCACGTGGAATGCTCTTCCCACAGATCTCTCTATGACTCTCTCTCTGTCACTTGCTCTGCTCTAATGTCTCTTTTTCAGTGAGGCCTTTCCTGATCACCCTACAGAAAAGCACCCAGCAATATTCTCTATTCCTTTTCCTTGCCTTGTCTTGGTAGCACTTGCTCCTTGCTGACATATAGAAAGAATATGTGTTTATGCAATGGTGAATGTGATGACCACAGATTTTTCCCCAGCCCTGTTCTAGGCAGAGACTGGGAAATGGGTCATTCCTGTCCCCTATTCCAATTCTCTCCTTCTATAATGGCTTATTTTCCTTTTTAATGTTCTAACCTAATGTCGAGCAATTTCAGTTGATTTTTTCATAAGCTGGAAGGTCCATGAAATCTCTTTCTATGGCCATTATTTTCTCAAACACTGCAGTGTCTTTTTTCAGTGTTTTCCATATATAATGATATTCCTAGGAATATCTCCTTGGCCTTCCTATCTAAATTCACCCAATGTGGTGTTCTTCATATTTCAAGTAAATTCAATACTGCCTTCATAATTGTTGGCACCTTTAAACTTTTATTGTCCCTGATAGGTAGGTGCTCATCTTATTGGTTAAATGAATGATTTTGGCAATTTCGCTTTTTAAATTATTTTTATTTTTATTTTGAGACAGGGTCTCAGTCTGTTACCCAGGCTGGAGTGCAGTGACGTGATCTCAGCTCACTGCAGCCTCGACATCCCAGGCTCAAGCAATCTTCCCACCTCAGCCTCCCAAGTAGTTGGGATTACAGACATGTGCCACAGCACTCCACTAATTTTTTTCTATTTTTGTAGAGACAGGATCTTGTTATGTTTCCCAGGCTGGTCTGTAACTCATACACTCAAGTAATCAGCCCATCTGGGTCTCCCAAAGTGCTGGGATTACAGGCTTCAGCCACAATGCCCAGCCTAAAATGTCTTTTTGATAGAGTGATTTTGAAGATTAAGCAGGCTAGTGGGTCAAGCACGTAGTACAACATTTGAAGCCCAAAGGCAGGGAGTGTGAGCCCCAGGTGGTGGTGGGGGGGATGAAAGGAGAAGCAGGAGGCAATGGGGAATGAGACACTTGAGACTGGAACTCAGGGCTCTTCAGAGAGAGAAGCTTCCAGGTCCTGGAGAAGGGGCAAGGCCCATGCGAGTCCCCTGAACGCTCAAAAGGAAGGGCCAGGTTTCCCTGACACAGAGGGCTCCGTGGTCTCCTCCCCTCCTTTTCACCTCAGGAGGGAGGGAAAGAGGGGAAGAGAAGGTCCTGCAGAGGAGGCAGGATGGCCGGTTGAGGGGGGCCTTGGGCGCTTTTTCCCAAGGGCTGCCTCCTGCGGCTGCCCCAGGGGCTTCCTTGAACAAGAATTCCCTGCTCTCCCGCTGAGAGCCAGGGTGGGTCCTCTGTCCCTCACCATGAAGTTCAATGAGTATTGGAGAGTCCGCATGAGGTGAAGGGGCTTCAGCCCAACCACTGGTCCCTGCTGCACTCACTCCTCAAAAAGGACCACCAGCTGCCTGATGGTGAGCATGGAGCAGGTCTGAGTGGACCAGACTAGGGCCAAGAAACACACCAAAATTGAAACACAAAGAAATACAAAACATGAACAGACCAATAACAAATAATGAGAACAAAGCTGTAATAAAAAGTCTCCCAGAAAAGAAAAGCCCCAATATTCTATGGCTTCACTACTGAATTCTAACAAATATTTAAAGAACTAACACCAATCCTACTGAAACTATTCCACAAAATACAGATGGGGAATACTTCCAAACTCATTCTATAACACCAGAATTACCTTTATACCAAAATCAAAGACACTTTAAAAAAAGAAAACTACAATATCTCCAATTAATATTGATGCAAAAATCCTCAACAAAATGCTAGCAAACCTTTAAGCAATATATTAAAAATATCATTCTTCATGATCATGTGTGATTTATCACAAGGATGCAAGAATGGTTGCAAATCAATCCAAATGATACATCACATCACCAAAATGAAGGAAAAGATTATATAATCATTTAAATTAAGACATTTTAAAAAAGCATTTGATAAAATTCAACATCCCATCATGATTAAAAACCCTCAGAAACCTGGGTAGAGAAAGAACATTATTAACATAATGAAAGCCATATATGACATACCCACAGCTAGTATCATACTGACAAGGGAAACACTGAAATCCCCTTCTCTAAGATCTGGAACATGACCAGGATGCCCACTTTCACCACTGTTATTCTCCATAGTACTGGAAGTCCTAGCAAAAGCAATCAGACAAGAGAGAGAAATAAAGGGCATCTAAAGGGAAGAAGACAAATTATCTTTGTTTTGCAGATGATATAATCTTATATTTGTAAAAAACCTGAAGACTCCACAAAAACTACTAGAACTGATAAATTCAGTAGAGTTTCAGGATACAAATCAATATATAAAAATCAGTATCTTTTTTTTTTTTTTTTGAGACAGAGTCTCACTTTGTCACCCAGGCTGGAGTGCAGTGGTGCAATCTTGGCTCACTGCAAGCTCTGCCTCCTGGGTTCACACCATTCTCCTGCCTCAGCCTCCCGAGGAGCTGGGGCTACAGGCACCCACCATCACGCCTGGCTAACTTTTTTTGTATTTTTAGTAGAGACGGGGTTTCATCGTGTTAGCCAGTATGGTCTTGATCTCCTGACCTCGTGATCTGCCCACCTCACCTTCCCAAAGTCCTGGGATTACAGGCGTGAGCCACCGCGCCCGGCAGGAATCAGTAACATTTCTATATGCCAAGAGTGAACAATCTGAAAAAGAATTTAAAAAGAAATACCATTTATCATAGCCACAAATAGAACTAAATACATAGAAATCAACCAAAGAAGTAAAGGATTTCTACAACAAAAACTATAACACAATCATAAGATAAATTGAAGACACAAAAATTGAAAGATATTCCATGTTCATGGATTGATAGTGTTAGTATATTAAAATGTCTATATTACCCAAAGCAATTCACAGATTAAATGCAGGAATCACATTAACTGACTTCAAATTATATTACAAAGCTATAGTAACTGTAGCAGCCTGGTACTGGCATAAAAATAGACAAATAAACCAATGGAATTGAACAGATAACCCAGAAAAAAATTTTATACATTTTCACTGAACTCATTTTCAACAAAGGTGCCAAGAACTTAAATTAGGGAAAAGACAATCTCTTCAATAAATCATGCTTGGAAACTGGATATCTACATGCAAAAGAATGAAATTATAACCCCAACTCTTGCCATATACAAAAGTCGAATCAAAACGGATTAAATACTTAAATCTAAGACCTCGAATTAAAAAACTACTGCAAGAAAACATTGGGGAAAGTCTCTCCAGGTCTTGGCAAAAATGTCTTGAGTAATACCCCACAAGCACAGGCAACCAAAGCAAATATGGACAAATGAAGTTACATCAAGTTAAAAATCTTCTGCATGTCAAAGGAAATGATCAATAAAGTGAGGAGACAACCCACAGAATAGGAGAACATATTTGCAAACTATTCACCTGACAAAAGATTAATAACTAGAACAGATAAGCAGCTCAAACTACTGTATAGGAAAAAAATCTAGTAATCTGATCTTTAAAATTGGCAAAATATTTCAATAAACATTTCTTAAAAGAAGGCATATGAATTGCAAGCAGTTATATTATCAGAAACATGCAAATCAAAACTACAATGAGATATCATCTTATCCCAGTTAAAATGAATTTTGTCCAAAAGTCAGGCAACAGCAAATGCTAGTGAGAATGTGGAGAAATGGGAAGCCTGGTACACTGTTGGTGGAAATGTAAATTAGTACAACCACTATAGAAAACAGCTTGGAGGTTCCTCATAAAACTAAACTAGAGCTTCCATATAATCCAGCAATTTCACTGCTAAGTATATACTCACAAGAAAGGAACTCAGTATGTTGAAGAGATGTCTACATTCCCATGTTTGTTGCAGCATTGTTGAAAATAGCCAAGATTTGGAAGCAACGTAAGTGTCAATCAACAGATGAATGGATAAAGAAAATGTAGTATGTATACACAGTGGAGCCAGAAAAAAAGAATGAGATTCTGTCATTTTTAACAACATGGATGAGGGTTATTATGTTAAATGAAATAAGCCAGGCACAGAAAGACAAACTTTGCATGTTCTCATTTATTTATGGGCGCTAAGGATCCCATTGAGTTGAATTCAACGGAGATAGAGAGTAGAAGGATGGTTACCAGAGGCTGAGAAGCATAGTAGGGGGGCAGTTTGGTAGGGCCATGGAGGGAAGTGAGGATGGCTAATGGGTACAAGAAATAGTTAAAAAGAATGAATAAGAGGTAGAGGTACTATTTGATTGCACAACAGGGTATTTGTGCTGATAGCACAACAGTAGTATTTGTACTGATAACACAGTTTGTACTGGTAGCACAACAGTAGTACTTGATACCACAACACTGCAATTGTCAATAATTGACAATTATTATAATCAATAATAATTTAGTTGTACCTTTTAAAATAACTGAAATCATATAATTCAATTTTTGTAATACAGAGTAAATGCTTGAGGAGATGGATACCCCATTTACCATGCTGTGATTGTTACATGTTGCATGCCTGTATCAAAGTATCTCATATACCCCATTTATACACACAACTACTGTATACCCACAAAAAATAAAAATAAATGTGATATAATAATCAGGTATGGTTTTGCTGGGGTATATATTACATTGTTGTATTTTGCCTAGTCTATAGGATTAGGGGGAATAGCTGTGGTAAATTCCCACAGAGGCAGTTGCAAAACTCCCTACACTTCTCTCTCCCATTTGCACTTTAGTTTGTTAAAATCTGCTAAAGCTGTTTCTAATTCACTACTTTGTAGCACTCTTTGGCTTTGTTTTGGAGGACTAGTAAATCAGTTAGCTGATATTGGTTTGAAAACCCTGAATCATAGGTCTTAAACATTATTTGGAATTCCTTGGCAAACCTAAGGTGTCTTGAGTCAGATCAGGAAATCCAAACATCAGAGCACTTAATTCTGACTTGGTGTAAGGTGTATATCTTATGTTTGAACCCACTCTTCCTGTGGGTTTTGTTTTAAAAGAAATGACTACTATTTTGTCTTCTCCTGTAGCTATTTCTGGACCCTTTGTGGTTTAAGAAGGAATACAGGGAGGAGAAAGAGAAAAAAAATGAAATCATCCAGGCAAGGAAGTTTAGAAAGCAGAGGTTTAGGAGAAGAAAAAGAAGAGACAGTTTCTGGCAGCTTCCTGATTTTAGAAGCTGATTTTGCTACTTTTCTTTAATTCTGAGGTAGTTTCAAATATTTTGTTGTTACCTTTCTGGAAAGAAATAAGTTTATCATTTCTACTTTTGGATGTTTTTAGGTGCCAGCTAAAATACAACCCTCATTTATTTTCCTTGATGCAGAAACCTAACTTCTCTAATTTAGCATACGAGAAGACCAGTTTGGGAATATTTAAAGTTCTTCACTTTGGGAACCTTAGATGTTGGTCGTCCTTAGTAAAATCCTCCCTTTACATAAATGTTTGCAAGAAGAGGTGCTATAATTATCACACATAAAACCAGCTGGGGTGCCCAAAGGGGGACACTCTCCTTGCCTGTCCTCGATTTTAGAGATATGTTTTCTCATTTTTCTTTAAAAGGAGTAGTTGAACTGTGGCTTGTCATTTGGTTAGAGGATCAGAGTGTGCCGATTGTGGATGAGACTCCATGGTGTCTATCACTGAGTCATTTCTGTCCTCTTGTATCTCCCAGTTTCTTTGTCTTGGTGTTTATCACCTCCAGGGAGATGCAAATCAAAACAATACCAGACATTACCTTATCTTAAGTAGAATGGCCATAATCGAAATGACAAAAGAGAACAAGTGTTAGCAAGGATGTGGAATAAAGGGAACTCTTATAAACTGTTGGTTTGAATACAAATTAATACAGCCACTATGAAAAACAAGTATGGAAGTTTCTCAACCTAAAATGGAACTACTGTATGTTCCAGCAATTCCACCACTGGGCATATAGCCAAAAGAAATAAAATCAGTATGTTAAAGAGATAGCTACACTCCCATGTTTATTACAGCACTATTGACAATGGCCAAGATATGGAATCAATCACAGTGCCCATCGAAGAATAAATGGATAAGACAACATGGTATGTAAACATAATGAAATGCTATTTGGCCACAAATATATGGCATAATAAAATAAATGGCAGAATAAAATTCTGCCATTTAAGACAACATAGATGAACCTGAAGGACATTATGTTAAGTGAAATAAGCCAGACATAGAGAGACAAATAAGACAGGAATTTATTAAATGTGGAATCTAAACAAGCTTATCTCTTAGAAGTAGAGAGGAGAATGGTGGTTACCAGAGCCTGCGGTGGTGGAGGACAGGATGGAAAGATGTTGGTCAAAGGAAACATAATTATTATTAGATAGAAGAAATATATTTTACAAGATCTGCTATGCAGCACGGCAGCCATACTTAATTATGATATATTGCAGTCCTGAAAAATGAAAAGGTAGTTGATGTTAACTGTTTTCACCACAAAAAACAATAACTTTTAGATCATGCATTTGTTAATTAGCTAGATTTAATCATTTTATAATCTATATGTAATTCAAAACATACATAATAAACTTACACAATGTTATTTTCAATTAAAAACAAATTTTAAAATTATGCTTAAAAATTTTTTTTATTCAAGCTAGAATTTGAATATAGCTAAATATCTTCAATAAATAAGAAAAATTAAAATAATTTCAAAAATTAAAACTAAGAGATTTGCTTGCCAATAGGAGCCGCATAAGAGTGTACTCAAGAAGAAAATAACATTTTCCTGTATAAAGGTAAAATTAAAATGAAGGGGTGAGAGACAGACCTTGAGAATACAAAATCATAGTGGACATTGAACTGAGGAAAGCACACAGTTCTTGGCACCAAAAAATTAAAAGATATTGAGATATTATAAAAGTACAATTCACATGTTTTATTTAAATCAGAAAGAAAATTATGTGCTTTTTGTATAATTTAATTGATTACAAAGAAATAATTTTTAGAAAATTTTATCACCAACTTGTTAAAAATAGATGGCACTTCCATTGAAACTTTTGCAGAATATTGATGATTCTTTTATCAGATCTGATTAGCACCAGAGGACTGACAGTGGCATAGGCATTGACCACAAACTTGTGGACACCATAGGTGACAGGGCCAATTACCCATAACAGCATTGTGGATGATGAGAGGATGAAGTCCACTGAGTACATCAGCACAAAGGAATTCACCAGCATCAGGATGGTCTTGGTGGCCATTTTCACTAGAGAAGTCCTTAATATAAGGCTGCTGCTGTGAAAGTGCTGGGAGTGCCTCTGATGCCTGGACAAAAGAATGACCATGTATACACTTGAGAGCAGCGTGATTCCTATGAAGAAGGCATCTCTGGATAATGACAGCATAAGAAATAGCGTCCTGATGAGGACATTCATTGGGAAAAATGTGCAATATTTGCTGATATTCAAAATTATCTGGGTCATTGGAATAACCTACAGTGTAGATTATCATGTCACTACTGAAAGACAAATTGCTAAACCAAAAAACGAATAAGCCCAGGATATCGTATTTTGTAAATTTATGTTTAAATCTAACCAACCAGGAGGTGCTGAGGCTGATGGTAATGGCCTGGAGCATGCTCAGGAGGCAGGTGGTGCAGATGGAGAGGCCCCTCATCACCTTGTGCAAATAGAAGAAAGCTTTAGGCCGGGCGCGGTGGCTCACGCCTGTAATCCCAGCACTTTGGGAGGCCGAGGTGGGTGGATCACGAGGTCAGGAGATCGAGACCATCCTGGCTAACACGGTGAAACCCCGTCTCTACTAAAAAATACAAAAAAAATTAGCCGGGCGTGGTGGCAGGCGCCTGTAGTCCCAGCCACTTGGGAGGCTGAGGCAGGAGAATGGCGTGGGGCGTGAACCCGGGAGGTGGAGCTTGCAGTGAGCTGAGATCGCGCCACTGCACTCCAGCCTGGGCAACAGAGAGAGACTCTGTCTCCAAAAAAAAAAAAAAAAAAAAAAGAAAGCTTTACATCTAAAGTTATTCTGAAAATTCAGTGACTCAAACATGTCTGGAGACAAAAACTCCATTGCAGTGAAGAGCATTACTAGGTGGACAAAGGCCAAATGACAGGTGACCAGGTCATGGGTCTTAGGCCTGTGATCCTGAAAGAATGTAAAAATGTGGAAGAGAAGATGGAAGATGTTGGCTGAGATTCTAATGCTAGCTTGACAATTAAAGGTATTTTTAAAAGATAACATAAGTGAAAACTGTGTTCATCCTAATGGCACAGAAGAAACCTATTTTGTAGATCTGAAAAAAATGACTTCATATCATCAATGTTCTTTCTTCAGTGTTTGAAATTATTACCATCATTATTATTTTTATTTTACTCACTTATTCTTGATTAACCTTGATGCTAAATTCTTGATAATGTACCCCCTGCACTCTTTTCTAAGCCAAATAATTATATACATATATATATAATTATTACTCTCTATATATAATGAATACATTTACAATCATGCCTGTATAGGGTGCACACTATCTATATTCTTAATGCCCTTTGCCCTCCATCTTTAGAAATCAATTTTTGTTATTTTGTGTTCTCTCATTTTATTTTTAACACCCAATTCAGTGACAGGCATATAAAATGAATCACATTTGCAGAGTTGAATTGAATAAAATGTATGCTAAAGTGGAAAGACTCACTAAAGCAAACAATTAAAAATATATCCAATTGAGTCTTTCTCATGATCTATCACTTTGATACGGTTAATTCTTCACTCTTCCATGGTTTTTGATGCTTATGATTCTACTGGGCCCACCATGATAATTCATAATAGTCTTCCTATTTTTCATCAGCATATCAGCAATTTTGATCCCATTTGCAACCTTATATTCTCTTTGCCATGAATTGTAATATATTATTTCCAGTATCTAAGAACTTGGATGTAAATATCTTTTTTAGGGAGTGGGGAACATTATTCTGTTTATCCAAACCCTAATTAACTGTATGTCTCAGAAATGGTCCTGGTGCTTTCCCAGTTTAGTTCACATCCCAGAGACTTATCATGTGAACTCTCTTCATCTCAGAACAAAATTTTTAACATTTGCCTCTCAGTTATCGACAAGATAAACACTGCTTTTAGTCATTTTATTTCAACCAAGAGGTTGCATTAAAATAGTCACATGTGGTTCTTTTTCCTGAGACTTTACTTGATACAGGAATGTCAGTCTCCAATGAGAAAGATAATGCCTCTCAAGTTTTCTTCGGATATCCTCAATACCATAATACTTTGTAAAATTTTGCAGAACAATTTTGCAGTTGCCATTTCATGTTATTTGGCCAGGATTCAGGTATCATTGCATCATTTTGCTGTAATCCATGGGTAAAAACAATTTAGCTTCATGCATGAAATATAAAAAACAGTAAATTAGCACAGATTTGGTGGGGGGATGAAGGTGTGTCTGGTTATATATTCAAAGTCATTTATCATTACACTGTCCCCTAAATAAAAATATGAAAGGCAATGCAAACATCTTGACACTTAGTATTCTTGTCTAATAAACACAAGTGACTGAGGTAAAAAATATTGCTCTAAAACCACCAGATATGTTTGATTTTATAAAGGAAATATCATCTAGGTGATTAAATGGTTATTACTCTCTCTACAAAACTTTAGTAAGTGAATCCATTTATCATAAATGTCAGAATCAAACAATGAAAAGTTCCCACCAACATGCATCTGCACCATCAGCATGGTTGAGTTCTGCTGTCAAGTTGAAATCAGAAAAAAAAAAAAAAAAAAAAAAAAAACAAGGGGAGGCACCAAGATGGCCAAATAGGAACAGCTCTGGTCTACAGCTTCCAGCACTATCAACACAGAAGACAGATGATTTCTGCATTTCCAACTGAAGTACCTGGAACTGGTTGGACAGTGGGTGTAGCCCACGGAGAGGGTGAGCTGAAGCAGGGTGGGGCATCACCTCATCCAGGAAGTACAAGGGGTTGGGGGATTTCCCTTTCCTAGCCAAGGGAAGCCATGACAGATGGTACCTGGAAAATTGGGACACTTCCACCCTAATACTGCACTTTTCCAACAGTCTTAGCAAATGGCACACCAGGAGATTATATCCCACACCTGGCTCGGAGGATCACACACCCATGGAGCCTTGCTCACTGCTAGTGCAGCGGTCTGAGATCGAACTGGGAGGCAGCAGACAGGCTGGGGGAGGGGCATCCACCATTGCTGAGGCTTGACTAGGTAAACAAAGCCACTGGGAAGCTTGAACTGGGTGGAGCCCACCACAACTCAACGAGGACTGCCTGCCTCTGTAGACTCCACCTCTAGGGGCAGGGCATAGCTGAACAAAAGGCAGCAGAAACTTTCTACAGCAGAAGTTTCTACAGCCTTAAACTTCCCTGTCTGACAGCCCTGAAGAGAACAGTGGTTCCCACAGAATGGAGTTTAAGCTCTGAGAATGGACAGACTGCCTCCTCAAGTGTGTCCCTGACCCCCAAGTAGCCTAACTGAGAGACATCTCCCAGTAGGGGTCAACTGACACCTCATACAGCCAGGTGCCCCTCTGAGACAGAGCTTCCAGAGGAAGGATCAGGCAGCAACATTTGCTGTTCTGCAATATTTGCTGTTCTGAAGCCTCTGCCAGTGATACCCAGGCAAACAGGGTCTGGAGTGGACCTCCAGCAAACTCCAACAGACTTGCAGCTGAGGAATCTGTTAGAAGGAAAACTAACAAACAAAAGCAATAGCATCAACATCAACAAAAAGGACATCCACACCAAAACCCCATCTGTAGGTCACCATCATCAAAGACCAAAGGTAGATAAAATGACAAAGATGGAGAGAAACCAGAGCAGAGAAGCTGAAAAGTCTAAAAACCACTGCACCTCTTCTCCTCCAAAGTGTCACAGCTCCTCCACAGCAATGGAACAAAGCTGGATGGAGAATGACTTTGATGAGTTGACAGAAGTAGGCTTCAGAAGGTTGGTAATAACAAACTTCTCCAAGCTAAAGGAGGATGTTCGACCCCATTGCAAGGAAGCTAAAAACCTTGAAAAAAGATTAGATGAATGGCTAACTGGAATAAACGGCGTAGAGAAGACCTTAAATGACCAAATGGAGGTGAAAACAATGGCACAAGAACTACGTGACGCATGCACAAGCTTCAGTAGCCGATTTGATCAAGTGGAAGAAAGGGGATCAGTGATTGAAGGTCAAATGAATGAAATGAAGTGAGAAGAGATGTTTAGAGAAAAAAGAGTAAAAAGAAATGGACAAAGCCTCCAAGAAATATGGGGCTATGTGAAAAGACCAAATCTACTTGTGATTGCTGTACCTGAAATTGATGGGGAGAATGGAACTAAGTTGGAAAACACTCTTCAGAATATTATCCAGGAAAACTTCCACAACTTAGCAAGGCAGGCCAACATTCAAATTCGGGAAATACAGAGAACACCACAAAGATACTCTGTGAGACGAGCAACCCTGAGACACAGAATTATCAGATTCACCAAGGTTGAAATGAAGGAAAAAAGGTTAAGGACAGCCAGAGGGAAAGGTCGGGTTACCCACAAAGGGAAGCCCATCAGACTAACAGCGGATCTCTCAGCAGAAACTCTACAAGCCAGAAGAGAGTGGGGGCCAATATTCAACATTCTTAATGAAAAGAATTTTCAATACAGAACTTCATATCCAGTCAAACTAAGCTTCATAAGTAAAGGAGAAAGAAAATCCTTTATAGACAAGCAAATGCTGAGAGATTTTGTCACCACCAGGCCTGCCCTACAAGAGCTCCTGAAGGAAGCAGTAAACACAGAAAGAACAACCAGTACCAGCCACTACAAAAACATGCCAAATTGAAAAGACCATCGATGCTAGGAAGAAACTGCATCAACTAGTGGGCAAAATAACCAGCTAACATCACAATGACAGGATCAAATTCACACGTAACAATATTAACCTTAAATGTAAATGGGCTAAATGTTCCAATTAAAAGACACAGACTGGCAAATTGGATAAAGAGTCAAGAACCATCAGTGTGCTGTATTCAGGAGACCCATCTGACATGCAGAGACACATATAGGTTCAAAATAAAGGAATGGAGGAAGATCTACCAAGCAAATGGAAAACAAAAAAAAAACAGGGGTTGCAATCCTAGTCTCAGGAAAAACAGACTTTAAGCCAACAAAGTTCAAAAGAGACATAGAAGGCCATTACATAATGGTAAACGGATCAATTCAACAAGAAGAGCTAACTATCCTAAATATATATGCACCCAATACAGGAGCACACAGATTCACAAAGCCAATCCTTAGAGATGTACAAAGAGACTTAGACTCCCACACAATAATAATGGGTGACTTTAACACCCCATTGTCAACATTAGACAGATCAACGAGACAGAAAGTTAACAAGGATATCCACGATTTGAACTCAGCTCTGCACCAAGGGGACCTAACAGACATCTATAGAACTCTGTACCCCAAATCAACAGAATATACATTCTTCTCAGCAACCCATCTCACTTATACTTAAATTAACCACATAGTTGGAAGTAAAGCACTACTCACCAAATGTAAAAGAACAGAAATCACAACAAACTGTCTCTCAGACAACAGTGCAATCAAATTAGAACTCAGGATTAAGAAACTCACTCAAAACTGCCCAACTACATGGAAACTGAACAACCTGCTCCTGAATGACTACTGGGTACATAATGAAATGAAGGCAGAAATAAAGATGTTCTTTGAAACCAAAGAGAACAAAGACACAACATACCAGAATCTCTGGGACACATATAGAGCAGTGTGTAGAGGGAAATTTATAGCACTAAATGCCCACAAGAGAGATCAGGAAAGATCTAAAATGGATACCCTAACATCAAAATTAAAAGAACTAGAGAAAGAAGAGCAAACACATTCAAAAGCTAGCAGAAGGCAAGAAATAACTAAAATCAGAGCAGAACTGAAGGAAATAGAGACACAAAAAGCCTTCAAAAAATCAATGAATCCAGGAGCTGGTTTCTTGCAAAGATCAACAAAATAGAGAGACCACTAGCAACACTAATAAAGAAGGAAAGAGAGAAGAATCAAATAAACACAATAAAAAATGATAAAGGGGATATCACCACCGATCCCACAGAAATACAAACTACCATCAGAGAATACTATAAACACCTCTATGCAATAAACTAGAAAATCTAGAAGAAACGGATAATTCCTCGACACATACACCCTCACAAGACTAAACAAGGAAGAACTTGAATCCTTGAATAGACCAATAACAGGCTCTGAAATTGAGGCAATAATTAATAGCCTACCAACCAAAAAATGTCCAGGACCAGATGGATTCACAGCCGAATTTTACCAGAGGTACAAAGAGGAGCTGGTACCATTCCTTCTGAAACTATTCCAATCAATAGAAAAAGAGGGAATCCTCCCTAATTCATTTTATGAGGCCAGCATCATCCTGATACCAAAGCCTGACAGAGACACAACAAAAAAAGAGAAATTTAGACCAATATCCCCGATGAACATCGATGCAAAAATCCTCAATAAAATACTGGCAAACCAAATCCAGCATCACATCAAAAAGCTTATCCACCAAGATCAAGTTGGCTTCATCCCTGGGATGCAAGGCTGGTTCAGCGTATGCAAATCAACACACATAATCCAATATATATACAGAACCAATGAAAAAAACCACGTGATTATCTCAATAGATGCAGGAAAGGCTTTTGACAAAATTCAACAACGTTTCATGCTAAAAACTCTCAATAAATTAGTTATTGATGGGACGTATCTCAAAATAATAAGAGCTATCTATGACAAACCCACAGCCAATATCATACTGAATGGACAAAAACTGGAAGCATTCCCTTTGAAAACTGGCACAAGACAGGGATGCCCTCTCTCACCACTCTTATTCAACATAGTGTTGCAAGTTCTGGCCAGGGCAATCAGGCAGGAGAAAGAAATAAAGGGCATTCAATTAGGAAAAGAGGAAGTCAAATTGTCCCTGTTTGTAGATGACATGACTGTATATCTAGAAAACCCCATCGTCTCAGCCCAAAATCTCCTTAAACTGATAAGCAACTTCAGCAACGTCTCAGGATACAAAATCAATGTGCAAAAATCAAAAGCATTCTTATACACCAATAACAGACAAACAGCGAGCCAAATCATGAGTGAACTCCCATTCACAATTGCTTCAAAGAAAATAAAATACCTAGGAATCCAACTTACAAGGGACGTGAAGGACCTCTTCAAGGAGAACTATGAACTACTGCTCAATGAAATAAAAGAGGATACAAACAAATGGAAGAACATTCCATGCTCATGGGTAGGAAGAATCAATATCGTGAAAATGGCCATACTGCCCAAGGTAATTTATAGATTCAATGCCATCCCCATCAAGCTACCAATGACTTTCTTCACAGAATTGGAAAAAACTACTTTAAAGTTCAAATGGAACCAAAGAAAAGCCTGCGTTGCCAAGTCAATCTTAAGCCAAAAGAACAAAGATGGAAGCATTACGCTACCTGACTTCAAACTATATTACAAGGCTACAGTAACCAAAACAGCATGATACTGGTACCAAAACAGAGATATAATCCAATGGAACAGAACAGAGCCCTCAGAATTAATGCCGCATATCTACAACCATCTGATCTTTGACAAACCTGACAAAAACAAGCAATGGAGAAAGGATTCCCTATTTAATAAATGGTGCTGGGAAAACTGGCTAGCCTTATGTAGAAAGCTGAAACTGGATCCCTTCCTTACACCTTATACAAAAATTAATTCAAGATGGATTAAAGACTTACATGTTAGACCTAAAACCATAAAAACCCTAGAAGAAAACCTAGGCAATACCATTCAGGACCTAGGCGTGGGCAAGGACTTCATGTCTAAAACACCAAAAGGAATGGCAACAAAAGCCAAAATTGACAAATGGGATCTAATTAAACTAAAGAACTTCTGCACAGCAAAAGAAACCACCATCAGAGTGAACAAGCAACCTACAGAATGGGAGAAAATTTTTGCAACCTACTCATCTGACAAAAGGCTAATATCCAGAATCTACAATGAACTCAAACAAATTTACAAGAAAAAACAAACAACCCCATCAACAAGTGGGCGAAGGACATGAACAGACACTTCTCAAAAGAAGACATTTATGCAGCCAAAAAACACATGAAAAAATGCTCATCATCACTGGCCATCAGAGAAATGCAAATCAAAACCACAATGAGACACCATCTCACACCAGTTAGAATGGTGATCATTAAAAAGTCAGGAAACAACAGGTGCTGGAGAGGATGTGGAGAAATGGGAACACTTTTACACTGTTGGTGGGACTGTAAACTAGTTCAACCATTGTGGAAGTCAGTGTGGCCATTCCTCAGGGATCTAGAACTAGAAATACCATTTGACCCAGCCATCCCATTACTGGATATATACCCAAAGGATTATAAATCATGCTGCTATAAAGACACATGCACACGTATGTTAATTGTGGCACTATTCACAATAGCAAAGACTTGGAACCAACCCAAATGTCCAACAATGATAGACTGGATGAAGGAAATGTGGCACATATACACCATGGAATACTATGCAGCCATAAAAAATGATGAGTTCATGTCCTTTATAGGGACATGGATGAAGCTGGAAACCATCATTCTCAGCAAACTATCGTTAAGGACAAAAAACCAAACACCACATGTTCTCACTCATAGGTGGAAATTGAACAATGAGAACACATGGACACAGGAAGGGGAACATCACACACCGGGGACTGTTGTGGGGTGGGGGGAGGGGGGAGGGATAGCATTAGGAGATATACCTAATGCTAAATGACAAGTTAATGGGTGCAACACACCAACATGCCACAGGTATACATATGTAACAAACCTGCACGTTGTGCACATGTACCCTAAAACTTAAAGTATAATAATAATACATTTTAAAAAAGAGAATTTCTTTGTTAGTTTTCATCACAATGATTGATCTGTCTAAAGCTGTCAGTGGGATGTTCAAATCCAGCACTATTTTTTTTAAATTATACTTTAAATTTTAGGGTACATATGCACAACGTGCAGGTTAGTTACATATGTATACACGTGCCATGTTTGTGTGCTGCACCCAGTAACTCGCCCCCACTATTATTGTGTGGCTGTCTAAGTCTTTTTGCAGGTTTAGAAGTATTTGTTTTATGAATCAGAGTGCCCTAATGTTGGATGCCTATATTTTCAGGATTTTTATGTCTTCTTGTTGAACTAAATCCTTCATCATTATGTAATGCCCTTTATTTTTTTTTTACTGTTCTTGGTTTAAAGTCTGTTTTATATGACATAGCAATAGCAACCTCTGGTCTTTTTGTTTTTCATTTGTATGAGAGATCTTTCTCCAACCTTTTCCTTTCATCCCATGGATGGCATTACATATTAGATAGGTCTCTTGAAGACAGTATATGGTTGAGTCTTCCAACTTACCACCTGTCCCTCTTAAGTGGGGTGTTTGGACCATTTACATTCAAGGTTAATATCGATATGTGAGATTTGTATCTTGTCATTGTTTTGTTAGCTGGTTGTTTTGTAGATTCAACTGTGTAGTTGCTTTACATGGTCTTTGGGCTATGTATTTAAGTGTGTTTTATGTTAGCAGGTTTTATTTTTCATTTTCCTAAAGAACCTCTTGTAAGGCTAGTGTAATGGTAACAAATTCTCTTAGCATTTGCTTGCCGGGAAAGGATTTTATTTCTTCTTTGTTTATGAAGCTTAGTTTGGCAGGATATGAAATTATTGGTTGGAATTTATTTTCTTTAAGGATGCTGAAAATAGGCTCCTAAGATTTTAAGGATTGTAAGGTTTCTGCTGATAGGTCTACTGTTAGCCTAATAGAGTTCCCTTCGAAAGTGACCTGACCCTTTCCTCTAACTCCGTTAAGGCTTTTATTTTCATGTTGACCTTGGAGAATCTGATAACTGTGTCTTGGTGATTGTTGTCCTGTATAGTACTTCACAAAGGTACTCTAAATTTCTTGAATTGGCATGTTGGCCACTCTAATGTGATTGAGGATATTTTTGTGTGGATTATATTCCCAACAACTTTTCCAATTTTTTTTTTTAGATGGAGTCTCTCTCTGTCCCACAGGGTGGAGTTCAAAGGCACAACCTTGGCTCACTGCAACCTGCACCTCCCAGGTTCAAGCAATTATGCTGCCTCAGCCTCCCAAGTAGTTGGGACTACAGGCATGCACCACCACACCTGGCTAATTACGTATTTTTAGTAGAGACTGGGTTTCTACATGTTGGTCAGGCTGGTCTCGAACTCCCAACCTCAGGTGATCAGCCTGCCTCAGCCTCCCAAAGTGCTGGGGTTAGAGGCATGAGCCACCACGCCCAGCCTGTTTTAACTCTTTGATTATCTCAATCTTCCAATTCCCCCCAACCACCAGTGAATTATTTCTGCTAATTTTTTTTTTTGTTTTTGAAAAGAGAATGATGGAAACCCACCCTGTTCCAGTGGGAGAGTACAGGGATTCCCTGGAAAGACTCTGGCTTGGAGCCCTCAGACCAGAGTTTAGGTCCAGGGGTCCACTTGGTGACTCAGGAGAAACCCTGGACCCCACCTCAAGGAATCTTGGATCCCCCGGTGGGGGTCTCAGAAGCAGGAGGCTGCTGGGCCACGGCAGGGACAAGGCTTTCTCTGGCACCCCCATGCAAGGTTCCTCCATAGAAAGAAATCATGTTGCCCGTTCCGCAGCAGGCATGCCATCCCAGGCCCCTGAGACCCCCAGGGGACATCCCCGCTCTGCCAACCGTGTGAATACACTCCACCTCCCGGCCTCTGCCATGTCACAGATGACTTGAGGCTTCAGATGAGTGACTCCCCAGAGTCACATGGGCCTATGCTTGGGTCCCAGCCTCTTCTATGACCCTTGAGGTGGTTCTCAGCATAGGAGGCTGATTTCTAGGCCTCTATGTGCTGTTCTGTGAATGGGACAGGTAACAGACCTCTATGGCAGGCATGAAATGCCAAGCTCCCACCACAAGGCCTGGCAACAAACTCTCAGGAAATTCAGGTCATTCTCTGGGAGTGGCCACAGATGCTTCTCAGAACCCCAATCCCTGGCACTGCTCCAGCCCATGCTGGACCCTTCATCATCCAGGTGTCCCAGGCCCACAAGTATCTGACATCTCAGGTGGCACTTGTGGCCCACTGTGTGACCCTAAGCATACCTCCATGTTCTCTGGGCTGAGTTTCTGAGCCGCCACAGCTCTGCAGAGCCCAGGCTGTGGGCTCCAGCCCCTGACCTCCAGCTTGACTTACTAAATGTAATCTCCAGGGCTAATTTTAATCCTGGGCAGGAATTGGACACATTCCCATGGCTAGGATGAGTCCCTGGAGGCTGGAGGTGACACCAACCCACAGGACCCAGTGCCAAGATAATCCCCCAAATGACCCCTATGCATGTGGTCTCATGAGAGCAGGGACTGGGGCTGATCTTGGGCCTGAGTCTCTTGAGCATAGAAGGCTCAACTAAGCCCTTTCTCAATCTGTCTCAATTTTAGTTATAGGGACACTATGGCTAGTGCAGAGGTCACGTGACAGGGAAACCCCGAGAGGCAGGAAGTTGGGGGCCTTTCTGGACTGATGTCCTAGAGCTGAGACAGGAAGTGAATTCCATGCAGAAGAAACAGCAGGTACAAGGATCCCAAGGGGGAGAGAAACAGCAGTGAGGTTGGAGTGGGTGGGGAGGGCAAGAGGCCACAGAGGCTGGGCCACACTGGGCCTTCTGAGCTGCAGGAGGCTCTGGGTTTTAGTCTAAGAGCAAAGACGAGCTATGAGAGGGTTTTGAGGAGAGAAGGGATGGGGCTGATTTATCATTTTAACATGCAGCTCATGGCTACCATGGAAAGCAGGACTATCAGGGCTGGGGTGGAGATGGCAGGAGGTTGGAGATGAGGTCAGGGCTGTGTCCATCTGAGCAGAGCCTGGGGCGGTACCCTCTCTGTGCTGGTCTGTACCTCACACTGTAAGTCACTGGATCCCACGGCTTATTTGGCCCTCCAGAACATCAGGAGGTCCCCCACCAACTCTGGTGCGAGGTGACAGGTGCAGATGAGTTGATGCAGGGCTTAACTCTCCTGATCCCCCATGACACCGGAACTCTCCTGATCCCATCACCGAAGAACCAAGCTGTCCCCCACTCTGCCCCTGAGAGATCAAGCTCTAATCATGGCCTCCCTTGCTCACACATTCTCCATGGTTCCACATTGGCCTTGTGAGAAAATTTCTGCATCCAGCCTGACATTCAAACACCTTGCCCTAATCAGCTCCTGCCTACTTCTCTCTATCTTTGACAAATATTTCTGTCTAGAAGGTCCTTTTTTCCCTTCTTCACCTAGCCAACTCCTATTCACACTTCAGAACTCAGCTCAGGTCAGATGAGGTGGTTCATGCCTGCAATTCCAGCACTCTGAGAGGCCAAGACAGGAGGATTGCTTGAACCCAGGAGTTTGAGACCAGCCTGAACAACCTGATGTAACCCCATCTCTACAAAAAATACAAAAATTAGCTGTGTGTGGTGGCATGTGCCTGTAGTCCCACCCTGAAGTAGGAGGATCAATTGAGCATGGAAGGTCAAGGCTGCAGTGAGCAGTGATTGTGCCACTGCATTTCAGACTGAGCTACAGAGAAAAAAAAACTCAGCTCAAGAAAAAGCATTCCTCCAAGAAGCCCTCCCTGTTGTTCCTCTGGAATCCCACAGTCCCCATCCTTCCCCTGTAGTTCTGACCCCATGGGGCTGGCAGTAGATACATCCAACTTTGTCTCCCCTAGACTAGACAGCCCTCTAGATCAGGCCTAGGAGTGGACAGTAAAATTTAGAGAGTGCAACAGGTGAAGAGAGACGTGACTGACTCCCTCCTCTTTAGCTTCCCTTGACAACTTCCTCTCAGACTGCCCCAGCTGATATCCTGCCCAAAAACACACATGCTTGCAAATCCAGCCACTAACCATTGACCTGTCTTGGACTCAAGTGTGAAGAGTCAGCCAAGAATGCAGACCTGGAAGCCTAGGGTGTATGTGTGTGTATTTGTAGTCAAGTGAAAATCCCACCCAAGCTCCAGACAGACCCTGGTGGCCCATTCTGCAGATGTTGGTGAGGTTGGTATTTCTGTGGAGGTGTCAGCAAAGGTTGAATGTGCCAGGCATGAGGCAAAGGCCAAGGTTTAGGGGGACTTCTACACACACAACTTCCCCCTTGCCTCGTCCAGCCAGAAAGCAGAGAGCAGTGGCATCTGCCCAGCACAGAGACAGATGGATGGATCCACTCACCCGAGGATAGAGCAGGGAAGACGGGACAGGAGAAATCCAAGAGGGCTTCTCAGGGGAGGAGGCATGTAGTTTGGCTTAGATACAGAGGCTAGACAGGGGCCTGAGCAGATGAGTAGGGGACTGGGCATTTGAAGCCAAGGGTCTTGCACCTCCCTACCCCTTTCTTTGCACCCTCATACTCGAGCATTTATTAGCAACTTGTGCTAACCACTGAGCTAAGCTGACCTCCAAGTAATTAGAAAGCTTAAGTAAACCAACATCTGTAGATGAGAAAGGTGACTGAGGACCTACTGTTACAAAGGCAAGGTAATTTGAGGCTGCAATGAGCTACGAGCAACTGTGTTCCAGCCTGGGAGACAGAATGTAAAAAAATAGTAATAACAGAAAGTATACATCAATCTCAATTTTTTTTAAAAAGGCAGATGGTTTTACAGTTGTTTTATCAAAACTCAAAGAACAGGAAAGCCCAAATTATTTCAACAAAGTCAGACCTTTTAAACAGATGATAGCTGCCCAAGTCATTTTTATGAAACTTCTTTATATCAAAACCTAAGTCTAAAAAGAGAAAAGTGTTGACCTTGATACGGGCTGTGTTAGGCAGAGATTTCAATGAAGTCCTCTCTGAAGAGGTGACATTTGATCTGAGACCTGAAGCACCAGAAAGAGGCAGCCAAGCCAGGAAGAGGCAGGAATGGGAAGGTCTAGGGAAAGACTGGTCCTGGCAGGCGGAACTGCAGTGGCAAAGGCCCAGCGGTGATCAGGAGCTTGGCATTTGCAAAAATAAAGAGTGTGTGTGATTGGACAGCGTGAGCAAGTGGGCAGAGGAGGAGATCGTGATAGGGTGTGCATTGGTCAGGCCACCTAGGTCCTGGAGCCCACAGTGAGAAGCATGGGCTTGACTCTGAGGGCAAAGGAGAGCCACGGATAGTTTGGGTAAAGGGGAAAGTTGGCATTTAATTTTATAGCTTTTTGAAGTTTGTTTTGTTTTCTTAGAAACAAGGTCTCAGTCTGTTACCCAAACTGGAGTGCAGCTCAAAATATTTTCCAATTTATCTTGTGATTTTTTTTGATCCAATGATTTAGAGGTGGGTTGTTAAATTTTCACATATTTTCAGATGTCCAATATTTCTTACTGTTGTTAGTTTCTAATTCTGTTTCAGTCAGATAACTTATTTGTTTTCCCTGTCTCTCCTGTCTTCTGATCCTGTTTTTCCATTGACTACCATTTTTAAAATCAACTTATTTCAGTGTGTCATTTACAATCCTATTTTAATTTTTTGCTCTTTCTCTGAAGTGGTTGTTCCAGGGATTATAATGTGCTTTTCCATTTTTCCAACGAATGAAGAACGAAGTGATCGACTTCTTGCCTCTGCCGGGGCTCTGAAGCGCTGCCCCGAGGCGGTGGATGGAGGGTGTCAGGCGTGACATCAAGAGCTCTGCAGCCAGGGCCTGGGACAACCTCCCGCTCCACCTCCCCGGAGCCTCGCAGCCAGCATCCCCAGCGGCCCGTGCGCCCCGGCCAAGCGGGACCTCAGCGCTGTGGCGGCCGCAGACCTCACCTGGGCAGGCCCCGGGCTGCATGCGGACCGCCGGGCGCCCAGGACTCTAGAGGCAACCAGCGGGCTGGATCCGCACAGCGGCCCTGGGGAATGGATGGTGTACAGGGGACAAAGCTACACACGTCTTTCATTTTGGAGGGGGGAAAAAAGAAAAAACGGAAATGAAAGATAGAAAATGTGTGGGCTCTCCGTCCTTTCCTTTGCTCCTGAGCGCTCTCTGGGGTGGGGGGCTCAGCGAGCTTCAAGAGGTGGCCGAGATTCCCCCACCTCGCCCCCAGATCCCCGGGAGAGGTCAGCACGGCCCCTCCCTTGGGTGTCACAGAGACCGATGCGGGTCCCGCTCCCCGGGAAGGAGTGGGTCTGGGTCCAGTCCGCAGGATCCCCTCGCGGATGCTGACGCTGAATGGAGTTGAGGTGGGGGCAGCGCTGGACCCCAGGGTCCCTGCCTGCCTCCTGGGGAGCCCGGTGACCCAGGCAGCCCTGGTGAGGCCGCAGGAGTCTGGGCCCTAGCGACGCCCCCGGGCTCCCACAGGACGAATGTAGACGGTGAGGCCAAGGACGCCCTGCTGCCCTCGGGACTGTCCCTCCAGCCCCCAGCTTTCCGTGGCTATTGGGCCCCCTCTGCAGAGGGGCAGGGGAGCCCACCCTGGATCCTGAGGCGCCGAGCTTGAGGGACCCCAGAGCTCCAGCCAGGCCGCTTTCTTTGAGGATGGTGAAGCTGAGGTCCCGAGGAGGGCAGGGGCAGGTCCCGGGCGCTCCTCAGGCAAAGGGAGCCGATTTAGGGGCTGGGGTCACAGGAGGGGCTTCTGCGACCTCTAGGGCCCTAGAGCCCGGGAGGATGAGAGACTGGGGGCCTTTCGTCCACCCCTGGGGCTGGGCAGACGCTCAGCCTGTGCAACCCGAAGCTGCTTCTGCCCAGTCCCAGCCGCGGCCCCTTTAAGAGGGGGTGGTGCTTCAGCCTGGCGCCAGGGACGCTGCCAGCATGCAGGCCCCGACGGAAGCCGAGACTGCGCTTCGTGCGAGGCCCGGGCAGCATCGGCGGCGTGGTCAGAGCGAGTCTCGGAGAAGATGTGGTGGCTTCCGTTTGTTGGTGGAGGAGGTGGCAGGCCTCGGCGGTAAGTGGAGGGGGATGAACCCCACCTGGAACCCTCTGGGTCTCCCTACTCCTTCCCGGCCGCTCCCTGCTTTCGGGCCCTGACTTCTAAGTGGGCATCTGGGCCCGAGTCGTCAGCGTTGGGGCGGTTGTGGGATCCGGGCCTCGGCAGCGTCCACACCCCCGCCGGGAAGGCTATGCCCCTGTCCGACCCACGTCCAGCCTATAGGAGCGCCCTGGCCCAGAGCCGGCGGTGAAGCGCTGGACTGGGTCCCTCCGAGCCCCACGGGCCTCTGAGCTGGGGTCTAGGGTTATTTTTTATGCCTCAGGACCTTTAGAAAGAGACCTCGCTAGAGCAGGGGACATCTGTAGTTTCAATTCTTTGAGGAGTTTCCAGCTATTTAACTGTTTTCCATGGTGTGTACCCTAATTTTCATTTCCACCTACAGTGTATGAGTTCCCGTTTCTCCAAAACCAAACCCCCATTCCAATTTGTTTTTGTTTTTGTTATTTTGAGACGGAGTCTCGCTCTGTCTCCAAGGCTGGAGGGCAGTGGCGCCATCTCGGCTCACTGCAACCTCTACCTCCCGGTTTCAAGCAATTCTCCTGTGTAGCTGGGACTACAGGCGCCCGCCACCACGCCCGGGTAATTTTTGTATTTTTATTTTTAGTAGAGACGGGGTTTCACGATATTTGTCAGGCTGGTCTGAAACTCGTGACCTCAGGTGATCCACCCGCCTTGGCTTCCCAAAGTGCTGGGATTACAGACGTGAGCCACGGCTCCCAGACCCTCCTATTTTTAAAAAAATTTTCTAGGAATATTCAATAAGTGTGAGACTATCTGCGTGTGGTTTTGAATTACAGTATTCTAATGAATAGTTAATTTTGAGGACCTTATCTCTTATCTGTTGTTCGATTTTATATCTGTGCAGAATTGTCTCTTCAGGTTATTTGCGAAATATTAGATTGGATTCTTTTTCTACTTTGTACTCTTTTTTGTGTACACGTTAGTTGACAACTCCTCGTGAATTACATGATTGCCTGAAATTTTTGCATAATCTATGGGATGCTTTTTTATTTGGAAAGTAGTTTTCTTTGCTATGCAGAAACTTTTCACGTTGATGTAGTCCCATATTTTTTTTTTTTTGCGTTTTATGCGTGTCATAATGGTCACCCATATTAGAAAATATGCATCAGTAACAAAGCATTTAATTGTCAGTGAGGTTTTTCTTCCAGGGTGTTTGTTTCTTTTCCTCTTTGCAAAGGTTAACAGAGATTCAAGTGACCCAAAATATATGCTCAACCTGTGTTTTACTTAAGTAAACACAGTAATTTTTTAAAAAACATTTTGTGGTTTATGGTATTTTGTTTTGGCCTTCAGTTGATGGGGGGGGCGGTTGATTTTCATACATCGTGTAAAATAAGGGTCCTGTTTCTCGCTTTTGCATCCGGATATCATTTTTCTCAAAGCTATTCATTGATCAGACTCTGCCTTCCACGTTGTGGTGTTCTTTATCAAAGTCAGTTGACTGTGTCCATATTTGTGTTGTTTTTGTCCTCCCTGTTTTTGTCCATAGTTCTAGGTATTTCTTTTTATGCAAGTACCATATATCTACTGCATAACTACAACTTGGCAATTTAATTTGATATCAAGGATTATGGGTTCTCACTTTGATTGTATTTCTCAAGATTCCTTTAGATATTCATTGCTTTTGTGGTTCCCTGTGATTTTTAGCACTATGTATTTATTTCTGTTAATTTTTTTACAACATAAAGGGCCATAATTAGGGGTACATTTTTATACATATATATTGGGTAATGATCAAATCAGGGTACTTAGGATCTCTATTCCCTCATACAGGTATTATTTTTGTGTAAAGAGAACATTCAAAATTCTCCTTGCTCTTTAGAAAAATGTAATACGGTTAAGTCCAGTCACCAGGCTGAGGAGAACACTCAGATTTATTCTTTTAATGTTAAGATAACTTTGTTTCCATAACCAATCCTTCTCCATTCCCCTTCTGTCTCCCGGACTCTGGTAACCAATATTGTGCTTTCTACTTCTTTAAGATAAACATCTTAAGATTTCACATGAGTGGTATCATGCAGTGTTTGTCTTTCTAGGCCTAGCTCATCACATTTAACATAATGTTTTCCAGGTTCATCTGGGTTGCTCTAAATGACACTGTTTGATTATTCTGATAGCCGAAGAATATTCCCTAGTGTATGTATATGAGAGTTTCTTGATCTCTTTATCTGTGGGTGAACAGGTAGGTTGAATGTATAGCCAGTAGTGGGACTGCTAGATGGTATGGTATTTCCTTTTTTTTTTTCTATTGTTTGCAGGACCCCCAACTGTTTTTTATAGTGTTAATACCAATTTACATTTCCACAAACAGTCCCCCTTTCTGGAAATTCATACTAGGAATTTTCTTTTTAAATATTTTAATCTTTTTGTGATGTTCATTCTAGTTGGAGTGAGATAAGATCTGAGAGTGGTTTTGATCTACATTTTTCTCATGAGTAGTAATGTTAACCACGTTTTTATAAATGTTGAATCTGTTTTCTGTCTTCTTTGCACAAATATCTACTCAGGTTATTTGCCCAATTTTGGTCTGGTTATTTCTCTGTTGTTTTGTTTTTTTGCCAGCTGTTAGTGTTACTGGCTTGTGCCTTTTCAAAAGTAACCTGTTATCCACTGTATGTTTGCCCAAACTTTTCTTATAAGTTTTAGTATGCCTTTTCATTTTGTTCGTTCTTTCCTTTTTTGGGCACAAATTCTTCAGTTTGATGAGGTCCCACATGTGTATAATTTCTTGGTTAGTGTGCTATTGTTTACTAATCAAGAAAAAACAAAATCAGTGCCAAAGCAGTCCATTGTCAGTGATTTTTCCCTTGTATTTTTGTTACTTTTTGCAAACTGTGAGCATACATCCAAGTTTCCCTAAATATACACACACTCGAGGTTGTGTTTATAAGAGCTTTATGGTTGCAAGTTTTGTGAATTATTTCTGTATTATTTAGTACCACACTTTTTGTATTATTTAGTACACTAAATATATTTTGTATTATTTAGTATAAATACAAAATAATACAAAATAAAAATATTTTTTATTATTTAGTACACACTATTTGTATTATTTAGTACCACACTTTTTGCAAACCGTGAGCATACATCCAAGCTTCCCTAAATATACACACACTCGAGGTTGTGTTTATAAGAGCTTTATGGTTGCAAGTTTTGTGAATAATCTTTAATCCTTTTGAGTTAAAGTGTTTTTTTTGGTACCACAAGAGTCCTGTATTATTTAGTACCACAAGAGTCCTGTATTATTCTTTTGCATATGGATATCTAGTTTTGGAAACCTTCCCCATTGTGTTGTTTTGGTGGTGTTTTGAAAAATGTGTTCACTCTGTGTAAATTTGTGTTTATTATTGAGCGCTCTCATTTTGCTCACTGGTCTGTGTTTCTCTGTGTATGCCAGTAACATATGGATTGGTTAACTAGGGATTTTCGTTTAATTAGAACTCAGGGAATGTGATGCAGCCCATATGGTTTGTATTTCTCAGGATTGCTTTAGAAATTCAGGGTGTTTCGTATTTCCACATAAATTTTGGCATTGTTTCTTTGTATTTCTTAAAACACTATTTGCCATACACTAAGTGTATATAAGTAGAGGGTACAAGGAAGATTTCGATACATGTATATGTTGAGTAATGAAAAAATCAAGTTATTTAGCATCTCTTCACCTCATAGTTACTACTTTTTGAGTGGTAACAACATTCAGAATCTTTCCTTCTAGCTACTTTGAAATATATGATACATTTGTATTAAGGCTAGTCACCCTGCTGTAGAATAGAAGACCAGAATTGATTACTGTCATCTAAGAGTAACTTTGTACCCATTACTGATTCCTTCCCCGACCCTCTCCACCTCCCCAGCAGCCTCTGGTAATCCCTATTGAACTTTCTACTTCTAGGAGATAAAGCTTTTTTCAGTCTACATGTCTGAGATCACGTGGCATGGGACTTTCTCTGCCAGGCTCATTTGTTGGACCTGATGTTCTCCAGGTTTCTTCATGTGGCTGCAGATGGCAGGATTTCCCAAAGCTTTATGGCTGAAACATATTCCGTGGTGTATCTGTATGGCAGTTTCTTCATCCCTGAAGCTGTGTACGGACAGGTAGGTTGGTTTTGTACCTTGGCCACAGTTAGGGGTGCTTTAGTACCCATGGGAAGGCAGGTAACTCTCTTCAACCTAGGGATTTCAAGTGCTTTAATTGTGGAACCAGTGATGGGGCTTCTAGCTGACATGGTAGTTGTACTGTGAATTTTTTCAGGAACCTCTAGCTGTTTTTCATAGTGTGTATACTAATTTACATCCCCACCAATAGCATTTAAGAGGTTTCTCTTCTGTAAGTCTACACTGGCTGTCACCTTTAAAAATTTGTGTTTTGTTTGTCTTTGGTAGTATTCATTCTGAGTGGAATGAGATGGACTCTTAGTGTGGTTTTTGTGGACATTTTTGTGAGGATTGGTGATGTCGAGAAAGTTATTTGAGAAATCCCCACATCGTTTTCCATGGTGTCTGAACTAGTTTGCATTTCTACCAACAGCAGACCAGCATCCTCTCCTCCTCTGCCTCGCTGGCATTCATTCTTGTGGACTGTGTCATAATTGTCATTCCGACCAGTGTGAAATACTATCTCATGGGCCTTTTGCTTTGCATTTCTCTGATGATTACTGAGGTAGAGAAATGTCCTGTCCGTTGGTTGCTATAAACCTTCCTTTGAGATGTGTGTTTTCATGCCCTTTGCCCTTTCTTCACTGAGTTTTTGTTTTGCTGATTTATTTGCTTAACATTTTTGAGGTAGATCCTGGAAATCAGACTTCATGAGATGCATATGTGGGGACATTTTCTCCCATTGTGTAGGCTTTCTGTTTACTCTGTTGGTAATTTCTTCTGCTGTTCAGCAGCTCTTTTATATATTAGGTCCCACTTGTCAATAATTGTTTTAGTTGCACTTGCTTTTGGGGACTTAGGCATATCCATGCTGTGCCAAATCCTCTGTCAGGAAGTGTGTTTCCTAGGTTCCCTTGCAGGCTTTTAATAGTTTGAGGTCTTGCATTTACAGCTTTCATTCATCTTGCGTTAATTTCTGTACATGGTGAGACACAGGGGCCCACTGTTTTTCTTCTGCAACTGGCTAGCCGTTTTATCCCAGCACCATCTATTGAGAGGAGGGAGTTCTTTCTCCAAAGCTTGTTTGTGTGGTTTTTGTTGAAGATGAAGAAATAGTGTCAACCTGGTGTTTGATGTCCAATGTTCACCAGGCTCCAGGTGGACACCTCTAGAAGTAGATCTTTACAGATGAGAACCTGGAACTGGTTTGCTGACCCGTTTTAGTCGGAATGAATTC